>NC_000002.12:6979696-7282727 GCF_000001405.40 Homo sapiens
GGTTCATAAGTTGAGAGACTTAGGTTTAAGTTCTGAATTTGCCACTTATTACCCAGGGACTTTGGGCAAATTGTGCATCCCTCTTAAACCTCAGTTCTTAATCTGTTACATGAAGATAATTGAGTTAATGTATTAGTTCATTTTCACACTGCTGTAATGATACTACCTGAGACTGAGTAATCCATCAACAAAAGAGGTTTAATTGAATCAATTCTGCATGGCTGGGGAGGCCTCAGGAAACTCACAATTATGGCTGAAGGTGAAGGGGAAGCAGGCACCTTCTTCACAAGGCGGCAGGAGAGAGAGCACATGCAAGAGAAACTGCCACTTTTAAACCATCAGATCTCATGAGAACATCTCAATATCATGAGAACAGCCTGGGGGAAACTGCCCCCATGATCCAGTCACCTCCTACTGGGTCTGTTGTCCCTCAACATGTGAAGATTACAATTTGACATGAGGATTTGGGTGGGGATGCAGAGCTAACCCATGTAATTCCACCCCAGCGTCTCCCAGATATCGTGTCCTTTCCACATTTCAAAACCAATCATGCTCTCCAACAGCCCCCCAGAGTCTTAACTCATTCCAGCATTAACCCAAAAGTCCAAGTCCATAGTCTCATCTGAGACAAGACAAGTCCCTTCCACCGAAGAGCCTGTAAAATCACAAGCCAGTTAGTTACTTCTAAGATATACTGGGGGTACAGGCATTGAGAAAATATTCCCATTTCAAATGGGAGAACTTGGCCAAAACAAGGGGGCCAGAGGCCCCATGCCAGTCTGAAATCTGGCCAGGCAGTCATTACATCTTAAAGCTCCAAAATCACTTTTGATTCCATGTCTCAAATCCTGGGCATGGTGATGCAAGGGGTAGGCTCTCACGGCCTTGGGCAGCTCTGCCTCTGTGGCTCTGTAGGGTACAGCCGCTGCAGCTGCTTTCATAGGCTGGCATTGAGCGCCTGCAGCTTTTTCAGGTGCCCAGTGCAAGCTGTTGGTGGATCTACCTTTCTGTGGTCTGCAGGACAGTGGCCCTCTTCTCACAGCTCCACTAGGCAGTGCCCCAGTGGGGACTCAGTGTGGGGGCTCTAATCCCACCTTTCCCTTCCACACTGCCCATGAAGGTTCTCCATGAAGGCTCTGGCCTGCAGCAGACTTCTGCCTGGACATTCAAGCAATTCCATACATCCTCTGAAATCGAGGTGGAGGCTTCCTAAGCTTAACTCTTGCCTTATGCGCACCCACAGGCCCAATACCACGTGGAAGGTGCCAAGGCTTAGGGCTTGCACCCTCTGAAGCAATGGCCTGAGCTGTACCTTGGCCTCTTTTAGCTACAGCTGTAGCAGCTGGAACCCAGGGTGCCATGTCCCAAGGCTGCACAGAGCAGCTGAGGCCTGGGCCTGGCCCTGGCCCACAAAACCATTTTTTCCTTCTACACCTCCAGGCCTGTGATGGGAGGAGTTGCCTTGAAGATCTCTGAAATGCCCTGGAGACATTTTCCCCCATTGTCTTACTGATTAACATTCGGCTTCTTGTTATTTATGCAAATTTCTGCAGCGGGCTTGAATTTCTCCCCAGAAAATGGGTTTTTTCTTTTTTACTACATGGTCAGGCTGCAAATTTTCTAAACTTTTATCTCTGCTTTTTTTTTTAAAACATAAGTTTCAATTTCATATCGTCTCTTTGTGAATGCATGTAACTGTGTGCTTTCAGGAAAAGCCAGGTCGCATCTCGATGCTTTGCTGCTTAGAAATTTCCTCTGCCAGATACCTTAAATTATCTCTCTCAATTTCAAAGTTCCACAGATCTCTAGGGCAGGGGGAAAATGCCACCAGTCTCTTTACTAAAGCATAGTGAGAGTGACCTTTGCTCCAGTTCCCATTAGGTTCCTCATCTCCATCTGAGACCACCTCAGCCTGAACTTCATTGTCGATACGACTGTCAGCATGTTGGTCAAAACCATTCAACAAGTCTCTAGGAAGTTCCAAACTTTCCCACATCTTCCTGTCTTACTCTGAGCCCTCCAATCTGTTCCAACTCTGCCTGTTACCCAGTTCTAAAGTTGCTTCCACATTTCCAGGTTATCTTCATAGCAGTATGCCACTCCTGGTACCAATTTTCTGTATTAGTCTGTTTTCACACTGCTATAAAGATACTACCGGCCCACAGGTAGTAATTTATGAAGAAAAAAGATTTAATTGATTCACAGTTCCCCATGAGGCTTGGGAGGTCTCAGGAAACTTGCAATCATGGCAGAAGGCAAAAGGGAAGCAGACACCTTCTTCACAAGGCGGCAGGAGAGAGAGAGCGCACAGGGGAAACTGCCACTTTTAAAACCATCGGATCTCGTGAGATCTCCCTTACTATCACTGGAACAGCATGGGGGAAACTGCCCCCCATGATCCAGTCGCCTCCCACCAGGTCTGTTCATGGACAGATGAACTGGGGATTACAATTCCAGATAAGATTTGGGTGGGGACACAGAGCCAAATCTTATCATTGACTTCACATGAGTGGCAAAATATAAAGTAGAATACAGAATAGAGATATTGGTAAACCTTGCAGCTACTCGTAAGTGTGTTGCAATGTGCTGTGTGTCATTATTTGGTCAGAAGATGGGTGCATTAGGTACATGGGGACTTCTTTATTTTATCAATGGAGGGAGAGCGCCCATCACATTTACTTGGCTCCATGGTTGTGGAAGAGGAATTGCCCTCTTCACACCAAGGAAGGAGGCATTGCCTGATTCACGCTAGTATTTTTTTCTTCCTAGATAACTAGGCAATAAAGAAAATGACAAACTATAGCAATTATTTATATTCAAATAGATTTTGTAAACAGTTGGATGATAAGACTGACTCCCTGATACAGCTTAACATTTTTCCTTCGGGGAAAAAACAACAAACACATAAGCCGATGTCAAGTATGTCAGAGAACGGCTGTGGGGTAAAAGGAAGAGGGACAAGGGAGAGAGTGGTGAGAGCCCTGGCCATGTCTGTAGCAATCAGACGATTGAGAAAGTGGCAACTTCATGGATCCTGGGCCAGTGTGCTTTGGAGAACATCAAACTTGGTGACATTATTATCACATTATTGTCACAGTCATCTTCCTGCTGCAGTAACATTGGGATTCTTCGGGTTTCTGTGCTTGTTTTCTAAAAAGAGGGATCTTTTAATCATTCTCACACCTTTAGTACATTGGAAAATAGCTGAGGCCCCGTGAAATGGAATGCCACAGCTTCTGCCTAGTGGCTTATGATTTGCTTGTCATTCCCAGTGAGCTCTGGCTGTACCTAAAGGTAGAAATAAGAATCTGCAGAGAGCCTAGGAAAGGCTTTTGTCCTAGAGGTGCTGCAGTTTCCAGGTCCGTGAATAACTCGTGTGTTCTTCAATGGTATTTGCTGGCCTCTCCCATGCTTGTGCTGCTGGCTGTCAGATGTTACTGCTTCCTTTGCTAAAGATACCGTCTCCCTTACCAGGAGGACATAGTGTTTGCAAGTCTCCTTCCTTGTGTGAGCTGTTTGGCATGCTTTAAGTGGTAGAAGGGGAATTTAAAGGCTCCAGTTTTCTTTTCTATAAGAAGTCTCCTGGAAGCTGTGTGTGTGCCCTGGGCCCTCTCCCTGGCTCCACACTGTTGTCTTTCTAGAACAATCCCTGGGGGACTGTGGATCTCTATGAGCTCAGGTTCTAAAAGGAGACAGTGCTGACTTGCCCTACAGCCTTTTTATCTGGTAGTGAGGTTTACAGTCAGCATCACGCCTCTGGCCATCGTGTAGCACTGGATGGAGCCCAAATCACTAGTCCTGTCTCTTCTTCCTTTCTGATGGCAGAGGATGCTAGAGCGCTACTTATTCTTATGCAGATCTTAAGTGACATTTTCAGGATGCAGGTGGCTACAGTCCATTACTTTGGTCCTGACCTCTCACCCACTCTCCTGGAGGATTTCTGTCAGGAGTTTCCTGACTGTTTCTGAGCCTTGTACCGGAATCCTCCTGTGTGGGCCCCCACTGTGTCTGTCTACCTTATAGCAAAGGAGAGGCTGAGGCTCAGGGGGACTCGGTGTTCCCACAGCCATGCAAGCAAATGATGGTGACCCTCCTGGCATCACCACAGATGTGCTCCTCCCCAGATGTCTCAGATGGCAGCTCCGTCCTGCTGCCTACATAGGGCAGAAGCCTCGGAGACACCCTTGACTCCTCTCTTTCTCCAGCACCGATCTTGAAACTGCACATTCTGAGCAGCTTCTTTTTCAAAGTATATCCAGAATGTGACTACTTGCCATCAGCCCTATTTGTCATTGGGCCATGTTGGACAATCCCCATCTTGTCTGTGGATGGTTGCAGTTACCTCCCAATGGGCCACAGTGCTCTGCATTTTTCTGGTGCATCGGGGTGCTCAGTGCACAGTCTCAGCCCCAGCTCCCTCTCCCTGCCTCATTTTTCCACTGAGCCCGCATAGTTCACAAGCTGTGTATCTTACCGATTTATCTATTTATTTTCTGTCTCCCCGCTAGAGTGTAAGTTTCTCAAGGGTGGGAATATCTGCCTATTCTGTTCACTGTTCACATTTCCAGCAAGGAGAGCACTGCCTGGAACCAAGTTTCTTTTTTCTTTTCTTTTTTTTTTTTCCAAGAAGGAGTCTTGCTCTGCCATTCAGGCTGGAGTGCAGTGGTGCAATCTCAGCTCACTGCAACCTCCGCCTCCTGGGTTCAAGCAATTCTTCTGCCTCAGCCTCCCGAGTAGCTGGGATTACAGGCTCCCGCCACCACATCCGCGCTAATTTTTGTATTTTTAGTAGAGACGGGGTTTCACCATGTTGGCCAGGCTGGTCTCGAGCTCCTGACCTCATGATCCGCCCGCCTCAGCCTCCCAAAGTGCTGGAATTACAGGCGTGAGCCACCGCACTCGGCCCCAAGCTTCTTGAATGATTGGAAGGATGTCTCTGCCTTTTGTTGTAGCATGTGGGAATAACTATTTACTTTTAACTCATGTTTTATTCATCTTAACAGCATTGCTATACATTGGGAAAATAGGAGTGCGTAATTGTATTTATCTTTTCCTGATGGTGCAGATCCTGAATATTCCCAGCCTTTAGGATTTAATGTGGTCCTGACATGCAAGGGTGCCTCTAGCACCCAAGGCCAGGATCATTTTCCTTTCTTTGTTATTTTAGAGCATGCATGGGGTCCACTCGTGCATCCCACTGGGTTTTGTCTCCAAAGTCTGCAGATATGTTTTGCCTCCCTCACTGGAAATGTAAAGCAGCTGTTATCACCCCATAGAGTTCATTGTATTAGTTTATTCCTCTCTTTCAGTGTTTCCCATGCTCTCTTCTGTTCACTGACCAGTTACTAGAAAGCAAAGAGAAAATCAAAATAAACTTCACATAAGAAACACAGGACTTGGTGGAACAGGAAATCTTCTCTATGTATTTGAAATACATAATTTTCTGGGCAGGTGGTCAAATAAAGCTGTGGCCTAATACTGATAAATGAAAGGTGATTCCGCGGGACTTCCCCAGGTTTCTTTGAACAGATTTAGTGTCATTTTGCATGTTTTAATTCATCTCCCTCCCCCCTCTTTTTTTTTTTTTTTTTTTTTTTAACAATGAGAAGATCGTTAAAGGCAGCTGCTTTAGGGAAAAAGGGCTTTGATTATTATTATTAGACAGTGCTCCCTTGGTGGCCATTCTTCCCTGGTTGGCTTTTGTAATCCCTTCTCTAGAATAGTATTTAGAACTTCCTAGGAACCTAATTCTGGTTTGCTCAATAACTGATAATGAGTAAGTGGAAGGATTAGGGGCTTGTAAATGTTGGCATAAGGGATGGAGGAACCTCTGGCATTGGAATTGCAGGTGAGTTCTTAGGAAGGTGGATGTGGAAGGTTCAGATGGTTTAATAGACGGAATACAACTCGAGCCACACGTGTAGCATGTGCTCTGAAGTTGATCGGTATCAATGGGGTTTTCAAATTGGAAAGGATGTTTTATCTTTTGTTCTTGAGACGGAGTCTTGCTCTGTTGCACAGGCTGGAGTGCAGTGGCGCCATCTCGGCTCACTGCAAGCTCCGCCTCCTGGGTTCATGCCATTCTCCTGCCTCAGCCTCCCGAGTAGCTGGGACTGCACGTGCGCACCATCGCACCCGGCTAATTTTTTTTGTATTTTTAGTAGAGGCGGGGTTTCACCGTGTTAGCCAGGATGGTCTCGATCTCCTGACCTCATGATCCGCCCACCTCGGCCTCCCAAAATGCTAGGATTACAGGCGTGAGCCACTGTGCCCGGCCGCATGTTTTATCTTTATCACTCTCTTACTTTGAGATTGGTTCTCCTACCTGTGTGGAAGAGGCCTCTCACTGATGAGCAGAGTCACAGGTTTTCACGTGGGCAGAAGGAATGAAGGCTGCACAGGTTTAGAGAAAGGATGGCTTAGAGGACTCCCGGAAGCCAGCTGTCCCAGCCAGCATCCTCGGGTTACAGATGAGGCCACTGTTCCATGAAGGTACAGTGACAGCCTCAGGGTCACATGGGTCAGTCATTCCCAAAGCTTGCAATAAAACCCGGTTTTTTTTTTTTAAAGCTTTCGGAGGCCCATTTCCACCCGATTTCCTCCTCCCTACTCTGTTACCTCCATTATGTCTTCTTCCATTAGCTCAAGGGATTGACAAGCTCCAAACCCAGAAATTTCCCAGGCTTGTTGCTTAGCAACAAGGTTTCTGTTTGGGGACTTGAAGGAGACAGCCATTGTGCCGGGCCTGCCCCCTTGTTGAGCTGGCCAGAGGCCTGTTCCTAAGCCACCCTCAAGATCAGCAAGTACTGACCTGAAGGAACTGAAGAAACTGCAGGTGACCAAATAGACGAGTCTCCCACACCCCACAGTGGCTCTTTGTTGAACAGAGTGTGATTAAGATCACTTCAGGGCAGGGAACCCGGTGGCCCACTGCTATTCAAGGTTTATCATAGATGTCCATATATATATCTCCTGCTGCTTTTTCTTTGTGTTCTGTCTGACAGAGAGACACAGAGAGAAGAATGACTATGTCCCTAGCAAAAGTGTTGCAATAAAACATTAAGGGTGGTTCATTATCTGATAGAAGGAAGTGGGGTTGGGGTGAGGGGCAGGGTTGCTGTGACTTCTTAGCAAATCCCTAAACAGCTCAGAATGAGGGAATTATCTCTAAAAAGAAGGAGGGATGATCCAAACATCCCCCCTTCAACTCTAAATTTAATGAGTCGATGTTTGATTTTGACAGCATTACTCTCTGGTAGCCGAAGTGTAATGTTTATCTGGGCAAATACATTAGTGTTGAAATAATAGGCCCTTTGTGTCTTTCTCTGCATCTCATTCCCGGATGGGGGTCAGAACGCGTGGCTGTGTCTGGGTCCTCTGTGGGAAACCGGCCATGATGTTGAAGCCACCGAGAAACGTTTAAGTTTGTGTGTGGAGTGTTTTATCAGCACTCTGGGGAATGGCTGCATCAACTGTTTTGGTCTTAGAAATAAAGAATGAGTTTCCTGCCATGAATAGCAATTGTTTTCCAAGCCAGGTGGCCTGCAAGAGAGGCTGCCTCCAGAAGCTGGTCTGCAGATCTGCGGGGGCCAGGAAGGAGGCGTCTCGGGGCCACACCCGGGGCAGTGTTGGATGCTTCTCTAAGGTCATTTTCAGCAGGGTTTCTGGGGTGTGTGTGTGTGTGTCTCCCTGTCAGATCACAATTCTGTCCTCTCTGTGGCCCTGCTGTGGGACATACAGACTTAAGAATGCTCTGATGGGGTGGAGGGAGAAGCACAGGGCTCTGCGTGGAGGTCGCCTGGTCTACAAAAGAAAACAGTTCCATGTAAGTAGACTTTCTGCTCAATTACCCTGTATATTTTAGTGTCCAATTATGGATGCTGTCCTCTGCAGTTGAGGTGCTCCCAATGGCTGACCCTTCACCCTCACCTGCAGATGTAGGTGAAGGTAGAAAGTAGAAAGCACCCACAACCTCCACTTGGTGCCAGTCTGTGGCTGTTTCTCTAGTGAATTTGTCTCCATCTGGCCCTGTGCTCAGAAGGTGGGTGCCCTTCCTCTGGCCCCTGGGTTCTTCCTTGTTGATTGTGTATGTTCTTCTCTGTACTCCTGCAAAATCTTAATTTAGGGAAATCTGTTACATTGAAATGACTAAGAGCAGCTTTCTTTCTTTTTTTGTATTTCTTACGAAGCTTTAATGCTATGCAGTAGTGCTTGAGAAAGTGTTTTATGGGCTCCTTGGGCCCTTCTGTGTACCTTTCTTGGACTGTGATGGTATTCATTAGCATACCAAAAACCACCAGAAGTTTAAAATGCTGAAAAATAAGTGAACTAATCTGTTTAACTATATTTAATTTAGCGTTTCTCAGATTTTTCGTGTCAAAGTGTTTCGTTTAAAAATAAACTTTTATTTTAGGGCAGTTTAGATTTAGATTTACAGATTTAGTTTTAGATACAGATTTAGATGGACCGATATGGATTTAGATTTAGAAAATGACGCAGGTAGTACAGAGAGTTCCCATAAACCTCATGCCCAGCTTCTCCTGTTAACGTCTTGCGTTAGTTTAGTCCATTTGTCACAATATGAAGCCAGTACTGTTACATGCTTATCAACTCAGGAACCCTCTTCATTCCAGTTTCTTGAGTTTTTACCCAGTGTCCTTCTTCTGTTCCAAGTTCTCTCATTGCATTTAGGGGTCTTGTCTCCTTAGAGTCCTCTCCACTGGGACAGTTTCTCAGGCTTCCACTGAAGACTTTGACAGTTTTTGGTTAGGAATTTTATAGAATATTCTTGAATTGGGATTTATTTGATGCTCTTCTCTTAAGAAGACAGGGGTTATTGGTTTTGAGAGGAAGACCCTAGAGGTGAAACCTTATTCTCATCACATCCTGGTGGGGGTGAGGGGTGTGGTCACCGTCAACACCATCCATGTGTACAGTCACCCCGATGCCGTCGGGGTCACCTCATTGAGGCAGCGTTTGTCCTTTTCACGTGTGTGAGCTCCTTTTTCCACCATTTTCTAAACTACACTCTTTGGAAGGAAGTCATTCTCTACAGCCCACTTCAGAATGAGGAGTTAGGCTCCACCTCCTTGAGGGCATAGCATCTATGAAAATTATGTGGAATTTTTCTGCATGAGAGATGTGTCTTTTCCCTCATTTATTTATGTGATTATGGGCTCATGGGTATATATTTTCTATTCTGGGTGATAATTCATGCTACTCTGTTGCTCTGTTTTTTTTCAGCTACAGCCACTGGGAGCTTTTTCAGTTGTCTCCTATATTGTTTGGACATCCTCTAGCTCAACTCCAATGTCCTGCCCCAGTCCTAGAATCAGCTGTTTGTCCAGTGAACCCTAGTTTCGGTAACTGGAACATTGTGTTAGAATCAAGATCTGGGCACTAGATGTGCTTGTTGCAAACTGGGATGTCATTCCTTCTGTGCCCTGTCAGCTGCTAGAACAAGGAAACATATGTATGTACACTAACCGGTGTGTGCACACAAGTCTATACATATTTCTTTATTAGCCACCTGAATCTATATTAGGCTAAACATGGGTTCCTACTGATGAGGCCAACTCTATTCCATGACCACCCTTGCTTATCTGAGACCTTCCACTCCAACAGTGAGAAACCTGGATCCCACTGTCTACCATCCCTTTACTTATTTTTTCCATTCCAGTGTAAAGGGATAGTGGCTTCAGAACTGTTAACTCATGCCCTGCAGCAGGCAGCTTCATCACCTGGAGAATAGTGCTTATGAACTTGGCCATTATTATTACAGGTTCGGCCCATTCCCGAAATCATTCTGGTCAGCACCTTTCCCCCACCCGCTTTTAATACAGGTGGAACCTTTGTTACAGTCTGCATTCCATCCTACCATGCCCCTGACCTCCTCAATGATTTTTTTTTAAATTGCATGCATTAAGGATCACCCTTTGTAAAGTTCTGTTTTATGGGTTTTGATACGTGCAGAATGTCACATATCTGTTATTACAGTGTCATACAGAATAGTTTTATTGCCCTGAAAATGCCCTGTACTCACCCATTCAAGCCTCCTCTGCTCTCCCAGCCGCCCCCCTCCAAGCTACCAGTAACCACTGATCTGTTTGCTGACTAGGGTTTTGCCTTTTCTAGAATGTCATATAATTAGAATCATACAGTAGATACCCTTTTCTTAAAAAAAAGAAGAAAAAAGACCTTATTTTTTTACAACACTTTTAGGTTCCAACCAAATTGAACAGATAATACAGAGTTTCCATACACCCATCCACACGTACACACAATTAGCTATTAACATCCCATACCACAGTGGCACATTTGTTACCATGAATGAATATACATTGATCAGCATTCTCTCCCAGGGTTCATAATTTCCTATGGTAGTCAGTTGGGGCTGCTGTAACAGAATACCATTGACCACGGGGCTGAAACAACAGAAATTTATTTTCTTGCAGTTCTGGAGGCTGGAAGTCTGAGAGGAGGGTGCCAGCGTGCTTGAGTTCTGGTGAGGACATCCCCCTGGCTTACAGAGGCTGCCTTCTTGCTGTGTCCTCACATGGCCAAGAAAGAGCATGGGAGCTCTCTCGTCCTCTTCTTGTAACTCCAGTCCTATTGGATTACGGTCCCACCCTTACGAGCTCATTTAACCTTAATTTAACCTTAATTCCTTCCTAAAGACTATATATATTTACACACACACACACACACACACACACACACACACACACACACACACACACAGAGCTATATATATATATAATATATAATATAACATATAATATATATAGCATAGCATATATATTATATAATATATGATATAACATATTATATATATTGCTATGTATATATATAGAGAGAGAGATTGCTACACACACAAACACACACACACACACACACACACACACACAGATATATAGACTTCTAGATGTGCTAAATCTCCAAATATAGTCCCAATGGGGGTTTGGGCTTCTGCATACAAATTTGCCAGGGGGGTAAACTTTGGTCCATAGTTTACGCTAGGTTTCACTCACCCTTGGTGTTGCACATTCTGTGGGCTTTGACAGGTGGATAATGACATGTAATCACCATTACGCTTCATGCTGAATAGTTGCTCTCCCCTAAATATTCTCTGTGCTCTGCCCAATCATCCCTTCCTCTCCATGATCCCTGGCAACCACTGATCTTTTTATTGTCCTTATAGTTTTGTCTTTTCCAGAATGTCCTAGAGTTGGGATCATATGTGTGTAGCCTTTTCAGATTGGCTTCTTGCAGGTAGTAATATGCTTTTAAATTTCTTCCATGTCTTTTCTTGGCTTGATGACTTATTTTTTCAGTGCCGAATAATATTCCACTGCCTGGATATACCATAGTTTACCCATTCACCTACTGAAAGACAGCTTGGTTGTTTCCAAATTTTGGCAGTTACGGCTGAGCTGCTATAAGCATGCATGTGCAGGTTTTCATGTGAACATAAGTCTTCACATTAGCTGGGAAACTAGGAGTGTGATTGCTGGAAATAGTTAAGTTTTTATCATTGAGTGGGCATCATCTGCTTGGGAGGAGACAGCGTCCAAGTACTTTCCTAAAGCGTCATGAAGCCATACACTTGAATAAGCCAACTCTTTTACAGCCAACTTTCTACTCAGCCACAGTTCTCCAATCTCTGCTGCTGCTGACAGCTCCGTATTATGAAGATGTAGCTTTTCCCAGCCACTGCCAATCTGTACGTGCTCAAGTTAAGCCCAGGAAGCTCAGAAGCAAAACTGAAGTTGGTTTGTCTTATATCTCTACAAATCCAAAAGGCTCCATCTCATTCAGCTGATGAGGATATACAGAGGAGGTGTAGCACAGTAAATGGCTGTGTCTTAGGGCCACACAGACTGTGACTAAATAGCCCTGTATGTTTGTGCAGGTTACCCTAATCCTCTCCGAACCTTGGTTTACTCATTGGTAAAATTTGAATAATAGCAAACTATCAAAGTCTCAGAGTCATTGTGCAGAGAAATGAAGTAGTATATGCAAATGGCGAACGCAATGTCTGATGTACATTTAACAGTCTCTCTCTCTCATACATACATATATAATATATATACACACACACATACATATATATCTCTCTCATAAATACATATATATATGTATATATAATTGTTGTTATAATTATGGAATAGCTGCTGTGACCACTGTCCAGAAGGCTAGAACATAGTTCCTACCCTTGAATAATGTATCGTCAAGTTGGGGAGGTAAATTCACACATATGTCAGACTTTGAGGGTCACACTTACCCAGAAAGACTGGTGACATGGTAGACCTCCAAAGCCACACTTACCCAGAAGAAATGGGAGTTACTATGAGAGTGTAGGCCAGGGCCTTGTAGACAGGACAGCTGAGTTTTGGTATTGTTGAAGAACGGTGCACTTGGTGGGCTTCGACCCACACAGCCTTGAGTGAGATAGACTTGGTTGGAAATGCTGTTGAGTGGAATGATACTGACCAGTGGTTCTTGGGCTTCATTGTGCATCACAGTCCCTGCCAGGCTCACGGAAACAGATCACTGTGCCGCCCCACCCACCTCCCCAGAGTTTCTGTTTTAATGAGTCGGGGTTGGAGCCCAACCAGTTACATTCCAGCAAGTTCTCAGGTGATGCTGATGCTGGTGTTTAGAGAGCGCTGCTTGCGAAGCCTGGTGGACCACACACAGCAGAGACCCAGAGACGGGAGACAGCGGGGAGACGTGAGAAATCAGAGGAGACATCACACAGCACCAGGACTGATGCTGGGTGTGAAGGGTTTGTAGGGTGTGGAGAACGGGTAAGGAAGGAAAAGGGAGTTAGGCTGCAGAGGAAACATGAGAGTGTCCCAGGCAACTGGAGGAGAGCAGGGACTTGCTGGAGGAAGGCATGAAAGTAAGAGGTGGATGATGACTGGCTGGCAGCTGCCTACCTTTCCAAGGTTTGCTTTGAAGGAGTAAAGGTGGGAAGAATAGGGGCCTACAGAGGTCCGTAGCCCTGGGGCTCAGAGATGGGATAGTTTTGGTCAAATAACCACCTTGGACCTTGCAGGAATCTGCTGAATCTCTCTACAGTGGACTATTTTCTCTTCCAGCTCTCTCTTATCCTTGTGTCCACACCTCTTTCATCACAAGGCACAATCCTTTGCACGGTCTCAGTCATGCTTAATAAGTAAATTGCCTTATGCACATTTTGAATTGCTTAAATTGAATAATACTTATAATTGACCAGATGTTCCTAAAACAGTTTGCCATTTCATATGACTTGACATTCACATTAGGAAAACAAAGACTGTGCTTTCTTTTATTGTGCATTGTGATTCTCTTAGCATAATCTGATTGCAAGTTCGCAGCTGTTCGCTGTTTGCAAAATCATATTAAGGCCATCCTGTGTGTAGGGAAGGTCCATGATGGGTTTAGACAATATAGACCCCTTTTTTTTCTGTAAAATATATCCTGTTGTCACCATTTGAATCACGATTTTGAGCACAACTCAGAGACTGTGTATTCTGTTGGGGAAAGAATAGTGATGTGATTCCTGGAAATGGTGCTGTGACCTGCTTCAAATCCAGCTCATGGGGCTGGCGGGGGAAGTGGGAGGTGAGGGCCATGGGCTGACCTGTGCCCAGGGCAGGGGAAGCCACTGGGGGCCAGATAGAAATCATGGTCCAGGCAGAAAGGAAGTCAGACAGATGGAACCCTGTACGCTGTGCCAGGAGGTCACAACAGAGAGGCAGTAAACAGGAAAAGGAGCCCAGATCTGAAGCTGGAAGGAGAGAGAATTGTCTTGGGAACAAGCACGATGGGGCAGGGCAGAGGTCCAGCACAGAGGCTATAACTGGCTTGTGGGGCAGGGAACTGTTCACGCGGGGTGGAGGTGGGGATTCCAGGGCCCTCTGTGGAGCGGTTAAGCTCTGCCTCTGGGTAATGCGTTCTCGGGTGATGTCCAGGCTGGGAGCATAGTGCATGGCTGTCGATAAGGGAGGAGGCTTTAGGAGGTTTTGATGTTTGATTCTTCTAAAAATTTTCTCCATTGGATTGAACTTCCGAAATGACTAATTTCACCATATGATATCTCTTCCCAACAGCTTGTTTTATCCATTTTGTCTATGTAGGTAAAAGTCTAAGCTTGTTAACCTGACATATCATAATGACTTCTACTTACCAAGCTCCTAGTATCTATATATTAGATATATTATTCTAATATATTGCTTCTTACTTCTCACTCACTCTTCCCAAGTCTACATGAGTGGTGATGGTGATACAGGCTTTACAGAGGGAAAAAACAAAACAACAAAAACAAAAATTGAGTTCACAGAAGTTAAATTTAAGTTATGTGATATCTTCAACATCAGCATAACCAAGTGGCCAAAAAAAAGGAATTTGAAGCCAGGTCTGCTTGACTGCAAAGCGTGAACTCTTTACCCTGCAACTTCCCCAACAGCCCGACAGAACTTGTACCCAGTGCTTTTTCAACATTGTCAAAAAACAAGCTCTCCCCAGATCTCCAGGCCAGAGCAGCCAATTGCCAGCTACTGCCCCCTTGAAACTTTTCCAGCCCTGACTGATTTCTGCAGCCTGCCCCAAGCCTCAGTGCCTGGGGTGAAGGTTTGTGATCCAATTTAGGGCCAGCTAACATTTTAAAATATAATTATCATGTTGTCCAGTGAACTTTAAGAGATGCTACTTAAAAAAATTATTAAGTATTAAAGCAGAAAAAAGATACAGAGAAATCAAAAGAAAAAAGTCACAGCCTGTCAGCCTAGGACCCAGAAAACCCCATGTAGAGATTGAAAATGATGACAGTCATAAGCATAAGCATAAAATTCAAGGTGTAGAGAAATGATCCAAATGAATATGACCCTGGGGAGGACGCCTTGATGTCTGTACCCCCTGCAGCCCCAGAGAGCCGTGTGACGCCTCCAATTATCTCACTCCTCAGGACCCACCAGCTTGAGGTCAAATCATGATGCTTGTTTAAACTATCTTGAAAGTGCTAGCCAGTCCAGAGGAATTTGTGTCAAAGAGTCCTTTTGTAACAGGGAAGACACATGTATTTTAGACTGAGTGACTTGCAGGCACCAGCTGCCCTTGGAAGAGGCCCCTCCAGCTGCGGCCCACTCCCGCCCCAGACGCTGAAGGCCTGCGCAGATTCCCAGTGCAGATCCCGGGCGGTCTTCAGTCACCCCCTCAGTTGCTTGAGCTCTGGTAGTCAGGGTCTCCTCCTCGAATCTGGCTCATTTCTGCCTCTCATGTCCTTCGTCATGTGTCACTGGGCCCCATCTGCTGGGTGAGCTTTCAGGATCCTGCAGGTGCTTCCTTCTGGGCCAGACGTGTCTTCTCCCTCCTGGTAGAATTCTCCCTCCATGTGGAATTCACCAGGTGGGTGAATTCTCCCTTCTCCTTCCATGTGGAATTCACCAGGTGGGTTTTCCTAACTAAATATTAGCGCAGTGACACCCAGTGAGGTGTCAGTCGTAAAACTTGAGAAAGGGATGATGTAATTTTTTTTTTTTTTAAGTTAGGACAGCTCCTTGACCCTGGGAATAAGCTACTCAAATGACAGTAAGTCCCAAACCTACCTGTGGCACACAGCGGCATCGTCAGATTCCCTGTCTGCTAAGCTGTGGCTGAAGGAGACATCACAGGGGAAGGGGAGTGTATTTGTTAGGGTCCTCTAGAGGGACAGAACTAATAAGATAGATGTTTATATAAAGGGGAGTTTGTTAGGTAGTATTGACTCACACGATCACGACGTGAGGTCCCACAGTAGGCCATCTGCAAGCTGAGGAGCAAGGAAGCCAGTCCAAGTCCCAAAATCTCAGAGGTAGGGAACTGACAGTACAGCCCTCAGTCTGTGGTCGAAGGGCCAGGAGTCCCAAAGCTGAAGAACTTGGAGTCCGATGTTCGAGGGCAGAAAGCCCAGCACAGGAGAACGACAGAGGCCAGAAGATTCAGCCAGTCCAGTCTTTCCATGTTTTTCTGCCTGCTTTTTATTCTGGCTTTGCTGGCAGCTGATTAGATGGCGCCTACCCTGGCTGAGGGTGGGTCGGCCTCTCCCAGTCCACTGACTCAAATGGTAATCTCCTTTGGCAGTACCCTCACAGTCACACCAGGAACAATACTTTGCATCCTTCAATCCAATCAAGTTGGCACTCAGTGTTAACCACCACAGGGAGGAAGGGATTTTCCTGAGCACTTGCTGTGTGCGGCCGACCCTTTATGTGATCTCCCTTCATCCTCAGAACACCTCTGTGAGAGGGGATTATCAGCCCCCTCATGTGGATGAGCCAGCTGAGGCTGAGAGTGGTTAGGGAACTGTTTTGGGCAGTTCTGTGTGACCACAAAGCATAGCAATGGTTCTGCCCCTCCATGTGGTCCTTGTGCCTTGTCTTCTGGTGAAAGATGCTACGACATTTCTTCCTTCTGTTGGACGTCTACCTTCTTTCCAGCTGCCCTGAAAACTCAAGCCTCACCACCCCCACCAAGCCCTTCTGCTCTGACCCTTCCACCCAGGCTTGTCCTCATATTCGCCACGTCTTTAACACTGGAGAACAGTTAAATCCAAGCAATATGTATTTTAGCAAAAGCTTCTCTTCCAAGATGGCTAAGGTTTTGCCCCCCTGGTTTAGGAGCCTGGTTGGCAGGTGTCTTATTAAAATGCACATCAGTGGGAGGGAGGGAAGGATGGGTGTGTGGGTGAGTTGTTTGCCGTTTTGAGGGCAGACATGAAAGTTACTACCAGAATGGTAAGGGAGCCACTCACAGACCCCAGGCAGGCACCCCTGGTTAAAATTTCTCAGAGCTTGGCAGGTCGAGGTGGGGGGATCATGAGGTCAGGAGATCGAGACCATCCTGGCTAACATGGTGAAACCCCATCTCTACTAAAAATACAAAAAATTAGCCTGGCATGGTGGCACTTGCCTATAGTCCTAGCTACTCAGGAGGCTGAGGCAAGAGAATCGCTTGAACCCATGAGGCGGAGGTTGCAGTGAGCTAGATTGCACCACTGTACTCCAACCTGGACGACAGAGCGAGACTCCATCTCAAAAAAAACCAAAAAATTCTCAGAACATCCAGATGCTCTAGGCTCCATCAGCAGTCAGTTGGCCACCTCCCTGGGTCCCAGCTACAGCCAGGAGAACCTTGCCACGGAGCAGGTGGATGCCAGGGGTGGGGAGGTCTGACCTTCCGTGCTTCTCTCGTTTCAGACTGTTCTGCGATGACCACAACAAGGTACCGGCCCACCTGGGACCTGGCCCTCGACCCGCTGGTGTCTTGCAAGCTCTGTCTTGGGGAGTACCCAGTGGAGCAGATGACAACCATAGCCCAGTGCCAATGCATCTTCTGTACTCTGGTTGGTCTTTTTGGATAAAATATATGTTACAGTGATTTTAGGATGAGCTTTTTGCTTTCATTTGCAGAGACACTAGGCAAACCTTTGGACTACATTTTGCCTGACAGTGGAGTCTTCTTGTTGAGGCCTTCACACAGTTCTTGGAAGAATTATTCTGTTAGTCAGGCAGGCTCCCAGAGTGGAAGATTTCCATTACAGTTGCTTGTGGTGCAAAAGCAATCGGTTAAACAGAATTTTAGAAGCTCGTGATAACAATTCACGAAACTTATCATAGCGCATGTTCTCCTTGCTACACAGCAAAAGCTTCCACACCTTATATCAAATGTATTTTAATAGTCACATGTCTGAGGTTATGGCAGTGCTAACCTAGTGATTGTGTGTAGCTAGAATATTCAGTCCTCAGTGTCATCTCTCACTGGCTTAGTGCTAAACTAGAATATAGATATTTTAAAATCACATTTAATATTTGTTATGATGTAGCCAACATTCTTTTGGGGCCAGATGATCCTTCGGGGCTTAATGAATATGGGGACTTCTAAGTCAAGAATCTGGGGTTTGGGTCAAACTCAAATCCCAAATTTTATCTATCGGAAAAGATAAATGAGTGTGTGAGGTTTACTTTTAGTTAATCTCATTGAATTTTACTTGTTTTTTCTGTCCATTCAAGGAATGAAAAAAGAAAATGAGTGCATAGAAGCCGGAAGTAGGACGGTAGTTTCCCGGGGTCTGCAGGGAATGGGGAGATGTAGGTCAAAGGGTATGAAGTTGCAGTTATACAGGTTGAATAAGTTCTAGAGACCTAATGTACAGCATGATAATTATAGTTAATCATACTGTTTTGTATACTTGAAATTTTCTGTGAGGATAGATCTTAAGTATTCTCACCACACACACACAAATTGGTAACTCTGTGAGATGATGGATATTTAATTAGCTTGATGGATTTATGATGTATACACGTATACAAAAAATGAATATCAAAACTTCACATTGTTCACTTGAAGTATAAAATGGACAGTCTTTATCAATTATAACTGAAAAAAGCTGAAAAATAAAACACAATATTTATCATTTTAAAAAGTACAGAAAAGAAAAATGAAAAACTGTCTTCAAAAAAAAAAAAGTGTCTTCTGAATTTAACTGCTGTTGTATGTGGATGGTGTAGACGGCTTCCCTGTGGGTTTTTCGAATGCCTGGATTATAATCTGTCACTCGAACAGTCTCTCCCACCCTGTACACTGATGCATTCATCTTTCTTGCATAGCTTTCAGACTGTATTTCATTTGCACCTCATGATGTCCTTGGTATGTAGGCACAGCAAATATTTTATCTTTGTTTTATAGATAAGGAGAGGGAGCTTTACAAACATTTACATCTGTGTCTTCTGTTTCTTGTTTATGCTAGATTCAGCCTTTCTTAAGGGCAGAAGGATTTCTGGCCCATTCTGTATCCACCTAGCACCTAGTTTAGTGCAGGACCCAGAAGAGCTAATCAGTAAAATCTCACAGATTGAAATGAAGTGTATTGATCTCAATACTGTAGTTGCCATCCAAGAAATGTGCCTCATTAAAGCACCAGGAAGACAGCTCCAACCTAGAGGAAAGGAAGTTGCTTTTGACATTGTTCTGAGATGGAGAAGGATAGGAGGGAGATTGATCTCCATCCTGTTAACACCGTGAATGGGGCTTATTGTCATTTCTAGATGAGTTAGGATGGTAGAACCCGTCAAGATGGATTCAATAACTAGCCTTATGCAAAATCACCTCCTCTTACTTGAAAGGACATCTTCCCAACTGATCGAATGGCTCCCCCTCTGCCAAAAATGCCTTGTGGGGGGTGGGGGCGGGGGGCATTTGCAGTCTCTGCAGTCGCCTGCCTGCTGTCAGAGGCCATAGCTTGTGTTCTTACCCTTGAAATAGTTCATTCTCCCTGGCTTTTTTGCTGAGGCCTTCATTTTTGTTATTGTTGTCTTAGTTTTCTATTTCTAGAGAATTGTAGTAAAAACAAATAAGCCACTCAAATTGAGACCAAAAGCCTAACCAAAGTCAGTGGATGTGAAGGAAGAAGCTAGCACTGTGTTCTCCGAAAGAGGCTGCTGGAAACACCAAAAAAACAGTGACACTGTGGTGATTTTTTTTCACAACTATTTACCAAAATTTAAAATGTTGAAAACAGTTCCACCTCTGTCCGTAGCTCACTGTAGCGTGAAGAGAAGGAAGCACTTGTGTGTTGAAGATTCAGAAGGGAGGAGGTGTCGGGGTGCCCTGGTCGCTTTGGTGGCGCCTTCCCCTCTGTGTGGGCTGCAGGTCGCCCCAAGCTGGGGGCAGGCCATGGGGAGGAGCCCTGAGTCTGTGGCCAGAGGAGTTGCAACTGTCCTTTTTTGGGGGGTGCAGACATGGGAAGGAAGAAAATTGTCTAAGACTGAAAGGAGGCACTCTTAAAAAAACAGTTATTATGAAATTACAGTTGAGTGCTGAAGTAACTTTATCTCAAGGAGTCCGGGGCTAGAGGGAAAAGCATGGCATTTGGAGTCAGGTGTCCTGGAGCTGAAATGCCAGCTCTATTTCTGCCCTGAGCAGGCCTCATTTACCCCATCTGTATAATGGAGATAAAAATAGTTTACCTCAAAGTTCAAGTGGAAGAACATGTGTGAAGTCATGTGGTAGGCAGTCATCAGGCCTAGTTCTTTCTCATTTTGCTTCTAAGTTTGGGTTTAGAACTGCAGGAATAAAAACAGAGTTTGGGCAGCTCTCCCTAAATGTCTTCTGAAGAACACTTATCTCAAGAGATGGACTCAGAAATGATTTGTGTGGTTCAGTGGGTTTGCTAATGACGGACACCGCATCCTTGTCCACATCCCCCACTACCAAGGCATCCCAGGTGCCCAAGAGCAGGAGGAATGTACCAAGACATCCACAGCCAGAGACATACTGTCACTTACCTGTGTTCCTTCAATGTATTTCAGTGTGAAAGGGACTGGCCTAGCAATTGCTAATATGGCACTCCCCTGAAGCAGGTTCTCCGGGGCTTTCCTTGCTTGCAGGGTGCCTGGTGGATTCTTCGTGATTCTCTGGAGGTCACAAGAGCCTGTGCACATGTTCCAGGTGCTGTGCTAGGCCTTGGGAGCTTGGGGATGATGAGAGCTACCAGATATCTTAAATTGTTCCATTTGGATTAGTGTGAAGTCTAACTTTAGAAGGTCAAATGTAAAGCTGAACATTTGTGTGCAAAATAGTGACATGTAAGTCTAACCAACAAGTTCTGTGCTGGAGCACTGGCCAGAGAGAAAGGATTGTGGACACGTATTTTGAAATCAGGCTGCCGTTACCCACCATGAGGGCCAATCCCGTGTTCGTTTTGTCAATCAGAGATGCAACCTGTGTGTAGAGTGACCTGGGAAATTCCTTATGGGCTGAAATCTAAAATGTAGAAGATGTTTTAACTTAAAATGGGACATATTAGAGCTATTTAGGTCTGTCTTATACTTGTGGCATTTGACAGTTACACTGAGAATGTTAATATGGTGTTACTGCTGGCAGAGTTGTTTCCATTCAGACAGCTGCTAGAAGTAGAGATGATACTCTTATCCCAAAGGTGGGAACATGTGAAGCTCAAAGGGAGGTGCTGTGGTCCCATCCCAAGACACAGGTCCCTAGTTATCTGGGAAGGTAGAAATGTCTACATTTCTATTAGTTCTTAAAAAAAACAGTCTAATGAAAGTTATTTTTTAATGATGACAAGATTGAATAAGCCAAATAAAACATACATATACACATATATTTTATATATATATTGCGTTTATATATATATATATAATTTTTTTTTGCTTTGAGTTAGAATTAAATCTATTTTTATACCAGCTATTTATTGGCAATTAGGAATTTTGCCATTAGAACCCAGATGACAGGATTTTGATATATAACCGTAGAAAGTTGTAACTTAAAAATGTAACATTTGGCCAGGCACAGTGGCTCATGTCTGTAATCCTAGCACTTTGGGAGGCTGAGGCGGGTGGATCACCTGAGGTCAGGAGTTCGAGACCAGCCTGGCCAACATGTTGAAACCCCGTCTCTACTAAAAATACAAAAAGTATCTGGGCGTGGTGGCGTGTGCCTGTAATCCCAGCTACTCAGGAGGCTGAGGCAGGAGAATCACTTGAACCCGGGAGGTGGAGGTTGCAGTGAGCTGAGATCGCGCCATTGCACTCCAGCCTGGGCAACAAAAGTGAAACTCCATCTCAATAAATAAATAAACAAACAAAAGTGAAACTCCATCTCAATAAATAAAATAAAATAAAATTAAAATAAATAAAAAAATAAAAGTGTAACTTTTTGCCCAGGCACAGTGTCTCCTGCCTGTAATCCCAGCATTTTGGGAGGCCGAGGTGGGAGGACTGTTTGAGCTCAGGAGTTTGAGACAATCCTGGGCAACATAGTGAGACCTTGTCTCTACAAAAAATAAAAAAATTAGCTGGGCGTGGTGACAGACACCTGTGGCCCCAGCTACTCAGGAAGCTGAAGCAGGAAGACTGCTTGAGCCCAGGAGGTCGAGGCCGCAGTGAGCCATGATTACACCACTGCACTCCAGCCTGGGCAGCAGAGCAAGACCCTGTCTCAGAAACAAAACAAAACAAAAACGTAACATTTAATAGACAGAATCTTTCCCGTGCAATGCATAACTATAATAAAAGTGACTCTTAGTGGTTTAAATAAAAAGTCAGAACTAGATGGTTGGTTGAGTTGCGTGGCTGAACATTGCTGTGGGATATAGGTTCAGATCTCTGTTCTGCCTCTGCTACCTGCTAACTGTGTGATTTTTAGCAAGCATCCTAACTTCTCTGAGCCTTAGTTTATTCATCTCTAAAATATGATCAACCTCATGAACAAATTAAATGGGGCAATGGGTATAAAGTATTGAGCAGTAGCATGCCTGGTGATAAGTAATACGATATTATTTCCTTTTTTTCCTATATATTTGCAAGATCATTGACCTGGTATGCTGCAGAAAAGCTACGTGTAAACCCTAAGCTTCTGATTGTGTAACATATTAGGAAATAAGTGGCATTTCCTCACCTAGAAATTAAGCTGATTTGGGGCATGGTCTTCCTTTGCACGTCTTTATGTCCCTTTGCATTATGTGTACTGCACATAGTGGGTGCTTTTTTGTGCACATAGCGGATATTTATTTAATTTTTCAAACATTTTTGAACACCTGGCTTGTGCCAGATGCCCTGGGTACGTAGGTAAGACATAATCCCTGCCCCCTCTGATCCCTTGCTCAGCATTAGATGCAGGTGTGGGCTGCGATCATTTGGGGCTTGAAGGGCTAGATTTGCAGTGTGGATAGTGGGTTACAGCACAGAGAGAACAGTGAATTCTGCCAGAAGTACTCAGGAAGGCTTCAGGGGCATTTGAACTATTTCCTTGAGAAAGCATGAACGGATAGAGCCACCATGGTGGGACCAGCGAAGGAAAGAGGGTGTTGGGGCATGATGGGTCCAGATTGAGAGGACTTTGCTAAGGTTTCTACTAGTCTAAAGCTCAGCAGAGACATACAGTCATGCGCCTCATCACCATGTTTTGCTAATGATAGACCATATATATAATGGTGATCCCATAAGATTACAGGAGCTGAAAAATGCATTCTGCCTAGTATTTACTATTCTGTACTTTTTTATCGTTATTTTAGAGTGTACTACTACTTATGAAAAAATAAGAGAGGTGTGGAACAGCCTGAGGCAGGTCCTTTAGGAGGCATCAGAAGAAGGCATTGTTGTTAATCTCATATGAGATGACAGCTCCATGGTGTTACTGCCCCTGAAGAACTTCTAGTGGGAGAAGATGTGGAGGTGGAAGCCAGTGACATGGATGATCCTGACCCTGTGTAGGTCTAGGCTAATGTGTTTGTGTCTTAGTTTTTAACAAAAAAAGTTTAAAAAAAATAAAAAAATTTACAAATAGAGTAAAGCTTACAGAATAAGGATATTAAATACATATATACACACACATGTATTTGTACTATGTATATATTTGTACGTATATATACACATATATATATTTGTACAGCTGTGTTCGTATTTTAGGCTAAATGTTATGAGAATAAAAAAGTTGAGAAAATGAAAAAGTTTACAAAGTAAAAAAGTTACAGGAAGCTAAGGTTAACTTATTGAAGAATGGAGTTTTTATCTGAATTGAGTGTAGCTGAAGTATAGAGTGTTTATAAAGTCTGTAGCAGCAGTAATGGCTGGGCCTTCACATTCACTCACCACTCACTCACCCGGAGTAGCTCCCAGTCCTGTGAGCTCTATTCATGGTAAGCGCCCTGTATAAGTATATGATTTTTTACATCTTTTATAGCATATTTTAAACCTCTTCTATGTTTAGAAATTTAGATGTGCAAATACTTAGTATTGTCGTTAATATGCGAAAATACTTGTAATTGCCTACGGTATTCAGTACAGTGGCACAGCACCCTGTACAGGTTTGTAGCCCAGAGCAATAGGCTGTGCCAGCTAGCCTAGGTGTGTAGTAGGCTATGCCACCTAGGTATATGTTACTACATTCTATAATGTTTGCACAGTGACAGAATCCTCTAAGGATACATTGTTCAGAATGTATTCTCTTCTTGGACAACTCATGACTGTAACTGGCAAGGACTAGAGGGCTCCAGACTAGCTGTATGTGAGCAAAGCCTGCGAGAGGGCAGCATGCTTTGCCACCTGCCATGTGGCCACTCTGGGCCTTCCTTGGGTTATCAAGGTTGGGATCTAAAGGGGGCATGCATTTTCTTATGATCCCCACTTTTCTGCACGCTTTGTTTCCATTAGTAGCCATTGTTTGGCTATTGTGTGGGGACCACAAGTTATGGTAGAGCAGGCAATCAACTGGAAAACCATGAGTGTCGCTGGTTCTCAGATTAGCTCCCAAACTAATGAATGGGGAACCTTGGGCAAGTCCTTTAACTTCCCTCTCTCCTCTTGCTTTCTCATCTCTGAAAGAAAGGTGGGACTCTTTGGTCTCTGAACTGTGAGTTACATGGACTTTGTCACTTGCTGTCCCACTGCCACTGCCTTTGCGTGTGCACTCAGATTCTTCCTGCGGCCTGTGTGGACCCCACAACTCTATGCAGCTCAAACCAGGCAGAGGCCTCTTTTGCTTTCATCTCCATCCAGGGTCTCCTCACTGTGGTAGCAAAATGGTGGTGGCTGCAGATGTCACTTACTCCCCTGTCCATAAGTGGGGAAAGAGAAGGTCTCTTTCAGTAACTCCTGTAGATAAAACAGAGACTTCCTTCCCCAGCAAATAACCTTCCAGCTCTATTGGCTGCACCACCCTATCTGATCCTACTTCTGGGTCCTTAAGATGGGATCTAGTAACTGGCTTAGAGTCTGGCCCGACTCTAGGATCCAGTCCACCAGATCAGATGGCCAAGATGGGCAGAGGAATTTCCTGAAAGAAGTTCAGGGTGTCCCTTCCAAGAGGGCAAACCTGCGACTGCATTCTTGATTTGAAACTTATCCTGTACAGGAAGCGCCTTCCTGAGTGAAAATGCCTGACATCATCTGGTCCCTGCCTTTTCTTTTGCCTTTTTCTGCCTTTTTCCCCAGCTTCCTAGCTCCATTGCGGATGCTCCTCCCCCTTTCTCAATTTCCCATACTGAGCCATCCTAAACTACAGGACTTCGACGTTTCTCAGCTCTTCAAACATCTGGAGCTTAAACTTACAATAGCATTTCACATACTGTGTGGCGGTTGTGTTCCCTGATCTATAACTTCCTCTAAAGGAGCTTTTGAAGAGAAGGGGTTTTCTTATGTTCTGCTTTTTCATAAATGTTGGCACATAATGGCCCTCCAAAAAAAATGTTGATGCTCACACATTACATACTTGAGTTCCAAGTGGCTTAAGGCAGGTAAGAGTGAGGTGGTTCTCTTTCTAGTCTTATTTTTACAATTATAACTGCTGCTGCTATGGTTTTATCTCTGCATTTTCTGTGAGATGTATCTAAGAAATCATAGCGTCGTCAGATTAAGAAGAAACTAAATATCTTACACTGTGATATTGGCCTGCCCTGGTAAGAGTGAATGGTGGGAAATAGTTTTCAAAGTGTTCTTCAGCTGAAGGTCCCTCTGTTCAAATGAAAGTCTACATGAAAGCCTAGTATATGCAGAATGGTTGAAGCCAAGCTTGCTCTTTCAGTATGGAGTTTAGGCACTAGGAGGCTGTCTGATCATGTCTGCTCTGCAGGCTGGCTCCTGGGGTTCCGAGGACCATCGGTGGGCTTCCCAGGCCTCTCTTCTGGGGTCTGAGAGGTTCAGAGATGCGTGAATCCAGCCATCAGAGTTGCCTCTCCTAAGCAGAGGGCCTCCTTTTAGTCTTGGTTTTTCGATGGGGAGAAGGCTGACTTGGAGGGTGGGATGACTTTAGGGTGCAAAGGATGAGTTCCAGGGCTGTTGCAAAGAGCGAAGCTTCCAACTGCCAAGCTGGCAGTTTCCAGCTGCCAAGATGCCTGCAAAGTAAAGAGCTGCCTCTGCAAGTCTGTTCCGTGTTCCCAGAACACAGAACAGCTTCCTGACCTCCTTTGTCTTAAGACCAGCACCCGTACCCCTCAGATTCCCTGCTGACAACTCACAGGCTACAACCAGAGTTGTCTTCATTTTTATCCATGGCTCTTAGAGTCCTTCTAAAACTTTAGCTTATTGCTTCATCTCACTTCTCATAAAAACCTGTGAAATAGGCAGGATTCTCCATCTCATGAGAGGACGCTGCAGCTCAGAGACATGAAGGGGCCTGCCCTGGAGTGAGGTGCTTGCTGGAAAGCCTGACTTGGGTGCACCTGCTCCTTGCATATCTGCCACTCTTTTTTTTTTTTTTTTAACTTGTGGTATTGATGAACTGAAGTGCTGTTAGAGAATTGCACATACCCTAATTTACACACACATTCAAAGTGTTTTTCTCGGTGGCATCATTCCTTTAATGAAAAGCATTTTTTCCTCGTGTTGCCCCTGAAATCATGACAGCTATGCTCTGTCCCAGTCTAAAGCCCGGATCCCAACAATCTCTGTTACCCAGAATGTAGCCCAGAACCTCCATGAAGCAGAACAGCTTGACGAGGGTCTGGAGTTGTCGGAGTTCCTGCACATTAATCTTGGCAGAGGACTTCACTCAGAGCCCAGGGATGCTGTAGTTATAACTTTTTCTAACTTGATGTGTATTTTTCCTAATCAAGAGTATGAAAAACTAAAATGCGGAGGATGAACAATTCTCTACACAGTTAACAAGAAATGACAGTTTGTAACCTGATGACACAGGATAAGTGGCAGGCCAGAAGATCTCAGCCTGTGCTGCAAAATGCTCCTGGGACACTGACAGGTGTGTCACCAGGACCTGTGTTTTGGGAAGGGACACCTGCCTCCTCAATGTCAGGGCAGGAGAGGGTAAGGGCCCTGTGACTCCTGCCTCCGATGCCCGTACTGGCCTCAGAGGAGAGTTGTGGCCCCGCTACCCCAACCCTTGCTGGTCTTCACAGGTGGGTCCTGGTACCCCAACCCCGAGCCCCTTCACTGCCTCCCTCCCTCACTGGGACCTCTGGGACCAGGCTGGCAGCCACTGTCCTCTCTCCATGGCCACCTCCCCAAAGCCTCCCATCCTCCCTTCCCTGTCCATGGCCTGCCATTCCAACAGTATTCTCTGAAATAGACACTCAGTCTATTTAAGTGGGGCTCCTTACCTTCTTCCACCCTCTGACATTGAGGAGGTAGGTGTCCCTTCCCAAAACACAGGTCCTGGTGACAAGCATGGGCCTATACCTTGAAGTAGGCTGTCTCTGCACTAGAAATTTGATGTCTATTAAGGGTCCATGAGAAAATGCCGATTCCTGATAGTGGCTTTGCTCAGAAAGTGAGCCAAGGGATGAAGGGCCACTCTGGAAGCCTTTGCACACCCTGCCCTAGTTAAGGTCAGAGAGTGCCTTCCCACCCCCTCAGAACCCTGCCCCTTCCCACCTGGCAAGGATCCTTGGGATCTACTTCCTCTCCCCATTTTGTGGACTTGACTCTTCACCCCAAAACCCTCCTCAGTGCTTTCTTCCAGGAGGCCTGTCTAGGACCGACAGCAGGTAGCGTCCTCAACCCTGCCCCAATGTCAGCAGGATCCCTATCAGTCTCCCCAGCCCTTTCTTATACAATGGGTAAAGAGCAAACAAATAAAACTTTTGGTTTCATGATGGGATAGAATGATCTTCAGTTGTCTGGAAAATTCAGATCTTCCCAACAGAGGCTGAATTAAGAAAGTGTCACACGATTACAACTTAACCCTCTGCTGTTAGACATTCTGAGTATTTGCACGCCTACTCACATTGTCTCACACTCAGCCTCTCAAGCGCGTCTGTGCATGTGTCCCCTTCTGTCCAGGTCTTAAATTCGCACACACTCGATTTCACAGACACACTCATTTCACCTCCATTAAGAGTCTGACCCAGGGATCATCCTGCCTCAGCTTTTAACCACCCTCAACATAGTACACTTGCCAAGCCACAATATGCCTTTCACCCAATGTCACAGCCTTGGTGTGGAGTGCATATATATTTGTTGAAGTGACAGGCCGAGTCCCTGCCTGTTCCTGCCTCTGATGTTGGTGCTGTCTGTGTGCACACCCTGCTACCACACTGCCTCTGTTCCGTTCCCCTGGGAGGTCTTCGTGATGAAGCCGTGGCTGGGTGAAATATGCATTTTTGCTCCTCTGTGAATCCGGGTTTTCATATTGAACAGATAGAACAAACGGGCCGCGCTGCCCACACCACCGCTTCTCTTGCAGCTTGTTTGGAAGCTGAGGCTGCAGGAGCGAGCTCCTTGCTAAGGAAGGAACATGCATTCTCTCAGAAGTCTTCCCTCTCCACCAGCCCAGCACTGCCTCCAGAGGTGAGGGGAAGGCAGCTGGACAGTTCACTAGTCCCTGTGGTATAGTGGAAAGCACAGTCTCCACGTCAGTGTCTTCCCCTTGTGGTTGGCGAGGGGGAGGAAAAGCCCAGTGGCGTCCCTAGAGAGCCAGATCTTCCTGGCTGTCACCCCCATCTCACCCTGTCTCTGGCTTCCCGGGCTCAGTCTTCAGAGCCTATCACTGCCTCTTTGGCTGCCGCCCAGACCTCAGGACAGGCAACTGTGAGAACAAAGAGCGGCCTTCCTCCTTTTTGGCAGCGGGTGCGTGGTCACATGTGCAGGCCTCCTCGGGAACGTCCAGCTTCTGGTGGCTTTTGTAGACCGCAGTGTAGCTGCAGGCCCGGCTGCAGGTTGTGCCCAGTCCCTTACCCTCCAGCTGTCCCCTCACAAACACTTCCCTGAAGCTCTGCTGACACAGTGCCCTGATTAAGAACCGCAGGCCTGACCGGTCACACTGGCCTTCCTGCCCCGAGTGGGTTCTTATAAAGCAGCCGTGGATGACACAGGCCCCCTCCCGACACGGTGCACTCTCCACTGCCTGCAGGAGTGAGCCCTGCCGCTCCACTCAGCACTGCTGCTGCCTCCTGGCCTACTGCACCCCATGCTTCCCTGTCCCCCCGGGCCAGATGCTGTTCCTGAGCACACCCCTTCTGGTGGAGCCTGCTTCCCTTTCTCCTGACTGCTGTTTGTCTTGGACAAACTCAACACTGGAAGGGGCGGTCTCTTCCTCGTATAAGGAGATGGAATAAACAGCCTCCGCATCCAGTCCTGCTGTCGTGCCTTGCTCCTGAGACCTCTGAATGGCCAGGGAGCCGGGGCTCTGGGCATCCTCCTGGCCTCCACCCCAGGTCCCTGCATGCCACCCCACAAAAGCAGGTGCTCAGTGCTAGCTGCTGAATGGACTTGAGAATCCCAGATAAGTGACAGGCTTGCTACTGCTAACTTCCCACCTGGAGTTCTTGAAAGAGAGTGTTTAACACAAAATCATTCCGTCCACATCTTCACTGAGCATCTACAGTCACCAGCCACCGTGTGAGGGCCGCATAGGGCCACAGAGGCATTACCCCTGGCCTTATCTACACTGCAGGAGATGAGGTGTGCACTCACCCTCCACATGGGTGACAGGAGACCCATACACAGCATGCGGGCTGGAAGACTCTGATGATGGAAATTGTGCATAGGTAGAATGAGGTTAAGTAGGTGGAGGATACTGAAGGGGTAAGAAGAACTAGTATTTGCCGGGGCCTTACTTTATATAGGGCAAAATCCACCCTTCCAGCAAGGATGCCACCTGCAAAGCAGGATCATCTTGTTCTGTAGCTGAAGGGACTTAGTCTTAGATAGCTTAGGAAAAAGGTAATGCAGGGGAGCAGCACGCCGATCATGACCTGAAGCAGCTGACTGTGAGCCTGCCTGCCTCCTGCACACCACCCAAGGCTGTGGTGAGAGCACAGGAGGCGGCGGGTCTAAAGGCTCGACAGAAGCAAGAACTCATATAGATGGGAGCGTTTATTTTACGCATAAAGTCTGGGGCTTTTTTTTTTTCAAGAACCTTATAAAAACAAACTTTATAATTTGAACTCTTCAGCTTGTGAGTGAAGTCACAGTCCTACATCCTTGAGGAAAGTGATCCTTGCCAGAACATGTACTGTGCAGCTTGCTGGGCAGTTTGCTGCAGGTTCCCAGGGCCATCCAGTGAGAGTTGCCAGGGGGATTCCCATGAGGCTGTCCTCAGAAGGGAAGGCTGTGCAGGAGGTCGTGCCTCCAGCCTCCTTAACCACAGCCCTCCAGCCTGTGCTGAGGACCCGGCTTGTATGGCCCTGCGGTGGTGGTGTGTAGCTAGCACACCTCTGTCTCAGGGCTCCAGCCCTCCTGCTGGGGCTCAGAGGAATGCCTGTTGCCAGGTGTCTGGCTACTCTGTGTGTGTTCTACTCATCTTTGTGTCCTTCCATTCACCCTCTATCTGCAAGGCTTTGATTCATCCCTTGCTATTTGCCAGCACTCTGTTAGGTATGGGGAATAGAAAGATAAATAATTAATAGTTCTTGTTTTCAAAGAATTCACCATCTACTAGAGGAGAAACATAAACAGACCATGGATTATTGATGGCTCTAGAAAGGCTGAGAGAAACCCTTGCGGAGCGTGTAAGCAATATTCCGGAGCACCGCTGTCTCCGGGGTACTGGAGCTGTGGAGTGATTGTCCCTCTATCTGCCAAGCTTATCCCACAGTATTAGGAAGTGGAGGCACTGGGAGAGAAAGGTCCATGCTAGAGCCACATGTCTGCTAAGTGGGTGAGCTACAATTTCAAGGCAGCCTTGTGTGTGATTCCAGGGTCTTTGCTCCCAACCACTGTTCATGGGGCTTTTGCTGCTTCAATTTGGACCTGCCTGCGTGTAATGTTTGTGTTAATAAATCGTGGATCCCAGATAAGCACCTTTGAGCACAGTTTCTGGGCATTTTCTCCTGCTTTTAGGATCATCAGTAGCCAGCAGGCCTTCGTGTGAAAAAGCAGACAAAAATCAGACTCGCTGTAGTTTTAGGCGAGGCAGATATTTCTCTGTGGCCACTTCTCCTTGGCAGGAAACTTCTGACGCACCGGAGGTATATTAGCAAATCAGCAGTGCTGTCTCGTCATCAGGTTTCAAAGAGTTGGAAACCAAAGTGGAAAATGAAATTCCTGGAACATTCTGTGGCTTACCCCCCTTTCTTCCCTCTGTGTGGCTGATGCCTTTTTTCCTGCAATGCCTTTGACCCTCTGGCCAACTTTTCATCTCTGGGAAGCCTTCCCTGATCCCACCCAGGTGGGACCCCTCCTCTCTACCCCTGTAGTGGCCCATTAGAGCCTCCCTGCCCCCTTGAAGTGGCCCCATGAGAGCACGGAGCACAGTGCATTGTGATGATGATCTGTGCATGCCTCTTTCCCCTACACTGGGCTGTGCGGGTCTCAATAGCATTTGCAGCATTGCAAATGGATCATTGCATTTGCAGCAGCATGAACATGAACATACAAAGGAGAGGTTCTCGGGGTTGACTGACACTATGCCCCTTTAAAGTACATACAATTCCTTGTTCTACAGAAAAAGTTTATGAGGTAAACAGAAAATATGTATTGAATGATTGATTTTGAAAGTGTTCTTTTAAAAACAATAAATTTTATTGTATATATTTGAGGTTTATAACATAGTATTATGGGATACATATAGATAATAAAATGGTCATATAGTGAAGCAGCTCAGCGTATTCATCATCTCACATAGTTGCTTTTTACGGTGATGGGCACCTAAAGTCTACTCACTTACTAACAATCCCTGATATGATACAATTGTATTAAAGTTAGTCCTCATGTTGTATGTTATATCTCTAAACTGGCTCATGTAAAAGTTTTCAATTGAGGAGTAAGTATACAAAAAATGTACAACAGACAAACATAAAACCTCACCAGCCTTGGAATCAGCCACATGTGGGTTTGAGCCCTAGTGCTTCTATTGAGCTGTTGTTGATGTCTCTGAGCCTTGGTTTTCTCATCTGTCATGTGAGCATGGTAACACGCCATATGACTTTTGTGCATGTTTACTGAGCTAACATAGGTAATGCAATTCACGTAGAATCTAGGACTTAGAAAGCATTTGTCTACTGCTATCTATAATGAGTGCAGTAGTAGGAAAATGTGTCAGTATCTGCTTTTAGGCTGTGTATTTTACAGAAGTTTCTCTGTTTACCTATTTTTGTGCTCATTTCAAGACATCTTTTTGCAATTAGAATGAAAACCATAGCTTGTGAGTCATGACCCACTTTATATCTGGAAGAAAGCTGGGCTTGTTTTTGATGGATGCAAGGTCAGGCGCTTGGAACGTCATCTCTCTTTATGTAGTGAACAAATTGATATTCCCAGAACATAATCCTTTTGCAGATTGTACAGATAGCTGCATCCTGATGACACATGATGTTCACTCTTGGGTAGCTTTGAAACCCAGACATGACTCACTACTTGTTGCATATGGGTGTACGCTTCATGCCACTTTTAATTGTTGTATTTTGCTTCTTAGGATGCGTCATGTTTTATCATTATATACTGATCCGCACAATATCCTGAGAGTCTTCAGCATCGTATATTGGTTTAACGCACTCCAGTATCCTCCAGAGACCCCATTTAGACAAACTTCATAATAGAAAGTAAAATAATGATCTTGTTGCTAAGGTTTTGGGATTTTTAAATACCTATAACTGTAAGAGACAAATCACGTAAGTAGACAAAAAAGAGACAACAGCCACTATTTACTTAGCTGGTGCTGTCTACCAGGAATTATGCCAGGTGCTTTCATAGATTACTGTCACAACAGCGCAGGAAGATGGGCCTTCTGGTTTTATTGTCAAGTGCAGGGAGATGGGCCTTCTGGTTTTATTGTCAAGTGCAGGGAGATGGGCATTCTGGTTTTATTGTCAAGGGAGCTGTTGCTCAAACTCTGACTTGAGGGACAAGGATTGGTTGAGCCTGTCTGGCTCTGAAGCCTACAATCTTTCTCCCTTGTCATGTGGCACCCAATCATAAACAGAAAGTTCCACTGATCTGCCAACTGTTCTGCTCATTGTTACAATGGTTCACCACTCTAGTAGTCCGCAGCGCCACTGCCACTTAACACGTCTGCGGATGGTTCCCAGAACCAGGCTGCAGCCCTGCTGGAGGCTGGGTGTGACTCCTCTCTTGCTCATCATCTGCCTCTCCCTTGTTCTGAAAGAAGTCTTTGCATTGGTTTTAATGAATTTATCTCTGAAAATTCTGCCATCTGGAGTCTCACGTAGAACTCCAAGCCTGGGGTCGTCCATACTCACTACTCTGGGAAATGTCTTCATAAACCATAGGTTGGTAAAATGTAGATGATCTGTGAAAACCTAAGTTTAGGGCCACTGCAATCATCAGAGCCCAGGCAGATCAAAAGAACACAGGCTGGAACACAGGGTTCAGTGTGGAGCCACCAACATTGTAATTTGTACTTGAAGTTACAGCTCTTGAGAAAAGCTTTGGGAAGTGGCTCTTTCTGAGGATTGCCTTGATTTTTGTTTTTTAAAGAAATTGCAATCTGGAGTCTTCAATGAATGAAATATTCTATTTTGCTAGGATGGGGAGAATTACCAGTTTAGATCAAATTATTCTTTATATATCAAGCATATACTCTTCTCTGTGTATTCTTCTATACTTTTTCACTTGCCTAATATTCTTACAACTCCACTGTGAGGTAGGTTAAACCACCCTAAATTGCAGATCAGGAAAATAAGGATGGTAGAGAGAGATTAATAGGCTTGTTCTAAACATGGAGGTAGAAGGAATTGCAGTTGAATTTCCATTTAGACCCATTCATTAGTAATAATCATGCATTCTTGTAATAAAATGGATTATACGTTTTTGCGGGGAGATGTCAGCTCAGCAAACATAGCTTATTAATTTTTCTTGATTAATTGCTATTATATTTTAATAATGGTATTGTAATATTATATATTGTTGCTAATATGAACTTTAAATATACTGGGACTGTGATTAAAGTTGATTTGGGGATGCCGTTGTAGGATTTTACATCATTTTCTATGCTCTTTGAGTTCTTATATAAGCTCTACATCTAGTTTCTCTTGGTAGTGAGCCTAGCTGGCAAAGGCCGTATTGTTTCTTCTCATTGCTGTTTATAATATGCTTTTCAGGGAAACACTAGATTTCTAAGACTAGTAGACTTTGTAAAGCAGGAGTGAAGACCACAGAATCTTTTATATTAACTCTACTTCATGTCCTTCACTTCTTCTTGTTTTGCTTACTTCAGGCTTTAAGCAGTGCCCCCAAGTAGGTAAGGTAGGTAGTGAGTAATTGCCTGGTAAGTGAGGCACCCTGAGTGAGGAATGCCAAATACAGTTGGGTTCTCAGCAGGGAGATCATGGGCATTTTGTCTGAGCAAGCTTGGGTTCACATCGAGGCTCTGGGTACTATTTGTGTAAGTTGGCAACTTCCTCCTTTGCTGACTCAGTTTTCACATATGAAAAATGGAACAGTCATACCTTTCTTGTAAAAATGCTCTAAGGCTTCAGTGAAAGACTGAGAGATAAAATATTTAATGCAGTGCCTGCATCTTATAGGCATTTGAGAAATATTACCTCCCAGCCTCCCTTGCTGCCTTTCATCTTGCTTTTAGAATTCTTGGCTCTTGTGTTTGCTGAGGTTTTGTGCCGGGATCTAACCCATAGCCTTAGCTTTGTGATTGAGCATACAGTCCCTGGCACAGAATGGGTACCCCATAAATAGTTGTTGAATGAATAAAACCTCAAAACCTCAAATGTGTTGGTTGCTGTGGACTACACAGTGAAAATATTAAACTGTAATGGAATGATGTGCCTGGTCCTTTTTTTAATGCATCATGGTTTCTTCAGCATTAAGGAGGTAAAGATGTTTATAGACACTTCTCTGTTTTTCTTTCAGTGCCTGAAACAGTATGTTGAGCTCTTGATCAAAGAAGGATTAGAAACCGCAATTAGCTGCCCAGATGCTGCCTGCCCTAAACAGGGCCACCTACAGGAGAACGAGGCATGTGCAATTGAACAGACTGGGCTGTTTGATGTGCACAGGCGTGCACTGCTGAACTTGTCAGAATAACGTGGGTTTTGTTTGGGTGTGCGTTGCATTATATTCTAGCCCTCAGCTTGTTATCATTCCTGTTTGCATTTTTTTTTCCCTTAGATTGAGTGCATGGTTGCAGCTGAAATTATGCAAAGATATAAAAAGCTACAATTTGAAAGAGGTAGGTGCCTGGTATATCTGCCGGTTATGATTCCTGTAATGTGTGAATGTGGATAATTTTGTGGGGAGTTCTTTTGGTAGATATGGTTATACAGCATTTGATAGGAGTTAAAAAGTTGATGTAAAATAAACTTCTGAAATTAAACTGACATTCTGGATTCTCTGAACAGCTCACAGTTTGAAGACCTTGTCTAGTGATCTATTTGGTAGCAGGAAGAATTTATGGAACACAATTTGTTTATAAGGATTGAGGCTCCTGGGGGAGGCTTAAAGTTGATGGCTCTCTTGAGGTATTATATTTCAGCCAGCTTAAGGCTGAGTTTGAGGGCTAAACTCTTGGACTGGCCCAGAAGTTAAAAGATGCAGAGTCATGGAGGGAAGTCGTGAGGGTAGGCATAGCAGAAATTACAGTAACCCCCGTCCTAACAACAGTCCGATGGTAGGTGTCCTGTCTGCGCTTACTCACCACTGGACACAGACCTAGATAGTAGGTGGTGAATGAATAATCAAGTCCCTTATCCCAGTAAGTGTCACAACAACTCTGCAAAGCTAATTTGTCATTATCTAATAAACGGATCCCCAGAGAGGCTAACTGACTTGCCCTGATTTCTAAATATAGTGGGTGCTTTGGGACCACATCCCATGACCCTTCATCGTGAGCCCTCCACTGGGCCCTGAATAGTCCTTCTGGCTGGAGCAGGCCTGATGCAGACCCAGGGGTCCTCTGGGAGAGCAGTGTGGCAGGTGCACACAGAGCAGAACATGATTCTCAGGATAATATTGCAAAGCATTAAGCCATGTGGAATGTCCAGGAGAGGTCTTTAGCTCTGCTCTCTGAAATACTCCGGGGTCATACAATGAAACTGTAAAGAGTCTGTGGACTCTCTTTGGCTTTGTTTTCATATCTATTCTGGGCCCCAGGCTTGTCTGGTAAAGAGCAGAGTGACAGATGTGTGCAGGCGACACTCCATATGCAGAACATCATTGTGTGGACCTTGCAGGCGGATTCTGAGTTTGGATTGCTGGCATCTGCTCTCCCTCTCCCTGCACTGATTCTCGGGTTCTTGACCTGAGCAGGGTCTCACCACTGAGACACAGCCCTGGAGGGTGGGCTTACATGAAAACATGGCCGGATGGGGAGTGGACGGCAGAGGAGACCAGAGGACAATATCCAGAGACTCCCAGTTTAGCTGCATGCAGAGACCTGTTGTTTGTATATTTTTGCTTTCTAAAAGAAATGCTAGAGATAGCTGGGCCCAGTGGCATGTACCTATAGTCTCAACTACTCAGGAGTTCAAGTCCAGCCTGGGCAACATATTGAGACCCCGTCTCTAAAAAAAAAAAAAAAAAAGAAAGAAAAAGAAAAAAATATGTAGCCCACTTAAAAAAAAACTCAAACAGCATTTTTCATGGCATTGACATTTGTTTTCAAGAGTGTGTTTATTAAAGTGTCGTATATCATTTGCTTTGGGGCAGTTTATAGCTTTAATATAATGCCATTTGGTACAAAAGTCAGTACGTAGGGCAATAAAATTGATTAATTTAGACTTCTGAGACTTTCAGGCTCTTCTGAGAATATTTTCCAGAGAGAATCTTGACAGAAACTGGCTGTTGTTTGCGTTACAAGAATATGAACTTTCTATGACATTGAATTTAATTTAAAAATGCAGCTGGGTACATTTTTCAACCTAATAATTTTAACTGTTATTTCTTTAGTACTTTGGCTTAGTCAGAAAATCTTTTTTCCTTTTGCATAAACATGAAGCCAACTTGGCTTCTGTTAAAAAAAAAAAATCTCTCAAGCCTCTCCCTTTAAAGCATTTTACTAACATTATGTTCAAAGTTTTTTTTTTTTTAAGTATTCAGACTTCATACTATAAAAGACCTGTCTAGATAAAACGTTAGAATGTCAGAGCTAAAATATAGTTATGGATTATAGCCAGCACCTTGAAAGAGTTTGGAGACAAGATCAGAAAGCAAATTTTGACTGTCTCTATGGCTCTAAAATCTAGTCAAGTAGAGGACGCCCTGGAAGAAAACTGAGACAGTTCAATGATTTTCTGAAAACATTGAGTTACCAGAAAGTTCTATGGTTAGGTCATGTTGCGCACACTGTCTGCACTTAGTCTTAGAATGTCTCCTCTGATATAACAGCCTTGGTTTTAGCGTCAATGTCTTCCCCTTCTGGAGCTCTGGGGCAAGCAGGAAGCCAGGGAAGGGGGCCAGGAAGCTGAGTTTTCATTCTGAACACCTCCTCACAACTGGCTCACTCCAGAGTCTGGGTAGGGACAGATTCTTGAGCGAGGGGGTGTGGATGCCTCTTGCTGCGTGGACCCCTCTCTCATGCTACACTCGACGCCCGTGGCCCTCTGAGACCCAGCGGTGCTGTGCTAAGGGCGTTGCTGTGCACCTGCCTCTATCTGGAGGCTCAGCCCTCCCAGAGACAGGACTGTGGGTCCTCATGCCTTCGTCCCATGCCAGCCCAGTGCCTGGCCAAGTGAATGCTGATGTCAGATGTCAACCGTGTATTGTTTTTTTTTTTGTTCTTTGTTTTTTTTTTTTAAAGTAAAGCTCAGAGAGATTAAATAATACGATGGGTTATCCACCTGTAATCAGGCCTGACTAGAGCCGACTCCTGAAAATGTTGCCATCTCACAGCAGGATCAAACCCACCATCCCAGCCCTGCACCAGGCACCAGCCCGCCGGGCAGGGTAGTAAGTGCAGGGATGAGAGGGGATGCTGGGTGCATCGTTCTCTGTCATGTACTTCTGAAAGGAAACTGTTTTAAAAGGAAAGCCACCTTTTTAAAAAGTTTTATGCATTTTTAAGCAGGGAGTTCTTAAGAGACCTGCTTCATTAATCTGCCATGAATACGCCTCTGGGAGAGAAGAGTTAACATTAGTTTCCTCTAGTGTGCCAAAAAGCATATCATTTGCTTTGTTTGAAAATATGTCTCATACACACACGTGTGTAGATTGGGGAGGATAATGCAGAATGTTAATAGACATCTACGCCTCAGCCTGGGGCCATGTTCACAGGGTGTGACATGCCCCGGCAGCACAGGAAGGACATTTGCAGTCTGCAGTCAGAGCGGCCGTTTGTCCCTGACCTTTTCGATAGGGAATCTCTCCATGTGAGGACAGGCAGTGCCGTGTCACAGCTATATGAGGACAAAACTAATAAGATTTAAATCGTTCCCATGGAAACCTTAGCCAGGTCTCCCCTGTGTGCTATCCTGGGGGGCCTTTTGTGATGGGGATGCTTAATAGCATCCCCCACTGTTGAGCCAGGAGGGTGGACAGGAGGTGGTGCATGACAAATCACGTGCATGAAGAGACCGAGACCCAGCTTTGGGATGTCTGCTCCTTGCTGATGTCAGAAGCTCCTACTGCACAGGAGAGGTGGGGACAGCAGTGAGACGGAAGGGTCCCTAGCAGGCAGCGCTGCCCTTCTGGATCTAGCCTCAGAGCTATATCGGGAGGAGAGCAAAGAGCGGGTGAGGATTTCTCTTCCCGCGCAGCGTGTTGTTTAGTGCACACAGCACTTGCACCCTCCCGCAGGGCTGGGCAGACATGGGCCTCCTATCTCATCAGGGACAAAGCTGGGCTCACCCCACAGCACTCACAGAGGGCAGGCAGAGAGTTGTCGGAGGCATCGCGGGGACGGGATGGGAGCATGACCCAGGCCAGCTGCCTTTAGCCTTTGGCGTTTCCTCCTCACTGCTCAGCGTGGCGCTCAGTGCCCCAGGCTGGCATGTGCACCCCCTCCTTGCTTTGCTGTGACTGTCAGCTCAGGGGAGCCCCAGGCATCTGCCCCCACACATGTGACCCACAGACAACAACTGCGTTTTCTCAAAAAGCCATTTTGTCAGACCTGACAGCTAGGAACATTCTTAGAAAAGCAAATGTGGAAACTATCAACAAATAAGAGAAGAGCTAATTTTGTCCATTCATTCAGTATGAGGAGCATCCTGGGGATTTTAGATTATTATAATGAAGATAATTAGAGTAGAGCACCTGTTCCTGACCTCCAGCGTTCCTTGTTATTATCAAGTTCTTCTTAATCTTCTGCCACCCCTAACATTCTGACAGTTTTGTGCTGTTGATTAATTCATGCTTAAAAAAAAAAAGGCAGAGGGCAGCCAGATGAGATCAAGGGTCAGCCAGCCATGGCTAGTGGGCCAAATCCAGTCCCGCCGGTGGCCTGCTGCTGTCAAGTTTTGCTAGAACATTCATTTCCAGATCACTGTGTCTGCTTTTATGCAACAGCAAAGCCCAGTAGCTGCGACAGAAACCCAGAAACAACATGGTCCTCAGACTTAGATGATGACTATCCGACCCTCTGCAGAGGAAGTTTGCCAGCCCCTGGATTAGATGACTAGATCATTTCAAAGCTAGACCCTACACAAGATGGTTTCTGGAGAGCTGAATCTGGCTTCCCCATGTATTTGGGGAACATGGTAAACACACAGAGCCTTACACATACGTATGCGTGTGCACCGTCAGGACACCCAGTGGGTGATTTGTCATTAACTTCCTGCTGGTCCCGTGGCAATGCGTGTAGGTGAAGTCCCGGTCCACGTGCGGCGCCAGCATGTTGTGGATTCCAGTGAGTAGGAATCCCATGTGTGACACAGGCGAGCGGGAGCTGCCCGGCGGCCAGTCACAGGGCCCAGACATTTGCAAGGACTTGTCATCGCCTTTCAAGTCGTCTCTGAAACTCAGTTGTCCTGACTACTTCCCAAGAAGAGCCCCGCTGAAAACTTAGAAACCAGTGGCCTACCAGAACGCCTTTGGAAATAGCCCACATTGCACTGGCCTGGGAGAGCTTTCTGGCAGAGCCTTGCTGCTCCCTGGGGTGGCCACTGATCGAGAATTCGGCATCATGCTGGACAAGAGGGAAGATGAAATGAACAACCAGTCTTCCTACAAAGGGCAGCCAATAATTTAAAGAAATGCAATTTTTGGACAAGGATGTGAAGAAATAGATGTGTCAAAGTGTCTTGTTTTTAGAAATAAACTTTGTGGCTAATTCCATTAAATTGGGCTTCTTAGAAATGTGTGCTGTGATTTGGAGAGAAAATCTGGCCCTTGAAGGATTGGTTTCACTCCGTAGTTAACTCGTGGCTTGGATTTGAGAAGGGGAGGCCATCTTAGGCAGGTGAACCATTTGGTTAGAAGAACAATCCAGCCATCTTCCTTCCCTCTTCCTCTCGGTCTTCTAGCAGCATTTTCCTGGTGCTGGCTGTATGCCCAACATGGGGCCATCAGGGGTCCAGCTTCAGAAAACTGTCCCCTAGGGGAGGCAGATGAGCTAGCGCCATGTGCATTGCTCAGAGAAACCCGACAGGCAGGTGGGCCAAGCTTTCCAGGATGTGGAGGCCTTTGAGCTGTGAGCTGAGTGTCAGAGGCAAGCAGGGCTGACCCAGGGCTCCAAGGGCATTCCAGGGGCAGGAGCAGCATTCCTGAGGGATGTCTGGGTGTCTGGAGGTCTGTTGCATGAAGGGAGAAGTTGGGAAGAGCTACAGCGGAGGTGGAGGTGGAAGGGTGGCTTGGGCGGTGCTTCGGTTGGGGCTGGTGGTGCTGGCTGTATTACCTGGACATGTTCCTCCCTGTCCGTGCACTGAGGGGCTCCTTCCTCTGAAGCCCACATGACCCTCTGGCTTAAGTTTGATTTGTCCATTTTGTCTCACTGTACCAGAGGTGCTGTTTGATCCCTGTCGGACTTGGTGCCCGGCGTCCACCTGCCAAGCTGTGTGTCAGCTCCAGGACGTGGGGCTGCAGACCCCCCAGCCAGTGCAGTGCAAAGCCTGCCGTATGGAATTCTGCTCCACCTGCAAAGCCAGCTGGCACCCTGGCCAGGGCTGCCCGGAGACCATGCCGATCACCTTCCTCCCCGGGGAGACCAGGTACCCTTTGTACACAAGCTGCCACCAAAGGCATGGCTGTGGGCCAGGAGAAGCAGGCATGCTTTCTTCCTAAAAGTGCTGTTACAGTGTAAGTGGCTGTGGCTCAGTCAACCCTAACACACACTGTACCTCTTGAGCCTCACTCAAGCCTGTCATTATTTGTATGTCTATTTATTTTTGAGAACTGACTATGTACCAGGCACTGTGTGAGGCCCTGGAAATAGAAAGGTGTGTGAGAACCACACTTAACACGGCTTGGCTGGAATGACAAATGCATGCGTGGTTTGTTACTTTTAAAGGTTGCAAGTCCTGCAGTACCTGAAGTTTCTGCAAGACTTCACTGTGTTGAAGGTGATCTGAAATGGGGGTACAGAAACAAGAACAGGAGTAGGGTGCACTGGTCATAAATACTGTCTGGAGGGGGATGGGGAGACACTCCCTGGTGGCGGCCTCCCCTGCAGCCATAGTCGGGCTGTTTGCCCAGGAGAATGCTGCCGCACCACGCTCTGTACTTTGACATTTCGTAGGTTGATGCATAGGAAATTCATCATATCCAGGTCTTTTTCTCCTACAAAATCTACAAGGTCACGTGGTTCTGCTGGACACTTGCCCCTGCTCCTGTTGAGTCCAGGATCCTCATAGAGGAGCTGCCACTCTACCCACCACCCTCCCCAGGGTGTGCTCACCAGCTGCTCCCTGTGCGCCCCTTTTCCCATTCCACCGTCCCCAGCTCCTGTTCCTTTCCGTGTGACCCCTGTGCCCTGTTCTAGCCCCCGACCCTCTCAGGGTCCCTGCCACACACCCCTGGTCTCCTTCCGGGCGAACCTCTCTTCCCGTGTCTGGAGTGCCCTGCTCTGCCCTCCTCCTTTCCCTGGGGGCTCCTGCCACACTTCAGGTGGGGATCACATCCCTTTGTCAAGCTTCATGGTTCCGAGGACAGGGTTGGGGCCTCCACCCTCTGTGTTCCCCCTGAGATTCTCTGCATTGATTACAACCCTGGACATATTGGATTTGAGTTCTTGCGTTGACAAGGCCGATTCTGCCATCAGGATGAGCTCCTGACACACAGGGCCTGGGCCTTTCTGAGCAGCCTGCATCAGGCAGGCAGCTGCAAGCACGAACCACTTGTACTTATACTTCACGTGTACTTGGCATCTTAGGGGCTTCAAAACTTTAGATGGAGGCTGGTGAGTGTTTGGAGCCTGATGACTTAGTTTTCTTTATCTGTGACATTCTAGTCTCATTTAAATTATTGTCCAAAGATGATCTAAATCAAAATTCAGAAATCTCATTTTGTGGAAATTTTTAAATCAGAAGATGTCACATAAAAACTGGAATTTCTGGCTTCTCTGGGAAATCCGAATCCTAAGCCTCTCCGAGGCTGCCTCCCCATGCTGGCAGCCAGCGTAGCAGAGCCCCAGCTCTTGCTGGAGGCGCCTCCTGGGCCAAAGCCCCACAGTCCTCACTACTCCTTGTCCCCTGGAACTGAGGCTGCCTGTCAGCTGCCATTTATAACTGAGAAGACACTAAGCTATTTTTTGTATTGGAGGGTTTGTTGTTGTTGTTGTTTTTGGTTAAATCTTCTCCTCAACCATGTTTTTATCCAGCCCCTGACCACTTCACTCATTAGCATCACCTGCGCACCTCTTCAAGCTGCTGGGCCACGTGTAGATTGTGATTAAACTGTCCAAACTCCTCTCTGCTTTTATAATTTGAGTTTACAGTAAATGTTGTTAGTAATAATTTTAAATCCAATTCAGATACTAAGAAATATTTGAAAACCATTGTCTATTCCATGCAAAATTTTATGCATAGCACAGTACACCAGAACTTTCATATTTTAACGGTTTTCATTTTGAAATGTCTCCCCAGGAGACACTGTACACGCTGTTCCTGCCGTTTCTTCCAAAATCAGCTTGTGAGTCACATGAGAAAATTGGTTTCTTAGCTTTAAGGTCACACCTGGCTTTCAAACCAAAACAATGTTATCTAACCTAAAACCCAACCTTGATCACCAGATCCGGTGTCTCATGACTTCCAGCTTTTTGCAAAATCAAAGTCATTCTCAGAAGGAGGCCAGGCCTAAGGTTTACTCGGAGCTGGCTCTGTGCTGGATCCCTCTGGAGACATTTGCACATATGCTATCTCGTTTGCTCCTTGCAACAACCTTAGTTCATTCTTTATCACATTCTGCATGACCAGGTTGGTCTGCAGTTTGCTTTTAAATTGGAAGCATTTGAGCTAGTGACAGTTGTGTTATCTTTCAGTAACAGTTGTTAATAATAACTACTGTTTATTGAGTGCCTGGTACTTATGTGCTGGATTTTGTGCTTAACATGTTAACATGTGCAACCTCTGTAATCCTCACAACCGTCTGTAGAGATCGATGCTATTAGCCTTATTCATCTGGTTTGCAGATGAGACACGTAACACATAAATCGCACAGCTAGGATCTGTCTGTCTCAAGACTCTGTGCTCCTAATTAGGAGGACATACTGCTTCTCTCATTATTTCTTACTCTGTTGCCTTCTACTAATGGACCAAACAGTCACGTTCAGTTGGAATGTGCACCCCAAGTGGAGGATTGTTCACTGCCAATCATCAGACAGCTCCTACTAAAGTGAAACTACATTTAATGCTCATATTGACTGGAAGCTTGTGAGAGATCCTTCAGCCAGAATGCACTCAAAAAGCCAGAATTTGCTCAACTGCCGTGAATATATACCCATACATGTGTTAAATTCTGAAAAAGCTGCCCCGAGAAGGAGGGATGCATTTTCTCCTGCTGATGTTTGTTTGATATAGTGAGTTCCAACAATATAGCAAATGGACCCCCATAATCAGTGATAACTCCTCTTAACAGTTTATCATTTATTCCTTCAGATGCTTTTCTGAATATTCTTACCCATCTTTTAAAAATTAACAGCATGGGGTGAGTCATACCTAATGTCTGTGTTATCTTTCTTTAGCAACATTGAACTACTGCTACCCTTTATCAAGCACTTCATAAAAGCTGCACCCTGCGCTGTGCTCTTGGCACACGGAATCTTTTCTCATGGTCACACTGATGAGAAAACTAGGGCTTGGAGGGTTGCTCCACAGCTGGTTTGTAGCAGACCCAGCTCTGACCTCAGCTTAAAGCCCTTCTTGCTAACCCTGCAGACCTAGCCAACTTCTGAGGAAAACAATTCTGTAAGAAGAGCCAGGTGGATCTATCTCAAGTAAACAGTGTGTGTTTGTGTGTGTGTATTTGCAACATTTATTTATTTTTCTTATAACAGCAAAGTACATAAAATTTATATCAACCCTTTGGAAAGTAGACAGCTCTGTGAATAAGGATACAATATTTGACCTTAACACTATGATTCAGATACCTCCGTTATAATAAGCCTTTCGCTGTATTTTCTTTTGTTTGTATACATATATCTCTAAATTTAGATATGTGTTGATGTTGCTGTAATTTTTTAAAAATTTTTCCTAACTCAAAGTGGCTGATTCACAGTGTTCTGGTTAATTTTTTTTTTCTGGAGTTTCTGTTTCTTTGTTTTTTGGTTTTTGTTTTGTTTTTTCATTTAATACCAAGAAAACTCAGTCTGTGAAGTGGAGCCGATGCTTCCAGCATAGCCAGTGCTCCTGGGTCTCCCGTGGGATCCGTTTGTGCAGAGTCCTCACGGCGTTTCTCCCACAGTGCTGCTTTCAAAATGGAAGAAGATGACGCGCCCATCAAGCGCTGCCCCAAGTGCAAAGTCTACATCGAGCGAGACGAAGGCTGCGCGCAGATGATGTGCAAGAACTGCAAGCACGCCTTCTGCTGGTACTGCCTGGAGTCTCTGGACGTGAGTACGGCCTTCAGCTTCACCTTGCGGCATTTAGCTTTGAGGTTTAGATTTGGAATGAGAAAAATAGACCAGCTGTTTCCTAAAGAGCTTGGTGCCTACTCCTGTGTAACAGTGAAGCAACACCGTTTGGTGTTTCTCCTGGGTTTGTGAAAACATTAACTCATGAGCGCCATGGGGACAGAAGCCTTTGTGACTCGTATAGTCCTGGGGTCTAAACACTTCATGCAGGTTCAGGATCCAGCCTGGGATTTAAAGGGGTTTTAGCATCTTAGGTTTTGTCTAAGCGGGGACTGTCATTGTCAGTTTGGGCTGCTGTGACATAATATCATAGATGAGGCAGGTTAAATGACAGACATTTATTCCTCATGGTTCTGGGGGCTGGAAATCCAAAATCAGGGTACACCAGATTTGGCTCCGGGGTTCCTGATCAGGACTCCTTCCTGGTGTTCAGGATAGTGAGGACAGACAGAAGTGGGGGCTGGGGGGCTGTTGGGCTTGGGGCCAGTCTTAAGACTTCATTGACACTCACATCATCTACAGGGCGGGAAAACGTGCAAGCCCTTTGCTCTCTGGCAGAATGGAAGTTCTGGTCTCATACGGCAGCCTTCTCCTAAGTATGCTCTGCTTCAGTGTTTCTCAAACACACCCTACCGTGTGTGCCTGCAAGAGCCATGTCCCTGACGGGAGGGCACAATCTCCCAGGCCCACACGTCTCTGGAGCTTTGAGGCCTGATGCACAGGTTGCTGCTATTTAGCTTCTCATTCTCCTTCCTTGCCCATATTAGGGCGTGGGCATCTTGCCAAAATGATGAAGCTATGATTTTAGTTTTAGAATAATTTATTGATGCATACTTTTTTAAGAACTATAATTAGGCCAGCCTCGGTGGCTCACGCCTATATTCCCAGCACTTTGGGAGGCCGAGGTGGTCAGATTACCTGCGGTCAGGAGTTCAAGACCAGCCTGGGCAACATGGTGAAACCCTGTCTCTACTAAAAATACAAATTATCCAGTCATGGTGGCATGCACCTGTAGTCCCAGCTACATGGGAGACTGAGGCACAAGAATTGCTTGAACCTGGGAGGCGCAGGTTGCAGTGAGCTGAGATGGCACCACTGCACTCCAGCCTCGGCAACAGAGTGAGACTCCATCTCAAAAAATAAAAATAAATAAATAAATAAAACTATAATTAAATAGCAGGCCTATTTATCTGTTGGAACCATTGTAGCTAGGACAGTCCAAGCAAATCAAGTCGTGTTTCATGAAGGGATATATTTATGTCTGTTCTGCACAGCAAGGATGAATGTATCCAGTCCATCCAATAATAGTATTAAGCCATTCAGGTCTCATTCAAATAAAGCGGGGGGTGGGGCAGGGCGGACAGTCAGAGCAAGTCCATGCTTCCCATGTTAGCATTCATCTGTCCAGAGACTGTTCTTTCTTATGAGTGTTTCTGGGCAACCATTCATACCATGGGGCTATCTCAGAGCAGTTCAGCTTGGCACACAATGGCTGAGATGGGTCACCTCAGGCCTCCAAGGTGAAGGAGAAGTGGTTCAGACCAATGGGCAAAGTGGAATGAAGCACAGGCTGAGAGATTTGTCTAGAAGAAAATGAGTGTCTCTTTGAGATGGACTATTACATATGGTAACGGTCTGGAATATAAAGGCTACCTTTAAAAATTAGATTGCTTCTTTTGGAATTATTCCTTTGAAAGGCCTGTTGTCTCTTTATGAACTTTAAATTACTAAATTAATAGTAGAACGTGATGCAGCTGACAACATCTGGGTAAAATGTCACCATCTTCTATCCTGAGGCTTCATTTTTACTTCCTAGGCAAGTTTAATGAATCAGCATGGCAAGATGAATTTTCTTTAGCTCAAGTCCTCAAGGGGATTTGTGGAGTGGCATCTGAAGTCTTACCAAGTTTTTTAGGGCCTTCAAGGTCTTATTTATTTATTTTTGTATTTTACTGTATTCCAGTTTTTTTTTTTTTTGAAAACTGATCATTGAATTATGATATAATATCTAATATCTGGCCTGCAATTTATTACTCTTTGTAACTTTCCATAAAGAAGGAAGAAAGTGAAAAGTCAGTTTTCCTACACCTTGTCACAGAGCCCCGTGCGGATCATTTGGAGGCTGCATTAGAAATGGACTGACAGAAGTTTGGTTTCCCCAGGCTGCTTGGACCAAGTGACAGGGACTAGGAGGGAAGCTGCTGTTTTTCTCCTTCCAGCACAGAAGTGTGTCTTGTCTGCTCTAGTCCCTGAGGAAGGCCCTCCCTGTCCAGCTCCACCCTAAAGCAGGTTCCGCCCCTTGCTAATGGAGAGGAACCAGGCCGCACTTTTCCTCCATCAGAGACATCATCCTCATGGCCGTGCAGAGTTTCCTGTGTTTTCTTTGTACATGAAGAAAAATGACCCTGTGGCCAGAGGAAGCGGATGTGAAGGAGAGGGAGTCTACTGTTGGAGCCCTTTACCAAAGACATTAACAGTGATTTACGACAAGCACATAAATGCACGGCCTGAATCCAGCCAAGAGCACTCAGAGGAGAGAGGAGGGCTTGCCACGGAGCTTTTCTCTCCTGTTTCCCCCAAGCGTGCTTTCTGGCACATGCAGACATCCAGGAGTTATGAATATTTCAGACCGCCTCCTCCCCATCGTGGTCCTTACTGCCTCTCCTCCCCTGCTTCCCTCTCCTCATCTGCACCTGGCCAAGCGCATCTCCCCTTGAATCCTCACTGCTTCTCAGCTATCAGTGCTGGCCCAACATTTGCTATTTACTGTAAAAAGGGACATGTGCAGTTTCTTTCTTTTACGTATTTTTTGGCAGTAGATAGTTAATGTTTATCGAGGTAATTGTTCCAGATCAGCATTATACAGTTTGCTCTGGATACCTGCTTCCCTTAACGCACAGTATTTCTGTGAGTTGGAATGAGGAAGGCCAGAGAGGTTTATCTTTCTCAAACTAGTGAGGAAGGGAATCAGCCATCAGTCCCTGATCTGTCAAACTCTAAAAACCACATCTTTGTGTTAGATCAGGCTGTGTCAAGGCAGAGTTCCAGTGGACATTTTAAAGCTGAAGGTGCTAGAATTGCCCTGGGGCATTGGCTCTTTCACCAGCCCTCTCCCTGATTGCGGCTTCCCGGAGCTTGCACCATTGTTTCATCCCACCCCGGAGTTCAATGGAACTTTTCTGAACAATAGGAGGAAAGTATTCCCTATCACAGAAATAGATCTGTGTTCCTGCAGCTCCTGGGATTGTTATGCCTCAGGGCATCATCAATAAACTAAAAATCATAAGTCAATCATTTCTATATTGTGAAACCATATTTGAGTGCTTTTATCAGGGGATAAGAAAAGTGCTTTTTAAATAAACATTAATTTTGTACATGAAATCTGGCTGTGTGTCAGCCACTCCGCTCCGTTGGACCCCATGCGGGTCTGGTGAGATGAGGGTGGGGGGCGGGGTGGGAGGGTGAAGTTCTTGACCTTGAGGAGCTTGTCATCTCCCTGACGAGCCCCATAAGGCACGATCCGGACACATTGCTATGAAGGAGGCTGCATGGCTAAGGGTGTAAAGTCCCTGGCGGCCCCAAGGAGGAGTCAGGAGGTTACTGGCTCTGGGGGCCAGTGGGTAGCTGAGGACTTGAAGGCTGAGTGAGTTTGTTCACCAGAGAGGACAGAATGTGCTGAGCCAGGTTACTACCAAAGACCTGGGCACGATGAAAGAGGATGTGAACTCATACGTGGCCTGGCCAGAGATGCTGGAAAGACAAGGTGAGGCCCAGACGACGGCCCCTGTGTACCAGATCAGGGGCCTGGCCCCCAGCAGAGGCCTGTGCTTCCCAAGGATAGGATGGATCAGAATCACTTAGGGAGCCTGAGGACTGGGCCCTGCCTCAGACCTCGGAGTCAGTATCTTCAGCTTCCAAAAGCTGTCCAGGTGGCTCGGATGTGCAGCCAGGCTTGTCCATGTCTGCTCGCAGAGGTCAGTAACCACTTCTCAACTGGGTAGTACACAGGATTTGGTTTGCGTTTCAGAAAACAAATTCAAAAACGTTTAAAGAGCCTGCAGTGCAAGACATTGTGAGAGGCAGTCTGGAAAATGGAGACATACAAATGGAGAATGAGCTCTTCTCAGTGGTGTGTAAATTAATGTCAGCGCAAAGGAAATTTTGGTTAAGAGTTCAAGGAGGAGAGAGCTCACAGTGATGGAAGTGGACAGAAATAGCTTTGTAGAAGAGAAAGGTGTGGCCAGAAGTGGCTTTGTGTTTGCCTGCTCCTCCCTTTCCTCTCACAGATGGGGCATCTGGGCACAGAAGCGAGGCAGACAGTGGTAGCTGGGACCCCAGCCCCCAGCCAAAGCCTCTTGCTACTGCACCTGTAACAGCCAGGATTTGATGGCCCTCCATTCACTGTGCATTCAGACACCAGGAGGCTTGACCCCAAAAATCAGGAAACTCAAGGCTGGTGTCCTCCCCACAAGGAGAGGAAGTCCGGCTGCAGCCCCCAAACTGTCTTACCAGAGTTGATTGAAAGGAACAGAAGGCCATGACCCCTGACCTGCTCCTCCTGGTTTTCGGAAGAGTGACTTCCTGTTTCCTCAGGCGCATTGGGCCCTGTGTTTGTTTGTTCTTTTCTGAAAAAGCAGCTGTCTGTTTACAGCCTCCTTTAAATGAATCAACAGGCTTGCCCCTCCGTGGCACCATGTGCCTCGTCATTTCCTTCATTGATCAGGATTGAAAACGGTGCCTCCTGGTCCTGGAGGCATAGAGGGCTCGGTATAGAAATGCCATTCCCCTCACGCCAGTGGGTAGTCATTGAGATCTGGGTGCCAAGCACTGAGCTGGGGAACACACTTAGAGAGACCAACATGTGTGAGGGTCCCAGCTCCAGGAAATGGAGGTGGGGTGGAGAACGCCTGGAGGGAGGCGTCCACAGGTGTTCCTGGAGTGCAGAGAACTGCTGCCCACTCAGGATGGTCTGAGAAGATGCAGACAGAAAGTGCTCCCCGGGCTGGATCTTGAATCATGAGGAAAATCAAGTGGCCTGAGTGGAGAGGAAGCGCTTTCTAGGTGAGAAGCCCGACCTGATGGAGGGGGATGGATCAGCAACAAAGAAAATCATCCAATCCCAGGAATAGCCCTGTCACTGCACCAGGAAGATGCCAGGGCAGAGGGACTCTGGTGGAGTCACACACAGCCGGAGCCAGCAGGAGCTCTTTGGAGCAGCAGTGACCTGCGTGTTCAGTAGCCCTTTGTCCCCATGAGATCCCTTCTTTCCCACAAGCTCAGAAGCCAGCCACTGTGCAGGGGAGGTCCTTCTTTGGGCTGGGCCTGAAGTCTGGTCCAAAGCTCCCTCTAGAGCCCGAGGCTGTGCTGTCCAGGGCTGCTAGGTGATGAAGGGAGGCCCTGGGGAGGAGCGGCCTGGGCCTCCAGTGGCTGTGGCCAGGTGTTCCCGGATGCGTGCCCTTCCCTGTGTCACCTCCCTCATGTCTCCACTTATCATGAGCATAGGAGAAGAAATGCATCAATGGCTGTGATACTCACCGAACTGAGCAGGAACCACTCGTTCATGCCGTCTCTGTCTCTGCCCCTCACAGGATGATTTCCTTCTGATACACTACGATAAGGGACCCTGCCGGAACAAGCTGGGCCACTCCCGGGCATCTGTGATCTGGCATCGGACACAGGTAGGAGGTGATTTGCCTGGAAGGTTGATCTCAGAGAGAGACTGTGTGTGTGTGTGTGTGTGTGTGTGTGTGTGTGTGTGTGTGTGTGTGTATGTATATCTTTAGTGTTTCCAGACTTGCCTAAAGGACGAAGATCTCCTGGATAGAAAGAGCTAGTAGATGTGCTTCCTGCTGGTTTTTGCTGGTATAGGCTTATCCTTATGGAAGCCCTGGCCCAAAGTTAATGTCAACGCGCATCACATTCATTGTCTGATGGGTCTTCAGCATCAGACTTCAGATCACTTGCACGGGACTCATGGCCTTGGTCATGACCTGCTGACCGTGTTTAGGTAATCCTTGCCTAGCCCTTAACAAAGAGCTTTCTCTTGAGGCCCTGAGATAAGCAAGGTAGTAACAGGAATGGATAACAAGGAAGGAGTGGAAAAATTCCGAGGTCAGTGGTCCCCAACCTTTTTGGCACCAGGGACTCACTTCGTGGAAGGCAGTTTTTCCACAGACTGGGCAGGGGGATGGATTTGGGATGATTCAGCATATTGCATTTATTGTGCACTTTATGTCATGATTACATTGTAATATATAGTGAAATAGTTGTACAACTCACTATCATGTAGAATCAGTGGGAGCCCTGAGCTTGTTTTCCTGCAACTAGATGGTCCCATCTGAGGGTGATGGGAGACTGTGATAGATCATCAGGCATTTAGATTCTCATATAAGGAGGCTGCAACCCAGATCCCTCGCATGCGCAGTTCACAACAGGGTTCGTGCTCCTACGAGAGTCTAATGTCGCTGCTGATCTGACAGGAGGTGGGGCTCAGGCGGTAACGTGAGCAATGGGGAGCAGCTGTAAATACAGATGAAGGTTTGCTCGTTTGCTTCCCCCACCCCCACCACTCACTCCTGCCGTGCACCCTGGTTCCTAACAGGCTACAGACCGCTACCCGTCCATGGCCCAGGTGTTGGGGACCCTGGCCCTAGGTGTTAATGCCTGTGCAGTCTTTGGAGTTGATAAAGGACCCTCGTGTTGGTTAATATTAACTTGTGCTTTCAACACATATTTATAGCCTACCGTGTGCTGGGTACTGCTGTAGGAGCTGGAGATACAGTGGTGCGTGAGACAGATGTGTCCTTCTACGGAACTACGTTCTGTTTAGGGACAGAGATGATAAAGCAGCAAGGACACAGAACCTAATAAATCAGCTAGAGGTGACGTGATGGGGAGATGGTCAGAGATGATGGCAGGGACAGACCCTTTTAGGGCCTGGCAGTCCACAGAGCAACCCTGGATCTTGTGCTGGGTGAGTGGGAAGCTGCTGAGGGATTAGTGGCAGGAGGCACATTGGCTGCTGCTCCCTGCCTGCTCCTCGAGAGGCGTGAAGGGCTCAAGTCTGTGACTCCTTCAGGAGAGCCTCTGAGGCACATGTGTCAGCCTCATCTAAAAGATGGAGAAACTCAGTCTCAAGGCAGTTGCCAGGACGAGGGAAAGGTCCACCTACAGCTGCACTTCCTGGACAATCTTAAATGCCGACCACGTGGCAGAGCCTGTGGGCGTCCACAGCAGGCGATAAGACACGCCTCCCATCAGAGAGCAGATGCTGAGCATTCTTGGCCTCGCAGGCCGTAGGCCTCTGCTGCACCTGTCAACTCCACCTGGCGGCACAGAAGCTGCCAACGGTACGTCAGTGAGTTACCTTGGCCGTGTTCCAGTGAAACTGTTTACACAGGCAGGTGGAAGTGACTGTGGTGATGGTTGCGTAACTCTGTGAACACACTGGAAACCATTGAATGTGTGTACTTGATCTGAATTGCGTGGCACAGGAATTATGTCCCAATAAAGCTGTATGGATAAACAAAACAGAACAGATGATGAAGGCAGATTTGGCCCCCGGGCCATGGCGTACTGCCCTCTGGTCTAGAGAGTTGGTTTGAGCTCCTCTGACTGTTCTCTTTGCACGTGGCCCGGCACGGCTTGAATCCACGCCCCTTGCAGCTCTGCTGGAATCCGCGCCCCTTGCAGCTCTGCTGGAATCCGCGCCCCTTGCAGCTCTGCTGGAATCCGCGCCCCTTGCAGCTCTGCTGGAATCCGCGCCCCTTGCAGCTCTGCTGGAATCCGCGCCCCTTGCAGCTCTGCTGGAATCCGCGCCCCTTGCAGCTCTGCTCGAATCCGCGCCCCTTGCAGCTCTGCTCTGGCTGCTGTGACAAAGCGCTGCAGACTGGGTGGCTCAGAACAGCAGAAATGTATTGGCTCAGTCCTGGAGCTCAGAATTCTGAAATCGAGGTGTCAGCAGGGCCCTGCCTGCTCTGAAACCTGTAGGAGAGTCCCTCCGGCCTTGTCCAGCTTCTGTGGTTCGCCAGCCATCTGCGGCATTCCTGGACAGATCGATGCGTCACTGCAATCCTCCGTCTTCCTCCGGCTGCCTCTTCCCTGTGCGTCTCCACCTCGTCTTCCATCATTGTCCAAATCCCCCCTTTCTATCAGGACATCAGTGGTATGGGATCGAGGCCCACGCTAATCACCTCATGGTAACTTGATTGCATCTACAGAGACCCTGTTTCCAAAGAAGGTCACATTCTGAGATACTAGGGGGCTAGAACTTCAATATATTGTTTTGTGAGGACAGGATTCAACCCATAACAACACCTACACCCCCCTCCCCACGCAGCATAGAAACTGCCAGGAGGCTGCATTCCTCTTCTGTACTTGGTTTTCCCTGGGCTGTAGGTAGGGGGTGACTGGGTGCTGACTCGGGGGACCCGGCATTTGCACAGCCACCGTGTGAGTGGATGCTGTTGTGTGCACCTTGGCAGAAACTGAGTCAGAGCTTGGTGAGAACTCGGAAACCATTGCCCAACTCTGGCAGTTTCCCTGTAGAGAAGGTGAGTTCCAGGTGAGAGCAGGTGCTTTCCACAGGGACTCTGGCTGGCTGTTGCTGGGTGCCAAGCCTCCCACATACTCAGGCTTACCATCCTCACATGTATTTTGCTCTGGAATCTGTGGTGTGAACAGGGCTCAGCCAAGCCAGCCCATGTGCGGCCCACGTGGCATCAGCCGGGGCAGCTCTGAAGCTGGGCAGGAGCCCCTGCAGGCCCGTGCCCCATGCTTCTGGTGCTTGATCTGGCTGCTGGCTTGGGCCTCAGCTGGGGCTGGCAGTCAGATATCCTCACGCCATCGTGCCCTGGAGCTGCCAAAGGCCCACTGGTCTTGGAACCTGGGAGAGCCTGAGCATGGGTCTTGGCAGCCGCATCTTCCCTGCTCCTCCAGGCTCACTCTGAACTTTGGCCTGCAGCGCCCGTGCTTTCCCTGCCTCTCTCCTTTGCCCTGGCCGTTGCTGCCAGCTTGGTCTTCATCACTCTCTTCCTCTACTTCTCCTGTTCCTGCCCAGCTCTGCACATCCACATTCTAACCTTCTCTGTGGCCCAATCCAGGTGTGACCTCCTCCGTGAAGTCTCTTGTGTGTGACTGTCATCCAAGAAGAGCCCTCCCTCCCATGTGGACCCACCCCACTCTGGTCATAGCCCAGTGCTCATCTGGGTCTTATCTCTTAGGATACAGAAAAGTGCTCTTGGGAGCAGGGACCTGTTTTGCTCATCTTTGTAACCTCTTTGGCACTGGTCCTGTGCCTGGGGCACAGTTATCTTTGGAAGTAGTGCACGGGCAAAATCGCGAATGACCCGTTTGGCCGTGGGTGTTGACTCGCAGCCCTCTCCACAGGGCTAATGGTCCTCGTGCCTTCGGCGGCTTTCTACACGTGGGGAACTTCACAGGGGCCGGGCAGGGAGCAAAGGGTTGCTGTGTCCCCGTCCCAGGAGCCATGAGAGCTGCTTTATTTTCTGGTTCTGCTCCTGGTGAGGAGAAGGTGGAAGTGGATGACTTGGAGCTTGTTCGTCCCCATTCAAAGACAGGAAGAACTGTTTTTGTTTCTCCTAGGGAGGGACAGGAGTAACACCACCTCTCTAATGACACCTAATAGTTCTTCCTTTCTTTGAAGGCAGAAGTTGCAGTGATCCAAGATCGTGCCACTGCACTCCAGCCTGGGCGACAGAGCAAGACTCTGTCTCAAAAAAAAAAAAAAAGTTCACAAAAGTGCGGTGAGACTTGGAGCGATAGTGTTTGGGGAAACAGAGCAGCCAGGAGTGTCAAGCTGTAGCAAGCGACAGCGTGCAGCCGTTTGAGTGGACGCCCACCCTCCTTAGGAGCCCCAGCTTTGCTCGGACTCATCTCTGTCTGCCTTTTGGAAATGAGTCCGTGTAAAGAGCTCGCTTCTGCCACCTCCTGCCTAGTTTTCAGGCTTCCGGCATCTCCCCTGCCCTGTCCTTCCTCCGGGCTGCTACGGCACTGAGCGTGCTCCCAAGTGCAGTGCTGTGAAGGACACCTGGTAGCACCAGGTGCCTTTGTGGCACGTGCACCTGCCAGGCTGTGGGAAACTCATAAGATCGCAAGGCAGGGTGAGACATTAGAAGCCAAGAATTATTTCTTGATAATTCAACAAGCTGGAATATTCAAGAAAAATAGTATGAAATGAGTGGCACCTGAATCAGACCATAAAAGTCCTAAATACTGGATGTTGCAGAAAGTGCTTTGAAGGAGGAGAGGACAGTGTGAGCGGAGGCACAGAATGGGACACTCTGGGGCCGGCTGGGGAGCCTTCGGGAGTGCAGCTGATGGGAAGTTAGGGGCAGAGTCGTGATTGGCCTTGGAGAGGGTGTGGTGTCTTGCTGTAGACTTAAGTCTGTATGGCACTAGGGAGCCAGAGAAGGTTTTAGAGCAGCAGAATAAAATGCTCAGACGGGGCATAACCTGAAGACTTCTGCTGAGCCTCTTGGTCCTCCACATTTGGCCTCCCTTGTCATCTTCATCTCTGCAAAGCAGAATCTGCCAGCCTTGTGGCCTCAGAGGAGCCCGCTCAGGATGGCCTGCTGTTCTGCCTTCTCCACTCCTGTGTCTCTCTCTTGCCCTGTTTTGTTCCTTCTCCCTGTCAAGCTATATCCCTCCCATCCATTTTTAAGGCTTTGCTCCAGCTCCTGCTTCTCCCGTTACGTGTCTCTAAAGAGCCCAGGCCACAGCACGTGCTGAGCAGCGTCTTTGGAATCTTACTTGACTGCAGCCCACAGGGAGACATGTACCAGTGTAGTACCTTGTAACCCATAAAACATCCCTGTGCACACCCACATCGACATAACTTCCCCACTCTGTGCTCCTGCATTTTCTGTTCTGCTCTGTTTACTAAAGTCCTCATCTTGACCCACCAAATTGCTTTCCCGTCCTACAAATGGGTCAGCTGGGCCACCCTCTGTCACTGACCCTGCTGTGGGTTAGAACTTCTTGCCCAAGTCAGGTTTCATTGGCTCCCTGGGGACACATTTCTCTGTCACATAGGGGCTTGCTCCACTCAAACCTCAGGAGCACTCAGAACATGCCCTGAATTCAGTGTCCTGTGATTCCCAACTTTCAGGGTCATTTTGAAAGGTTCCTTCTCCCCAGTTCTTCCTCCTTTAGATGTGAAGCTCAGTAAGATTATTCTAAGAGATTTGGGGGAATTCCAACGTGTCTCTTTGAGATTGCAGGCTGCTTTCATTATTTTTTACGGGAGCAGAGGTTTTATATGCCACTTGCATCTTACCTGGCACTCTTGTCAAACGGAAAACAGTGCTGTAAAGGAAGAATTGTCTTTGTTGCATAAAGTTATTGTACAGTTTGTTTCATCGCAAGTGATACATTTTTTATTCAGTATAGCAGAGTCTCCTGTTAAAGTAAATGAGCATGAAAACCAGCAGAGTGGCCGCGAATGCAAGACCGCACGGTGGGCAGATGTCTCACGTGGGACTGACTGTGCGGTTGCTGGAGTGAGTGTGGGTGCTGTGAGCCGCACCTGTGCCCTGTCCATCTGCCCTCCTGTGCATTCGCTGTGCACACGATTGCATGAAGTGCTTGCCGGCCTTTTTCCAGCGCTATCCCAGAAATCAGCCATCGTGTGGAGGAGCATTTCATTTTCTCTAGAGTAACCTTACTTCCTTAGGACATCAGCATCTGACAAGGGAGAATCTTACCCAAAACCAGCTCTTCCTTCTCTTCTGAGAAGTGAAAGGAAACTTTCTTTACCCCAGTCCATCTTTGATAAAGAGCTCATTTTTAGCCAAAGGATGGTATTTACGAAAGCCAGCTGATTACTGATCTTCTGTATTCACATGCATCCGTGGAGGGGTGCACAGTGATAGTTTCAGAGACTGAGCCGAAGGACCAGGTGTTCCTTCCAGAAATGCTTATGTCCTGGAAGCCACATGCAGTGACTGTTCTAAGGGTATTTCTCACTGAGATCAGTGAAATAGGCACGATCTATCTCTTGTACTTACACCAGGATGCTAAGCTCTGTCTGTTTTAAACAAATATTGGACCTCTGGAATAGCTTTTTGGGTATAGATTTTGCATCTGTGAAATGAGAAAATTAGACTGGATTATAATCCAGGGATCAAATATGATACTGTGATTCTGAACTTGTCTGTGCCACCTTCAGTTACCTAGTTTCAGTGAATTAATAGTGTTCCATTCACCTTACCAGATCTCAGATTTTGGCTTAGTTTTCCAAGCCCTTGAATGTGGTTTGTACAAGAATTCTCTGGGGGCAGCCATTCAGAACCTTGTCAGTTTCAACTGGCTCGTCCCATAAACCTGGGTCGGACATTGATTATGAGAGGTGCCGGGCTGTGCATGGGAACTTAGAATGGTTTGCAGAAAGAGTGTTCTGGCTTTAAGTAGCACACATCTAAGAAACTTCATGGGAAGGGGTAACTGTTCCTTTAAATCTTAGGGTTTGCCAGTACGAACGAAGCTGTGCTGTACAGATTCTCTCTGGAGCCTGAAACTGTTTACCCATCCCTCTGCCTTCTGTGATCAAGTATCTGACACACATCCACAGCACACACACACAGTGGTTCTTTTTGCTTTGTGATATTTGCTTCCTGTCTCATTTTTTACTGCTGGCTGCGTAACTGGCAGTACCTGCATCTGCCTGTCACCAATTGGCAATACGTTGGGTAACCCGGCTTCTCAAACAGCAGGCAAATTTAGAGACGAGGTAGACTGAGTGAAAAGCGAAGATGGTGTGTGATTGGCTAAGAATGTGATCATTTGGTCCAGGATTTTGGCATTATTTTGACTGCAAAGAATGTGTGGCTCTTTCAAGACTGACAGTTGTGTGCCAGGTAGTCGAGGTTGCTCAAAATTTCCCTTCAAATAGGGTAGAGCTTACTGCATGTTTTATGCCTTCTGCATATCAGCGTGCACGTGATTTCAGTAAAGCACAACCTGAATTCACACTGGGTAGTTCCACCGTTGATATGTTGTTCAGACAAATGAACGTAGCCAGCTGGGCAGCAGGCATGGATTCCCAGCATTAGCACAATCCAATGTATAAATGCAATGTGGCATAATTTATTAAATGCAATCTAATTTATACACGTATGCACGTACGTGTGCATGTGTTGGTGTTGATTTTCAGGAGAAATCTCAGTCGAGGTATACTTTGTTCCACACATCTGGGATGCTTTAGTAGAGTCTCATATTTTAGGGCTGATAATGGCCCGTAAAGATCTTTTACTTCATTTGTTTATTTTATAGATGAGAAAACAGACCCAGGGAGAAGTGAAGGCTGAGTTGGAATGAGAACCATGTGCTGGTGCTTGCATTTACTGGCCACACTGAACACTAGGTGGCGGTCTAGCCCTGTCCTCGCTCTCATTTCTGCAGGCTGCCTGCCTGGGTTGGGACTCTGTGAATGGCGAGGCCGGCTGGAAAGCAGGCTCTGTGCCTCTTTGACCAGCCATGCCGCCTGACTCAGATGATGGCATGTCTGCATTTGAGGCTTATTTCTTTTGGCCTTTACTCATAACTAGGGATAAACATGTTTTCAAGCAAAAATCAAAATACGTAACAGTCAGTATTGGGCTTTAGACTCCAGGAAGGACAGGGGGCCAGGTCATTCTCTGATGCACCATGCCTGTGTCTTTTCTGTTTTCTCGTCGGAAATGCACTATTCCAGTCTTTCTTCTGTAGTAACAACCTGCTTGTCTCCATTATCTCAGCCACCTGCCATTGGAAACCCTCCTTTCCCCTAGCAAATGGTGTCTGTCACTCACATGGCGGGGGTGTGTGGGGCTGCACCCCTGGAACCTGATGGCAGTTTCTGTAGAATGTCTTGTTATCAGTTGATTAGATCTTGGTCTTTTTCTGCCAGACAGGGTGTTCCTCGAGGGCCAAGATGTATGCACCTCTGTATTTGCAGTGTCAAGTGCAGTGTCTGGGTCAGGGTGGCTGCTGAGAGGAAACTTGTTAGTTAATAGGATATATAGATGTATGGATGTTTGGGTGTTTAGATGGAAAAGGGTGGAGAGAGAGAAGGAAGGGAAAGGAAGAGGTGGAAAAGAAGAATGAGGGAAAAATGAAGGGAAGAATGTATAGTCGGTGGATGGATATATAGTGGGCAGATGAGTGGGTGGGTGGGTAGATGGTGGGTATATGAATGGAAGGGTATAGACTGGTGAATTGATGGGCAGATGGATGATGGTTAGATGGATAGATGGGTGGATGGGTGGATGGATGGGTAGATGGGTGGATAGGTGGATGAATAAAGAGATGGGTGGGTGAGTGGGTGAATGGGTGGATGGATGCATGGATGATGGATGGATGGATAGATGGATGAGAGTGGATGGATAGATGGATGATGGTTAGATGGATAGATGCGTGGGTGATGGCTAGGTATTGATGGGTGGGTGGATGGTTGGATGGATGGGTAAATGGATGGGTGGATGAGTAGATAGATGGATGGGTAGGTGGATGGATGGAGAGAGAGATGTATGATGGTTAATGGATGAATGGGTAGATGATGGTTAGATGGGTAGATGGATGGATGGATAGATGGATGGGTAGGTGGATGGATGGATAGAGAGATGGATGATGGTTAATGGATGAATGGGTAGATGATGACTAGATGGGTAGATGGATGGATGGATAGATGGATGGGTAGGTGGATGGATGGAGAGATGGATGATGGTTAATGGATGAATGGGTAGATGATGGTTAGATGGGTAGATGGATGGATGGATAGATGGATGGGTAGGTGGATGGATGGATAGAGAGATGTATGATGGTTAATGGATGAATGGGTAGATGATGGTTAGATGGGTAGATGGATGGATGGATAGATGGATGGGTAGGTGGATGGATGGATAGAGAGATATATGATGGTTAATGGATGAATGAGTAGATGATGACTAGATGGGTAGATGGATGGATGGATAGATGGATGGTTGGGTGGATGGATGGATGGATGGATGGGTAGCTGGTTGTGTGGTTTACACTTTAGCTCTGGAACCTACAGACCAGCCCTCCTTACCTCTACCCCTTTGTTTCTTTCTTCCAGGTTGTGGGCATTTTTGCAGGATTTGGGCTGCTGCTCTTGGTGGCCTCACCTTTCCTACTCCTGGCCACTCCCTTTGTACTTTGCTGCAAGTGCAAGTGCAGTAAAGGTGACGACGACCCGTTACCCACCTAGAGGAAGCGCGATGCTGGAACACATCCCTGCCTCCGGGAAGTGTGGCTCTCCCCCAACCCTCCCCACCGTCCCCCCTTCACTAAACATCTTTCTTGCCTTATGTGCCCCATTGAGCTTCACAGTGTCAGGCTGGACGCCGTGATTTCAGGGACCTATGTCACAATGTTCGCTGAGGCCCCAGGTGTGGTGGGGAGGGGAGGCAGGTGTGGGTAGCGCACATCCCCACAGATCAATCTCTGCAGATGACAGGGAGGTGCTGTGAGAAGTGCACCAGGCAGCTTTCTCTCTGTGGTAGACTAGGCATGTCTGGGGATGGCCTAAGAGACTTTCTGCTCCTTGGCTTCTAGATGGCACCATGTTGTCAGAGAAGTCTTTTAAGGACTGCCACTCTCTTCAGACAGAATCTGATTATTCCAGCTTGAGAGAAGCACTCTGTTTATGACAACTGTTTTTATTACTAATGGCATTTAGTAAAATCCTTTTTAGAAGGTATTTTTTTTCCAACTGAGTAGTGAAAATCAACAAGGTGCATATAAACCATCCTATGCCTTTCTTGAAATGTGCATTTTAAGAAGTTATAGTTAAACGACTTTTCAGGAGATTTAGAAAGCCTTATGCACTCTTTGTGTTTTTCTTGAAACTTGCTGTAGTAACTTTTTGAACGCTGTAAGCTGTGTACTGTTATAAGTGTGCTTCCTATATTGTTGCATTTCCTTGATAATATTGACGTGTTTAAAGGAACATCTCATCTCCATTAGATTTGCCTTTTGTTGTTTTCTCTCTTTGGTGATTCAGCTCAGCTCATGGGCCTCATCCCTTCTCTCCCAGGTAGCAGAAAACGCTTTTTATTGTATTCAATCCCACTGCTTTGCTCGGCAATGGTTCTCCTCCGAATTGCTGCCGTCTGGCCTCTGGCCTCAGTCTTCAGATAGACAGTAAGAAGAAAGCAGCCTCATTGATCCGCAGATGTAGGGGCCTCTTGGCAGAGGCTGGAGGACTCTGGGGGCTAGGGAAGAGCCTGCCAGATTTTCACATTTTTAAAATGTTCTAGTCATTTTGAGAAATCATATATCTTACACAGTTCCAAGTCCTGTTGCTAACCGTTTTGCTCTTGTTGGGGAAAAGAACCTCCCATTTCACTTCGTTTTAACGTGGGGATTTTACCACTTGATCTTTTACAGGGCTGTCTGTGACCATTTCCATGGCAGCAGGATGCAGGGATTAATAAGGACACATACACATTATTCCACCAATTGACTTTGAAAAGTGGAGAAAGTGTATTCTTTAAAGAGAATTTACTTCTAAAAGCCACAGGTGCTTTTACAAAGCAAACTGCATTGAATTTAAAACTTCTAAAAATAACAGGCAAATATTGTAGCTATATTACAGTGGGATTTTAAAAATCTTGTTAAACATTCTATAAAGAAGTAAAACAAAATCCTTTTATCTCAGTTATTTGCCCATCACAAGCACATTTTTAAAATGTTGCTTTGTGTGTGTTTGACTTCTGCATTTGAGTATCAGTCTCAGGTCCTAGTTTACTTTCCCTGGTTGGAAATTTATTTCTTATTTCCTAACATTGAATTCGTTAGAAAAAACAGCGTCACCTCACTCTTCACCTGTCATGTTGATTTTCCTTATGAACCCGAAGCCATTTAGAAAATCCCTGTGTGTCAAAATTACATTCAAAAAGCTCTCCTTGTAATTGCAAGTTTAGTAACTCAGTAAGAACATGCCTGCGACTCCCTTTCTGGATGGAACCTGGGCTGTGGCTCTCTGTCGTTTGTGGTGCTGTGATGGTGTCTACTGTTAGAATAGCTTTTCTGGAGGTGGGTGGCAACTCCACGCGGGAGTCATTGGCTGGGCTTGAGCCCTCAGCCTGTGATATGTGGATGCAGCTGTCCAGCCACTGCCCTTTAACATGCCCAGCACACATGGGAGGCCTGTGGCCCTGTGTCCAGTGGCCCACAGGACACGCCTCCACCATATGCTCATCCTTCCTGCCTGAAATTGCTGCTGCCCATCGCATGAGCCCACACAGTAGCACCCCCGTCCTTAGGATGAGAGTCAGAGCCTTTGGAAAGGCTGCATCCCCAGGGCTAGAGCTCAGATGACCTTATTTCTAGAGGGACAGGCTGTTCTGTTGGAAGAGTCTCTGGCCCAGTCATGCACATCTGTAGCCCCAGCCATCCTTGTGCCTTCACCTCTGATGTGTTTCACAAGCACGTAGTTCAACCCAGATAGGGACCACAGAGATTCTGGGGCCAGCCAGGGGCAGTCAAATTGGCACCTACTGGCTCTGACTTTTTGTATGAAGCATGCCTCAGTTTCCTCATTTTGATCTAGATATAAAATTAAAATTGTCCATTTCCTATATAAATACCAGCAAGATCACTCTGAGATACATAAACTCGCATTTCCTTCTGTTTTAGTAAGGAGTGCCAGACTTATCTTTGATGGGAATACAGTATGAACCCTGCTTGATGTAAAATGGAAATAGCACACAGGCAGATGGCCCTGGGTTTGGACTTTGATCTTGCCATCATTCCCCAGTAAAACCTGGGGAGTTCTGCGTTGAGTGGACGGACTTATTCCTGTGAAGCGGCATAATTTGTCTCCATTGAAAAATGGCATTCACTCTTACAGATGGTGTTCACTGCAAGCCCCAGAAGCATATGGCATGTGTTCACTAAGAGGCCTTTAATCCTGGGGAGTAAGGGGCGAAGGCCCTTAGACAACCATGGCTGCTGTACTGCCGCCCAGGGTGGGTGGCCAGTGAGGACTGGCCTTAGCCCAGTGGACCTGTGGCTTCTCTGAGGCCCTTGAGTAACTGACCACATTTGGAGGTTTTGCTGGAAATGCCTGACCTCTCAGTCTGGCTCTGCTGTGTAGTCCATAGCCCAGCCAGATGAGCTTGCAGCCTCATAGGAGGTCAGCACCTTGCAAAGATGCAGTCACCATAGATGTCCACGTAGCAGAGACTGACTTAGGATCTGAGATAAAGCATCGGATTGCAGGAATAACTGTCCAAATTAGTTCTTCCTCCTCAACTCATAGGAGTAGCTGTGGACAGAGGAACCAACATCTGCCACCTCTGGCATTTTCTTTCTTTTTTTTTCTTTTTGAGACGGAGTTTCGCTTTTGTCCCCCAAGCTGGAGTACAATGACAGGATCTCGGCTCACTGCAAGCTCTGCCTCCCGGGTTCAAGCGATTCTCCTGCCTCAGCCTCCCAAGTAGCTGGGATTACAGGCACCCACCACCTCACCCAGCTAATTTTTGTATTTTCAGTAGAGACGGGGTTTCACCATGTTGGCCAGGCTACTCTCAAACTCCTGACCTCAGGTGATCTGCCCACCTCGGCTTCCCAAAGTGCTGGAATTACAGGCCTGAGCCACCCCACCCGGCCTATTTTCTTAAAGGGGAACAAATGATCTTGACAACATATTATTCCATAAAACCAGTTTAGGGCACAGGCCAGTTCCTGATTAGAACACAGGACCTGTGGGAGGGACTATCAGAGATGCAAAAATTACTTCAAGATGAGTTTATTGTTTTCATTTGTATTGCAAAAGTTAGAAGTCATTTTACAAATTAAAAAAACATTTTTTTCTTGGTAGTCTTTAAAAATTAGGGGATTGAAAGGATCCAGGATGGGCTTTGTGTGTGTGTCTCAGATTCTCATTTATTAGTGAGCACACCTGTGTATATATATAAATCACAAGGAGATCATCAAGGGAAAACATTTTGCATGTGTAAAGCTTCATGAAGTTCTCTTTAAAAAATACCAAAGCTTGTTTATTTCTGATAATTAACCTAAGCCCTTATGAAAATAAACAAAATGAAGGGATTATGACAGGTATTACCAAAAACACCAAAAGGAACAAAGGGGCCTGCGTTAAAACCTAATTGCTAATGCTTCACAACTAGGAGAGCATGCCGTCTTGATGTTTAAAAAACCCAGGGTCTCCACCCTTCCTTTGATTTGTGCAATTCTGTCTTCCACAGTTCCGGAGCCTTCAGTGAGGGGTAGCTACATGCCCCATGCCTGCCCTTTCTTTCCTTCTTTGCTCACTTTACTATGGGTGTATTTTAATCTTGTATAAAAATATGCATGAATGAGTCATGCACATGTATACGTTATGTATTTGACAAGTGGTGGTGAAACAAAATCAAAACAGATTTGATTTGTGTTTTTGAAATGTCAGTACATTTTGTGCCACTAACACTGTGATGTATAAAAGAGCTGTTTGAATGCCTTTTAATGTTGTGTTTTGTACTCTGGAATCATATGGAAAAAGTTTGATTTGTAATTTCAATACATATTTTAAATGTATTGTGTCTTACGTAGTTTGTCCCCCCCTTTAGCAGGGATTCCTTTTTAAAGCTATTTTGGCTGGAATACAGGTGACTTTTGTAAACCCCGCGTGGCTCCGTCTTTTGTAGATGCTTATCTGACTACTGGCCTGAAGATGGAAAATATTCTATCTTCAGTCTTCAATATTTAATCTATTGAAGATTGAAAATATTCAATGTGGGAACTGGGGGTGGAGGGAGAAAGGGTGAGGCAGGGGAGGGATCTTATATCACTGGGAAAACAGCTCTTGTATCCTGAGATTTTCTGTTTTAGGAATGTTCTCAACTCCTAGATGCCAAAATTACTTGGTTTGTTGGGTGTATCAACCCGTCCAGCCATTCCTGGCTCCCTCTTGTGGTGCCCAACCGGTACTGCAGCATCAGGAAGCATCTCATCCCCACTCAGGGCGCTCTGCTTCCATCCGCAAAGACAAGTTCCTTACAGACCTGTCACATTTTATGAGTTGCAGCATGAAAATCAGGAGGCATCCTTTATCTGCTGGGGGTGGGGAGAAAGTGGAATAAATATGGATCCTTCTCATTTCGTAGGAGAGATAATAATGAGCTGAAGATGTGGTGGTTCACCTTGATTTTCATTCACCTCACTCCAGCTTGGAGGAGAATCTATACCTCATGCGTTCATATGATGCTCAAGTCTGGAATAGGCAACTGGTTCCTTGTCCTGTGTTTAAGTTTTAAATCCATTCTTTATATCTACAGGTGCACATTAAGGGAGTGGATTTTGTTAACTGGTGATTCATAGTGGGCACTGAAGACTCAATATATCTGCCCTCAAGGAGCTCTTAGTCTCAAGGGGTTGACAGATAAGTCAGTCAATTATCATAAGAAGGTGGAATAAGTTCAATGGTAGACGCACGCTCAGCAGGCTTTGCGGGCACAGCACAGCCCTTCGGCCAGGCCGGAAGGTCAGGGAAGGCTGTCCAGAGGACGCCATGTATGAGCTCGCTCTTGTAGACAAGTAGGAACTAGCCAAGCAAAACTGAGAAGTGTGTTCAAAGGAAGGGCCCAGTTCAACAAGCGCACAGAGTTTGGTCCAACTGGCGTGTCGGGGTTGGAGAGTTACTCAAATGTCTGACCTGGTGGGGGCACAGTGTGCCGAACTCAGGAACTGGACCTTCATGATAAAGGCTGTGTGGGAGGAGTGAGTTAGGGTCCTAGGGCTGCTGTCACAAAGGACCACACACCAGGGGCTACAACAACAGAGCTTTACTGTCTTCCAGGTCTGGAGGTTGGAAACTGAAGGTTCAGGTATCTGCAGGGCTGGAATCTTCTGAGAGCGGTAAGGAGGATGCCCGTGTTGCTCTGCAACTTCCTGGTACTGCTGGCAGTCCTGGGTGTTCCTTGGCTGGTAGATGCACCCCCAGTCTCTGCCTGCAGGTTCCCACGGCGTTCTCCCTGTGTGCACGCCTGTGGACACAGCTCCTTCATCTAAGGGCAAAGTCATATTGGATTAGAGCCTACCCTGATGACCTCATCTTCACTCGATCATCTGCAAAGACCCTATTTACAAATAAGGTCAAGTTCACAGGTTCTGGGGGTTAGGCTTCAACACTTTTTGTGGGAAACACAACTCACCTCCATAGGAGGGAGCACGGACTCTGAGTGGGCTGTCTGGCCCCAGGGAGGTCAACCAGAGAAGGTGGACGGGTACAGCAGGTGGCGGGGCTCCGTTGCCGGTGGTGCTGCCTCAGGTGCAGTCCAGAAGCAGTTCTTCCCTACGCTGGGTTGCACATCAATTCTTGAAGCGGGCCTGGAATGTAGGAATTGCCCCCCAGAAAACACTGCCAAAAAACAATGATGGTTAAGCAAAATAAATCCATATTTCTGTGTCTACCTAGGTACATATATTTGTTTCTAAAAATTGAAAAAGAAATTTGCCAGCAAAGAGTCTTATCAACTCTTAGAGGAACCCAAATTACAGGGCATAGAAGGTGGGAATGGCACAGACTTTGATAGCATGTGCTTATCTAGAAGGTATTCTAAACTTGACTTGTTTGCAGGAGGTACATGAGAGATTATAACTGCTGATGTGGCTCGACCACAAGACAGTGTCCATTACTCAGCTCAGCTCAGCTCATCTCTGTCTATACCAGTGAGCAACTCAGCCATTTAAAAACAGCAATTGCTGCCCACGACCTGGTGTTGGCTACTCGCTCTTCTCTAGCTAAAGTCACCCAGGATGTGCATTTTCGGATGAAGCCAACATCGAATGGGGCCCAGAGCAGCAGGGTGGAGAGCTGCAGTGGCTGCTATAGCCAGGGAAGGCTGGAGCCACATCGCAGGAGGGTGACTTCCCGTGCATGTGACAGCCTGGGAGCACCTGTTTCCTGTTTGAACATTGGGATAAAAAGTCTTGCACAGGATTTTTCTGAGGATAAATGAGGAAATGACAAGTAAAACATAGAGTACATTTTGGTGATAAAATATTAAGTTGCTCATGCAGTTCCACTGTGAATGTGGATGAGGCTCCCAACAAGGGTACCCACTCAGCACTCCTGCTTCAAGCACAGAAGGACCCTCTTCCCTCCTGTTTTCCTTGTAGGACCTGAGAAACGAACAGCTCACATCATGGCTCATGCTACCCAGGGGTGCAAGGAAGTGGTTGTGCGTACAGCCTGTGGTTAATGCAAAGAAAAATGGAGTCAATATTTTCATATTGGAAAATCTGAATTTGCAGTATCAAAAGTCATTCACTTGTTCTCCTAGGCAACTATCTGGGTCTTTTTAAAATATATTTTTATTTATTCTTATTTTTTCTCACTGACTTAACAGAATTCATTCAGAACGTGAGTACATGTGATGTGTTTTTTACTGCACAAGAAAGATCCAACAAGGGGTAGTCTCTTCTCACTTCTCAGAATTTATCAGCTTATCACAACTTTTATGAAAAGCCCAAAATGCAAAAGGGAATAACGTTTCAAAAGCTTCTGACAGTTGGACTCCATGTTCCTTTTATCCAGGGGTTTAAGAAATTAACATTGTAAATAGGTTTTCATATTTGCCTGCTGTTATTGGACACATAGTGGTGACTTACTGAATGCCTGTCAGATAAAGGAATTAAACTCCTGTTGCTGGGGGTGTGTGTGTGCAAGAGCCTGTATGAAGTACATGTGTGAGTGTGCATGTGTGTCTATGTGTGTGACTGTGTGTATGAATGTGTGTATTTGTAGTGTGGGAAGTGTATTAGTCCATTTTCATGCTGCTGATTAAGACATCTGAGACTGGGAAGAAAAAGAGGCTTAATTGGACTTACAGTTCCACATGGCGGGGGAGGCCTCAGAGTCATGGTGGCTTCTTAAATGGCAGTGGCAAGAGAAAAATGAGGAAGAAGCAAAAGCAGAAAGCCCTGATAAACCCATCACATCTCGTGAGACTTCTTCACTATCACGAGAATAGCGCAGGAAAGACCAGCACCAGTGATTCAAGTACCTTCCTCGGGGTCCCTCTCACAACATGTGGGAATTCTGAGATATACAATTCAAGTTGAGATTTTGGTGGGGACACAGCCAAACCAGTCACTTGGGATGGTTCAGCTACAAAAAAGCCTTACGCTTGAACTGGAGGTGTAGACAGTCCAGAAGCAAAAGCCTCAACTGTAGTTGGAAGAAATCCCTATTGTGAGCTGAGAACCTCTTCTGAGCCAGGCATTTGCTCACTGCTTTCCATGGGTTGTGTTTCATGCTCACAAAGCTGCGAGTCTTATCTTCATATCACTGGGGCTTGGAGAGGCCCATTTGCCACAAGTGACACCAAGGATAAGTGGCTGGTGAAGCTGGGAACCCAAGTCTGCCCTGCGGGGACCCAGTGTTCCTCCCACCACACATGGCTTCCCTGGGCCTCTTCCTGATTTACCCTGACTGGCACACAGAGACTTGTCTCAGCCATGTGGGGTGGTTTCCTTTCTGTTCCTGGGATAGTTTAAATCCTGCATCTGAAGATCGCATCCCAGGAGAAGAAACCCAGTCCTGTCTGTTTTCAAGCCAGCAAGATGAATGAGAAAAATGAGCTCAGGAAATCCTGAGGGGGAAATAGCTGCTCTCAGGCACACCCGTACGATCTCAGATGATTTCAGAGATTACAGGCAAAACATGGCTCATCTCCACCTTCAGATAATCGCATACACAAGGACCTTCCAGGGGATAAGCATCAGGTGGGAGATGGTGCCCATCGCAGGACAAACACTGCGCTTCCTGAATCAACATGTTGTTCACAGGAGAAACTAATTATCAAAACCACCCTGGGACGTAAACTATTATTATCACAATTCTTCACTTTAGGCAAGAAAATTAAGGCTTAGAATCATTAAGAGTCTTGCCCTATAACAAACAACGAGCAGACCATGGGGCCCGGCCCAACCCCACAGCCAGTAGGAACACACCTAGGCAGGGTTCAGTAAGACACCCAAAGCCACGTGAAGGTCAAGGATGGGCCAACAGTGCTCAGAGGAGCCTCCCTGCAGAAAGGGTGTTAGGGAGACTGCAGTAGGGGCCACGTTGCTTGGAATTAGGGGGTGGCCACAGCATGGGGACCTTTCTAAGCTATGTTTCCTTGGCAGCAAAGTACTTCATAGGAAACGATCACCTTGGAAATTAAGATTTCCACAATCTGAAGCAGAATTAATCCAAGAGCCAAAATGACATTGAAAACTGCAGAGGTAAGTGCTGGTGAAGTCTACTCAACCTTCTGGAAGAGATTCACTTTCACCTAAAGCCAAGTATGAATGCACAGACAGCAGCTAAAACACAGCTGTCTTGGGTGCCACAGGCTCTTCATTGGATACCTACTTTGCAGAAACCCGTGGCAACTGAGAATGATAGAGATGCAAAGCCTCCTAGTCCCTCCTCCCCACCGGGGGCTCAGGATGTGGTGGGATTTACAGTGTAGACAATTACTCTCCTATGAGAGGGTTTGTGGGGCCCTATAGGATCACAGAGGAGGAATGAATGGCTGCACCTGGAGGGAAGGCAGGGCCTGGGGAGGCTCCCTGTGCAAAGGTATCCCTCTGAGTTGAGGGTTGAAGGCTGAATAGTTTTCAGCGGGGGCTGTTGGGGGATGGGCTGGCCTTCCAGGCAGAGGAGGGTAAGGGATGAGAAACAGAGATATGAAGGTACCGCATTTTCAGAAACACTGTATAGTGGCTGAGCACAGTCAGTGCTCAACAAATGTTGCTTGAATGAGCAAATGATGCTTCCAAAATAACTAAGTCCAGGAAGGAGGTGAAATTGGCTGTATATAAATTATTGATCAATGGTAAGGCAATGAATGAGAAATGGCTGATTAGGTAACATCATTCACACTCAGGAGAGAAAACCTCTGGAGATTTTGTTTGCTGATTTCACCTGGCATACAAAATCCTGAAAAACGAGTCTCTTGGAATCCACAAAGGATGAAGATGACAAAAATTCAACTGTGCTCAGCGATTTGAGTTTTCAACGACACGAAAATGAGGTTGCAGTCAGAGTGGATCTTTTTCTCATTTCTGCACAACTCTTAATACATTGTTGGTGCACAATGAATGTTAAATAATAATTTAATGTTTTTATTAATGACAAAGGAGGAATCAACATATTAATGAAACTTGCAGATGATACTAAGCTGGGAGTTATTACAAACACCAATTAGGAGATGAAGACGATGAAGAGGGACCGAGGAAAGAAAGTTCCAACAAAGTGAGCTTCTGTCTTGCAAATACAAGCAAATGCACCTGCAAAAAATGTGTACTGTGGGAAGCTCAGAAGGCGAGGCTAACACAGGCTTAGGAGGGAAAGCAGTCCAAATGCAACGGCTTTTGGAAACGCCAGGGGCAGGATGTGTGATGAAAGTCATAAGAAAAAGCACAATCTCCTCGGCTTTTTCAGTCGAAAATGCATTCGATACCAAGTTTCATTTGGTTGCACGTTGGAAGCTGGTCATGACTTTGAAGGAAGAACTGTTTGCCTTTCCCAGGAGATGAATTCACGAGTGAGTAGGACCTGGTTCCCTGTCCTCAGTTCGGGTCCTGATATGGTTTGGCTGTGTCCCCACCCAAATCTCACTTTGAATTATAACAATCCCCACACGTCCAGGGTGGCGCCAGGTGGAGATAATTGAACCATGGTGGTGGTTTCCCCATATTGTTCTCGTGGTAGTGAATAAGTCTCAGGAGATCTTATGGTTTTATAAATGGGAGTTCCCCTACGCAAGCTCTCTTGCCTGCCGCCAAGTAAGACATGACTTTGCTCCTCCTTCACCTTCTGCCATGATTGTGGGTCCTCCCCAGCCATGTGGAACTGTGAGTCAGTTAAACCTTTTTTCCTTATAAATGCCTCAGCCTTGGGTATGTCTTTATTAGCAGAGTGAGAACAGACTAATGCAGGTCCTCTTCAGTCTCTCGTGGACACACCTGGGGCCTCCTAAAGTATCTTCTGCTCCCAGCCTCCTCCCTTCTCACCATTCTGTTCCTGGGGCATTCTCTGTTTCCATCTTGTGATGCTTCTGTTGAAAACCATTGAGAGCCTTCTGCTTCCTGTGTCGTTAAATCCAAATTCTTCACCGTTGCCTATATTTCAGTAGCATAAATTCTCTCATATACCTTTAAGGGAATGGAGAGCAACAGTCTTTTGAAAGACAAGCAGATTCTTGGCTCCCTCACTGGCCTCCATGGGGAAGACTTAGGACTCTGTATACCAGCATTGGAGGGGAATGTCGAAGGGAACGGGAGCTCCCAAGGGAGGAAGTGCTGGAATCCCAGTGCTGTCAGGACCACTCAGACCCCGTCTATATTTATAAACAAGGAGAAGCTCAGTGAGGCAGAATGCCTCGGGTGCAGTCTTGAAGCTAGTTCCTGGCAGGGCTTGGACTGAAGTTTAGATCCTCCCTTTTCTTCATCAGTGCCTTGGTACCACACCACACAGACCAATGCAAATGCACGGAGACATCACAGTCTAGTGCGGCAGGCCGGAAGGTGATGATCACACTCCACAGGTGGTAGCAGAGAGGAGCTCCACCCCCTGCAGGAGAAGTCAGAGCAAATTTCTGGAGGAGACGGAATTGGGGTCGGGGATGGAGAGAGCAGGGGGTTGCTCAGAGCACAGATTGGGAGGGAATGCCACCACACAAACACACCCATGCAAGTAAAGCCGCAGACGCCCCAAGAGAGCTTGGCAAACCTTCAGTGCAGAGCTGAGCTCCAGTAGGGTGAGGGGATTGGAGGTGGAGCAGGTGGACGGGGTAGAGCGGTAAGGGACAGAGGGGATGCACTTTTTAAGGTTTAAGCCAGGCTGGAGGATTTCAGGTTAAGGTTGGTGCTGACACAATAAGATATGGGATTTGCCTACGCCACGGTAGCTGCATGTAGGGGAGCTTGGATGCAGAGGATGAGGGCCAGGACATGAGGTTAGGAAGCCGCCAAAAGGAGCAGCGAAGAGGAGATGGGGGTCTATGCCCAGCCTGTGGAGTGGAAAGTAACAAGTATCAGTAAAAAGACAGTTGAGGGCAGGCACAGTGGCTCACGCCTGTAATCCCAGCACTTTGGGAGGCCAAGGCGGGTGGATGACCTGAGATCAGGAGTTTGAGACCAGCCTGGCCAACATGGTGAAATGTCATCTCTACTAAAGATACAAAAATTAGCTGGGCATGGCGGTGGGTGCCTGTAATCCCAGCTACTTGGGAGGCTGAGGCAGGAGAATCGCTTGAATCCAAGAGTGTGGCTCCCAGATGAAGATGTTCTGCCCTGGCTGCTCCACTCCGGTCTGGTCTGGCTGCTTCAACCTCATGGGATCTTCCTGAGCTTAGTGCTGACTTCCAAGAGTATCAATGAATCCCCCAGTATTCAGAATAACCCAAGGACACCCTCACCCAGGTATGCCCAATTCTCACTCATATTACTCCTCCCTTAGTCCATCTTAATTAGAATGCCTAATTGGAAGTAACATAAATACCTCCAAAATGCCCTATTGCCTCTGTAGCTGTGCCCTGGAGAGAGGAACTCATAAGTTAACAGTCCGTGGTGTCACTCAGAAAGCAGGTGGTTTATACCTTGGCATCACCTCACCTTGATTCTGAACCAGAAAAAAAACAAAACGCTGGCCGTGGCAAACATGAGAAAAGGCTGAGATGATGAGAAACCTTTTTCCTTTCTTCTGTGGTGCTTCACTCCACCTGGGAGCTCACTGCCTAGCATCTAACATGAGGAGCCCCGGCACTTTTCATTTTCTAGTCCTCACAAAAGTGCTACAAATAAATATTATTTTGTGCCCATTTTATAGATCAGAAAACCTAAGTCTCAGTTAAGTTCACCTGCTCACAATGAAAATTAGTGACCCATGAAGCCAGAATATGAGCTGTCCTGTGGCCTCCAAGGATGGTTCTCTCCACTGAATCATTGTGTTGGCTAGTGCCTCTTCTGAAACAGGGCTCTGTAGAGGCAGCGAGGGGTCATTATTTTAAGAGAGAAGCTCAATGTGGTTTAGAAAATGTGTTCTGAGCCTCACCCATGCATGCATCCACCCAGGCTCCCCAGGGACTCTTGCAGTCTGTCCCCAGTCCTGTGTTTCAGAAGGGAAGACTCTGGCTGTGACCCCCATGCTGAGAGCATGTTTTAGGTTTCTGTTGTAACATGGGGTGGGGGGGAATCACTCGTTTACCGAGGACCTTCCTGTTCTCTGGAAATGCTCAGCTTGTATATGAAACAGAAGGATTCCTGCACAGGAGCCCCCCTTTCCAACACACACACACACACACACACACCATTTGCATATGTAATATTTAGGCAAAGCTGGGAAGTTTCCTTTATTTCGCTTTACAATATTTATTTCATCATTTGTCTTCTTTCTCCTGCACTGCATTAAGTATCTCTTGAAAATGACTTCTGTGAAATACTTCCATATGTGTTTAAACTTCTACAACATAATTTTTCAGTTCTTAGTGAAATTGTGAAAGTCAGTTTAGATATTTGCAACTGGTGATAAATTATTTTATTTGATTCCCATGTTATTTTCTTCTCTGGCTGGTATATAATATAAGAGTTGGAAGGAATCGCAATAGGCATCTATCTACCGTTTCTAAAAATGTGGTTTTAGACCAGAAGCATGAGCATTGCCTGAGAATTAGTCGTAAATGTAGACTCTCAGCCCCACCTCAGACCGAGTCAGAACCTGGATTTTCAGAAGATCCCCAGGTGACCAGGATGCACATTATATTAGTTGTTTATTACTGTATAACAAATTAGAAAAAATGTAGTACCTTTAAATATGTTTATCTCCCAGTTTCCATGGGTCTGAGTTCTCTACTCAGGGTCTCACAAGGCTAAAAAGATGTCAGCTGGGCTGTGTTTTCATCTGGAGGCTCAATGGGGGAATTATCGGTTTTCAAGTTCTTTCCATTTGTTGGCAGAATTTATTTCATTCTGTGTGACTGTGATCTCAATTTTTTGTTGTCATCTGGAGGCCACCCTTGAGTGTTGGAGACTGCCTACAGTTCCATGCCATGTGGGTTTCCTTAACATGGATGCTTATTCATCAAATCAGCAAAGAAAATTTATTTCTAGTGTATGATAGCAAGGTAAAGGACTATTTGTTTTTGTGTATATGTATACATTTGTAAGGTACATGGATATGCTTTGGTTAAGAATTAGGCTGAGCAGATACCCAGACCTGCCAGACTCAGCAGGATTGGTGCACAGGTGCACACCTCCACTTGTTATATAACCTGTTTGTGTAAGCTCATACTTGGCTGGGAGCCACTGTCATTTGAGAAAGATATAACTGCCCTGCCGATGCCATACAGGTGCTCTTGGGCATGGCTTGACATGGCTGTTGTGCAGGCACTGGTGCCCAGAGAGAGAAGCAGAGCTTGTCCATCTTGTAGACAGACAGGAGCCAGTGCACAGCTCAGCATGGCATGGCATGGCTTGTGCTTGTGGCCAGAGAGAATCAGCTAAGCTGCTGACCCTGAAGGCAGGGGAGAGCCGGCTGCTGCTAACCCTGAAGGCAGGGGAGAGCCAGCTGCGCAGTTGCTTGTGGGAGTGGCCAGCTCAAGCAGCTGAGACAAGGCAGACAGTGTGAGAAAGCAGCTGATGAGAGAACAGTGTGAGAGAGCTGTTAATGAGAGACAGCCGCTGAATAAAACAACATTTCGCCTGCCTACGGCCCCGCAAGTGTTCTTTCAGCCATCACCCACTACCCTGGACATAACATTCATATCATACATGCACACACATACATATACATACATATGTACATATACACAGAGATATATAATCATAGGAGTGACATCTTTGCCTTGGTGAGAAGTTGCAAGTCTTGCCCACACTCAGGTAAGGGAATTATATAGGGTATGGGACACAAGAGCTACCCTAGGATTTTTCTGTCATGCAAGTTAAAGTCTGAGAAATATTGGGCAAATCCAATCTGTTGCCAAATCCCTCATAGGTGCTAGTACCTAAAGCTTTGTGCCACGGTCTGAATGTATGTGTTTCCCCCAAATTTATATGTTGGGACATAAGACTCACTGTGATAGTATGAAGGGCTCAAGGGAAGTAGCTAGCCCTTTTTGCCTTCCGTCTTTTCCACCATGAGAGGACCACAGCAAGGGGCACCATCTTGGAGGCAGAGAGCTGTCCTCACCAGAACCACACCTGCCAGTGCCTTGATCTTGGACTTCCCAGCCTCCAGAAATAAATTTCTGTTCTTATCAATTACCCAGTCTAAGGTATTTTGTTATAGCCGTACAAGCAGACTAAGACACTTTGCTTCTGTACCAATTTTCCTAAGTGACACACATTGGTTTCTTGCTCCCCTCATTTGATTTTTAACCACTGTCCCTAGCTCCTACACCACTGTTCCACCCAAACCTCTCCTGCTGAAGCCACTAGTGACTTCTCTGCCACCATGCCCTGCAGTTGCTTTACTCTTCCTGATGGCTTCTCATCAGCATTGACAGGCTGGCACCTCCTCTTTGAAATGCTCTCCCTTCCTTTACTGTCCTGTAGCTCTCACTCTCCCAGTTTCCTTCCCACCTTTCTGGCAATTTTTTTCTCAGCCTGCTTTGTGCCTTCTCTTCTCTTCTAAGCTTTGCAAATGATGGAATTATTCAATCCTGAGCCTTGTAGCTCTTCTCAGTAAGCTTTCTTTTCCAGGCAATGCCCCCAACCTACCCAGCTGAAACTGTTTCTCTGAGCTGCAGTTTCACACACTGAATGGTTCATGCTCAGTATTGCATCTTGATTTGGTCTCAAAAGTTCTTAAAATTACACCTGCTCCCAAATTAATGTTTGAAACCATTATACCACCTTTAGCCTACTCCTTCCCTGCAGCTCCATAACTTAGTACTGACACCGCCATCCTCTCCACTGTTCCTTCTCAAAACCATTCTTGACACTGACCTCTTTAGCACTCACACATCTAATCTTTCACTAAGTTTTCAATTTTACCCCTAAATACCTCCCCAGCATGTTTATATCTTACCATTTGCATGGCCAGGAGAGTCTAAGCAAAGCCATTACCCACTCCTGTGTAGGCTACTGCACAGGTGAGTCTGAAACCCCAGCAGGTACCATTTATTAAGTCTGCACTTTCCCAGACCAAACATTCACAGTTCCAAATTTCATTCATGCCTATGATTCTAAGTTGATTCTCAGGAATTAAACTGAAAATCCCAGGTTTTTTCTTACCAGTGGAGAATGGAGTTCACAAAAAGCATCCACGGAGCAAAACTAGCACTGTCCTGTGCAGGTCTCTAGGACTTTCCTCAGAGCAAGTGACTTACCTTGTCACTTGCTTCCTCTCATTGTTTAGACCTTCCTACCCAGATGCTGGGCGAGCATGCACACTCTGTAACCTACTGACGTCTAGTGAGGGTCCTTATGGAGCCTCTGCTCTGCCCAGTAACTAGTCAGAAGACTAGGTAAAGGCTTTATTTCCTTCCCCAGCCCTAGCCCAGTGGTTTGCTGGGAATTTCTCACCCATAAAACTGATTTTAGCATTAGAGTTAATGACTTTATTTCTCTGTGGTCTTGGTTCTCTTACAAATTGGGAAGCCTATAAAATGCACTAGCCAGGTGGAGGAAAGCCTCATGGTGGCCGTTCTGATCTTACTATACCCTTTCTGACATGCTCACTGTTGGTCTCCTTCGAAGGTCTCTCTATGCCAGACTGAACTTGCTTCCTGTCATCCCACACCCATGGTAAGATGTGCCCTCTGTGCTTCCCTTACAACCTAACTTCTCCCATGCTACCATCAATTTCTCAGGCAACTGTGAACCTCCCTCCTTATCTTGGGACATGTCTCTCCTCTGCCACTTATGACTGTTATAGACTGAATTGTGTCATTCCTCCATCCCCCCAAATTCATATGTCAATGCACTGATTTATCTTGAGTACTTCAGCCACACACCAACCATCCCTCCTCAGCCCACCCACCATTCTCAATCTGAGGGTATCTTGGCTCTTAACTCTCTTCTAGGTCATTCCAGTTATGGTTCCTGCAGCACTGGCCCCATTCCACTTTTCGGGTTTTCAATATCCTCCCAATGGCATTTCCTGCTGCTGCCCTCAAGTGTTCCCTCCCCTGTGTTAGGGAATCCCCACTACACATTTTGTTCAGTCCTTGGGGCCCACACTTGATTCAAATTCCATGGTCTCCCCCCCAGTTGTGGCCTTCTCTTCTCTTGCCTCAATACCTACTTTGGAGGCATCTCCTTGTGGCTTCCTTGTTTGTGTATCTCATGCGCCTGCTTCCATTGCAGTGAGGACAATATTAAATATGTGCACCAAAAACTCCCCGGCAGTCTGTCTGCCTGGAACAGCATTTCAGCCCCTCACCTTGGGGCTCTTAGTTCTTTGGAGCCTCCATCTGCTGAGGACCCTGACGTTCCTTGCCAGGGTCTGCTGGATCTCACCCCCAGGGGGTCCTGCCAGTCTGGTGTTTATCAGAGAAACTGCCCATACATCAACAGGAGGTGAGAAGGGATGCTTATGGGGACTATTATACAGCTTTAGTAGTGGAAAATTAGAGGTTTAAAGCTGTCATGCTCTGTCTCTGTGCCATACAGACCTTTCTATATACCCTATACAACAGATTGAAACAATGAATTGCATTGTACTTATTTACAATAGATCCTAAGTTATTGATGATTAACCTGTTTTTCTAAGTAAAGTCTAGCCCAGCTCTATTGCAGCACCTGGTACCTCTTAGAGGCTCAATAAATACCTCCTGAGTGAGCGCTCTGTGTTCCATGCCAGATGCAAGGTTTAGGGACAGCTTAATGAGGAAGGACTTTCTAATCTGGAGGAAATTGGGGAGTCCCTTGGCAAGGGTGTAGCAGAGGCAGTAAGATGTTAGACAGTCAGGAGACCTGGGATGTCATCCTCAATTCATTTGCTAGCTAGATGCACTTGGAAATGCACTCCCTTCTCTGATTCTCAAGTTTTTTTAGTTTGCCAAATATTAAAGTAACTCCCATCTGATGGCTCTCTTGGATGGTATAAGAATAATAGATGAGGAAGCTACTATTCACCTTTCATGCAGGAGAGAGGTTCCATTCATCATGTGGAGATTGGAGTTAAGATCTTACAATGCCTAACAATCCTGGAATTATCAAATTCTAGTTGCTGTGCATCAAATTGAATACATTTTAGATAGCCATACCATCATCATAATTGCTTGGAGTGAATAGATAAAAATTGAAAAAAATCTTGGTATATTTTCTCATAGAAATCTGCCCAGGGATCAAATGTTAAGCAGAGATTTATTAGTGGACACAATGTAGTCAGCAAAGAGGCAGTAGTATTTTGAGAAGCTTCCTGGAGGAAGAGGAACTGGAACTAGGTGTTGAAGGGATGTTCAGGTTTAAACGATGGAGTAGAAGTGAAGAAGTTAATGAATATAGCACTTCTGACATGTGCCAGGTGCTTAATGTCATTTAATCCTCACAACATGAAAGAGGCAAAGATAACTATCTTCTTTTTAATGTAAGTACTGACAGTGTGCCAGGCAACAGATAAGTCAATATGATACCTGAGATAGCTGCCAGGGTAACACAGAGCTCACTCTGAGGACCTAGGGACAGCTCCAAGAGCTGAGACATGAACAAAAAGTAGGAATTAGATCAGAAATGAAGAAAGAGAAGGAAAGTAATGATCGAGAAAAGGGTGCCCCAAGCCACGAGGGTAACATGAGCTATGGCAGTCGGTTGTGAAACCACAGGAAGTGTATGGGGGAACTGAAAAAAAAAAAAAAAAAAGTAATTATCAGAATGTTTTTAGCTTCTTATTCTGGAAAAAAAATTGTTTAAACATAGAAATATCTAGAATAGTATAGAAAACTTCTACAAATTGAACATCATAACTATCATCAAATTGTGGCCATCAACTCTCCATCTATATCCATTCATTTTCTAGTCCTTATATTCTAAGGCAAATATCAGATATCTATGATTAATTTCTAAATATTTCTCTAGGTGTTTCTAAAGGATAAAAACTTTTTATTAAACATAGCTCTAATAATATCCCATCTAAAAGAGTTAACAATTTTTTATATCACATGTCTCTGGTTAGTGTCTAAATCTCCTCTATTATGTCAGAGATTTTTATATTGGTTGGTTTTCATCAGAATCCAATAAAGGTGAATATATTGCAGTTGGTAGACATATATAAATCTCTTTGACTCTATAGGTTTCTTCTCCTATTTTTGTCCTTGCAATGTTTTTGTTAAACAGTTTTTTTTTCTACAGAGCACCCCACATTTTGCATTTTGCCGACCGTATACCTGTATGCTGTGATATGCTCCCCTTCTCCTGCATCACCTGTATGTATGCAGGTCATGGTAGTTACCTGGATGTATGTATAGCGGGTCTATCTAGAGGGGCATTTAAAGAACTTGGAGTGGGAGCTTTTTGACATGGATTGAGAGAGGGTGAGGTGAAAAACCTGTTTAAAAAAATACTGTGGATGGGCTGGGCACCGTGGCTCACACCTGTAATCCCAGCACTTTGGGAGGCTGAGGCGGGCAGATCATGAGGTCAAGAGATCGAGACCATCCTGGCTAACACAGTGTAACCCCATCTCTACTAAAAATACAAAAAATTAGCCAGGCATGGTGGCGGGTGCCTGTAGTCCCAGCTACTTGGGAGGCTGAGGCAGGAGTATGGCATGAACCTGGGAGGTGGAGCTTCAGTGAGCTGAGATCATGCCACTGCACTCCAGCCTGGGTGACAGAGCGAGACTCCGCCTCAAAAAAAAATAAATGCTACTTTGGATGTATCAGAATAATACTGTAAAGGATTAACCAAAGGCTTCAGCTTTCAGTACGTCCTGTTCTGTGCCATGCCCCGTGTTCCCCTCCCACCCACTTCCTGAGTCAGGCAGCAAGGGCATCTATGCTCATGTTGTCTGGTAGGGTTATTACATCAAACATACAGAGAGAAACAAAAGAGTCAAGTGTCAGCTTTCATGTTTTAGAAGAGACTTTTGATGAAGATGCAGAGTGACCAGTATAGAGAGAACCTTGGGGACCAGCTGGAGGCAGATAGCTCAAGCCACACCAGAAGGTCCAGGTGCCAGCAACCAGAGTCCAGCAGTTAAGGAGAAATCTCAATAAACTCTAATGATGACAGATGCTGAGCACTGAGAACCCAGCACTTTCCTTCTCAGTGCTTTGGTGCTGGAGAACTTACACCAACTCAGAGGAGAAAGGGTGAGAGAGAATCACTAAACCAGCTGAAAATCCTTGATTTGCTTGCTTAATATGAATTACTTAAAATTTAATTTTCTTCTCTTGAGTAAAAGTGGCGCTGCAGGTAGAAAAATAAAGTTATGTTGTTGTGGACATCTGAACCCACATAAGGGCTTGTTTGTGTAGCTGTTTATACTTACAGTCTTAAAATGCTATCATAGGAAAATAGCACATTCAAATTAATATTCCCCATCATGTCAGTGTCTTGAAACGTTATCCATGTTCTGGAAGTTTCAGCCATCAGAATGAATCTTCTAGAGTGAATCTACTGCTAAACATAGTTCAACTAATTGTGTCTCCTCTTTCTTCTTCATCTCCTCCTCTCACTTCTCTTCTTTGTTTCTCTTCTTTCTGCCCCTTCTCTTGGCACTTTCCTCAAAACATTTGAAAGTTGAAATAAGACATGATCCTGTTTTGTTTTTTTTTTTCTTCCTAATCTAAGGTTTCCAGATGGATTAGGCTGGCATTCTGCGTTCCCAGAAATATTTCCAGAGCTGAGAGGGGCAGGAAAGAGAGCACATGTGCTGTTCCAAGCTGTCTGTTGCCTCTGTGTGGCCATCTGTCATTTTCTTCAGGCACACGATGACCTGCAGGGCTGGTTCTTGCTTTTGTTACCTTCAAATCCTGAAGGATTCAGACAGACTAACATTCCAATGCCCTTTATAACCTTTCCCCCTGGCAAAACTTCAGCCAGAATAAACCAAAAATGAAATGGAGAGAAAGATCACTGCATCTTTCTGGATCCCCAAATTTCCATTCCAGATTTAGGGCTGATGTTCCCAGCTCGTTGTCCCTAACCACATCGTTGTCACCCTTGGTTTCCCAGACCACACCAGAGATGCGTAGCATTCCCTTACTCTCTTCTCACCTGCAAGAATTTATAACCTCTTCTGAGACCCACTCAGATGCCCCATCTTACATAGAGCCTTTCCTGTGCAGTCATCCACCTGACCCCATCGCCCCTGCAACCCCTGCAGTCTTTTGTTTTTCTTATGCTCTAGTAGCATGTGGTCAGATCAGCATGCCGGCACTTGTGTTGAATTGCAAATACCTATGTATTCCTTTTTGGCATGTAGTTTCCTTGAGAGGAGATGGGACCTGAGTCTAATAGTTTGTTTTTCCTAGTTTCTAGTAGGTGGCACCAAATGATTTCTAGAAGGCTGGATGGAACCTATGGAATCAAAGGGAAATAAAGCAACATTTTGATGCCCTGGGCTCTACTATGGTAGTGGCCCAAGTGTTTCTACTCTGCTCACCCCTGACATTTATGTGAGCTGTCCATGGATATAAAAAAGCTGCTATGATTTCAGACCTGAGCTTCACCATCAGGTCCAAATTAATTCCCGACGTCCAGGCAAAAGAGGAACATGGCACTCTGACAACTCACCCCAAACTCATTTGTGTAAATATTTTTACTGCACAGTTTTATGTCTCCGAGTTGGTTTCTGACTTCCAATGTCAGCACAGAGCTCTCATGGGAGCCTAGCATTCCCACCAGGCTTCAGCTGAATATTTATGAATGTTCCATAGTAGATATTTTCTATTGTTCCTGGAAGACTTTTATTATTTAGAGAGCAATTAATCATATTCTGAGGGAAAATGGAGGAGCCAAGTCACATGGCAAGGGTGATGATGTTTTTTTTAATTCCAAGATGAGCAAAATAATCTCAGCTAAGGCTTTCTCAAAGATTTGCTTATTTCCCGTGTCTATCTGCACACATTTCTACGGGCCATGTTTCCATCACAAGCAGCCAGCTTAAAAATAGGGCTTAGGCAAGTCTTCTGCTGTCAGAATTGCACACCACTCTTTAGGGCCTATGATTTAGGCTGAATGCTGAGGCCTAGAACTACATCTTACATTTACTTTGGTAACGATGGCATTGCTTTTTAAATTACTCAACACAAGAATGAGAAATAGTTTTTAGAGGATAATATAAGGAGGGATGAATACTTTGTTGAGTGCTTATTATGTTCTTTAGATATATTATATGATAGACATTACCTATAATATATTGTATGTATTGTAAATAATATATGAGAGCATTTTTCCCATTTTACTCTGATACACAGAAAAGAGGTAAGAGATGATGTGTGAGTTTGTTATTGATAAGTAACTCATCATTCCAAAATCCAGTTGCTTAAAACACTGAGCATTTGTTATTGTCCCTGAGTTGAGTGGTGACCTGGGCAGTTCTAATCTCAGCAGAGATAACTCAGCCACCTGTGACCAGCTCGGGGTGGGCTGGGAACCTGGTTCTGCTGATTGAGGCTGGGCGCTCACTGTGTCTTGAGCTTTGGCTGGAACAATTGGACTAATTTGGCTCTGTTTCATGCAGTTTCTAATTAGGTTTGGCAGGAATTGTCTTCAGTGCAGCCTGAGCAGAGGTACGAGAAAGAGCAGAAAAATGCATGGTCTCTTGAGGTCTGGGCTTGAAACTTACATCTTAATTCTGCTGAGTTTTGTGTTGGTGGTGGTCGTGTTTTTGTTTTTGCTTTTTGCCAAAGGAAATCTCAAGACTGGTACAGAGTTAAAAATGAAGTACATTCTTCCTCTAGCTGGGAGTTCCTGCAAAGACCCATTGCAAAGGTTATGAATAACGGAGGTCATGTAATCAAGTACAGATGTGTTTTGAGAAATAGTGCTGGGTGCTAAAAAAAAAAAAAAAAAAAAGAAAGAAATAGAAAGAGGGCCTTCAATATCAATAGAGAAAGGTCACAAAAGACATTGCATTATAGTAGCAGGGACATTACAGCCCCAAGGTAAAATAAATTGATAATAGACAGTGAAGGAAGAGAGCCAGATAAAGTTTGCTCACCACTGATACTGGAGCAGGATGGACCAGAGGAAAGAAAGCAGAGACGTTTATCCAGCTTCTCTGAGTCCCTGATAATGTGGAAGCAGAGTCTCTCCCCTGCCCAGGGAACTGGCTGATTGATCCTTAATCAGCTCAAATATTGAACTTCTGGTTCCTCTGCATGTTGGGATGCTCACATTACAAATTTGATAGTTTCCAGTGAGCACCAGTGAACCCATCAATCCTCTCCTTTCTCTAGAAACTCTTCTTTTGCTGGAACAAAACATACAGTAAGAAGACAAAACAATAAAAATTTATTAGAAATATTTTTGACCTGAGTACTGAGGAAAAAAAATGTTTGACAGTTATCCAGAGGCTAAGCTTTAGGCAGGTGAGAGGCATGATCAACATTGCAGCTGGGGAGGAGGACACCTAGTCTGAATGCTAACACTGGATTAGAGGGCAAAACCTAGATGTGGTGGTAATCCAGGTAAGAAATTATGAAGCTCCTAACACAGCCTTGGCAGTTTGTTTGAAGAAAAGGCTCCTAACCACAGTCCTGGCAGTTTGTTTGAAGAAAAGAGGACATATTTAAGAGATGCTTACAGAATAGACTTTGGAAGTTGCTTTTGTGTAGAGATTTGGAGTTTACGGGGAGAAATAAGCAGCTCTCTGGATTTTGTCTCCAGACCCTGGATGAATGTTCACAGCTTCCAGGGGATGGTTGATACAGGAGGAAGAGTTAGATGGGAGTGATTATGGGTTTAGTTTACAGACAGGTCGAGCTTGATTTGCACACTTGGAACTCAGTGGAAATGTCCAAAGATCAGGTAAATATAAGAGAACAAAGCTTAGGAAAGTAATTAGGGTGGGACCTTAATTTTAGAGCCGTTGTGCTAAAGATGAACAGAAATAAGGATATGGGAGTCAAAGGGGTGTTTGAGAGAGAGAGTTATACCAAAGGAGAAGAGGCTCAAGGCAGCTGACCAACATTAAAGGATGGGCAAAAAAAGAGCAGCCACAGAAGGTACACTCAGAAGTGGCCCAAGCAGTGGAGGGAAAAAATGGGAGTAGAGAGCAAAACGTTGCAAAAAGGAAGAAATGTTCTAACGTCTAATGCTCCAGATAATTCAAGATCTTTCTGAAAGTACCCACTACCAGTGGCAATAAGGAGATCGTTAGTGGTGTTGACAAATTATGCTTCATAAAATATGCCTTAGTCCATTTTCTGTTGCTATAATAGAATACCACATAGTGGATAATTTATTAAGAAAAGTTTATTTAGCTTATGGTTCCGGGGGCTGGGAAGTCCAAGAGCGTGGCACCAGCATCTGTTGAGGGTACCCATGGTGGAAAGTGGAAGGCAGAAGTGAAATGTGAGTACATGAGACAGAGAGACACCACAGGGGCTGGACTGGCTTTATAAACAAACCAGGCTTGTGATAACTAACCTGCTTCCACAATAACAATATTAATTAGTTTATGAGGGTTTTGCCCTCATAACCTAAGCACCTCTAATTAGGCCCCACATCTCAACACTGTTGCATTGCATTGTGGATTAGGTTTCCTGTGCATGAACTTTTGGAAGACACATTAAAATCATAGCAGATGAGAAAGGAGAAAACAAGAGTCTAGGAGGCAGGATTTGCCAAACATGCTTTGAAGATGTTTGAATGATGAAATGGAGAAAAAGCACTACCAAAGAGGAAAACTTATTTTTAAAAAAATAAGGTGAAAGAGATTTAAGAGCATTTAAATGCTGATAATAAGGAACCAAGAATAAGCAGGGGATATCTTGGAGTGAGGGGGCTTCAGGAAGAGGAGAACTCTTCTATTGTGACTCCACGGGGAGGCTAACCCAAGGAGGGACAGGTGAACTAGTAGGCAGTGCCAAAGGAAAGTTAAGGAGTTTCTGTCTCAAGGCTTTCAGAACCTCACTGAAGTAAAGGGAAGAGTTCTGTGGTTTCAGTCATGGAGGGAAATGAACAATGAGCACGGACCAACACAGGCTGTAGATTAAGGAAGATTCTGGTAATGACTTTGATAGACTTTCAGGAGGATGGGAAAAGGGGAGACTGAAGTTGTCCAGAGGTAGGGAAGGATAAAAGGTGGTATTTGAGCTTCGCCTTGACACATGAATAAACAGATCTCAGCTTTCTATAAATTGTAATTGAGGATGAAAGGAATATTCACATGGATCCCAGAAAGTTCTAAGCAGCCCTGAAGACAGACCTGGAGGTGGCCAGGTAGGCAGAACCCCTTCAAGTCACTTGCATCAGATTAAATCACCAAGCCCTGAGAACTCGGGGCAGTAGTAGATCTTTTCTGGCCATCATAGATAAATAAAACTTTCTGTGACAATCTACATTCTGAGACAGCTCTGTGATAAAGTGAGCCTACAATAATAGTGCAGTGATAATTCTAGCTAATGTTTATAGGTTGTCTGCTATGTGCTAGGTACCACTCTGAGCATTTTCCACGTGTTGACTTATGTAATTCTTAAAACATTCTGATGATGTAGGTACAATTATTCTTCTTAAAACTGTTCTTTAGTTTATATTTCTTTTGTCCAAAAAGGATTTAGATCAACACTGGAATCTCTTGGTTCCAAATCCAAATTCCTGGAGAAAAACTCTGATTCCTGGAACAAACTATCAAATGCCTTCCTCTGGCCCCATCAACTGAAGTCAGGGCCTGGAGCTATTATAAAATGACTGCTTCCATATTGACCATGGCGGATAGGGAGATTTTAGAGAGGCAGGTTCCTCAAAAGTGGGATGGGGTTGACAAAGATTCTTTCCTTGGCCAAACTTTTGTGGAAAAAGGATGCTGGAAAAGAAATATTATCTTTTGCTGCCAAAACTGGCTGAGATTGGATAGATTCTTTTATAAAGTTTTACTAAAATTAGGTTTAGTATTAATTGTACACTAGTGTGGAACTAGAATTTGGTCTTTTCCATTAAAATTATATGAAAATGCATGTCACAGAAATAGCCAAATATCTTTGGCAATTGCATAATTATCATAATGAACTCTCTTCATATTTTTAAGCATGGCCATATGGCCATTTTAAGTCTTTTGTTATTTATGGACAGTTATTATTTTACTTTGGTTCTTCTCTGAAAGCATTTGAAATCAGCTACAGTCCAAACTTGCTTCTTCTTCAAAGATATTCATGGAAAAGACTACGAAAGTTACTTTAAAAATACAGGCTTCTGCTGAAAACTTTAAGATCACACCAGCGGACTGGGTAAGAATTTGCAGAACTCTAACAAAGAAACCGATGGCTTCATGAAAGTTCTATCCCAAGCTCAAGAATAACAAGAATTACACGGGACTGAATGAACTGATGAGGACAATATTTTAGTGACTTTTTGTTTGAAACATTGCTGGTTCTTTAATGTTTTGTTTTCCAAATTTAAGAAAAGTTTTTCTCTCTTTTTTTTTTTTCTTTTTTTCTTTTTGAGACGGAGTCTCACTCTGTTGCCCAGGCTGGAGTTCAGTGGCCGGATCTCGGCTCACTACAAGCTCCGCCTCCTGGGTTTACGCCATTCTCCTGCCTCAGCCTCCCGAGTAGCTGGGACTACAGGCGCCCACTATCACGCCCAGCTAATTTTTTGTATTTTTAGCAGAGACGGGGTTTCACCGTGTTAGCCAGGATGGTCTTGATCTCCTGACCTCGTGATCTGCCCACCTCAGCCTCCCAAAGTGCTGGGATTACAGGCGTCAGCCACCATGCCCGGTCAAGTTTTTCTCTTTTATCTTAAGCTATCTATAGCTTAGAACAATTTGGTAATGTATTTCTTTGTGAATAAAGAAGAAATAATTACTTTTGCCTCCTACCCGATCCCTCTGGAATTAGAAAACTATTAGTAAACATTTTTATTTTATGATAATGTAGTTATTTGCATATGTGCAGTAAGAATATGTTTTCCTTGTAACAGTACACAATTGAAAACACTGGATATATTATGAAGGCCTTAACTGGAATGTTGTATCTTCAGATATGACGACTTTAAGAAACTAAGGTTGACTTTATGGAGTCAATAAAGCCTCTTGGAAAAAAATTATCGCCATGTTGTGTTGCATACTTGGTTCACTTACATAGTTTTCTTCCGGGTGAATAAAGAGTGTCACTTCCTGGCAGGCCTAGGAACCCCAGGATATTTTGGAGACCTATAAAAGGGATATTCACTCAAATCCCTAAGTATTTCAGAAACAGCCTGAGAGCAAGTCCTTGGCTTCGCTTTCTAGTTTTAAAAGGCTTTTAACTGTTTAGTCTGAGATTCCCCTAAAAGTTCCAGGAAAGCAAACTCAAAAAGAGCCTAGGTGGTCAATCATTATTTTTGCTGCGTTTATATAAATAATCAGGCCAAGTTAATGAGACTAAACTTATTTTGCAAGCAAATCAGTCTTTGCTTATTTTTGGTAGGAATGGGGGTAAATGGAGAGAGAGAAATTATGTTTCAGAAGAAAACTATAGCACACCTCTTATTGAATTTTAGCCTTGCTCATTGTTTTTGTGGTTTTCTGATTTGTCTACACACTGGACTGGATCCTGAATTCTCCAAGCTTCCTCCAAAATCTGGCAACCACACTCCAGACTAATATTTCCAATTTTCTCCAACCCTTCTGACTTGGAGTCATTAAAATTAAAACTGCTCCTTTCCTGGAGCCCCAAAAGCTGAAGCTGGAGGACTTGATACAGACATCAGAGAGATCACCACAATAGCTCAGGGGTAGACAACCTTCGTGGTGTTAAAACTGAAAACCAGGAAGGTCTATCAACTTGCCACTGCCTGCTCCCACACCACTTGAAGAGGCTTCAAGCTCAGTGTTTAGAAATCTTTTTGATTGGCTGCCCTCTGGGCTCAGAAACTGAGTTTCCGACTATTAAAAAAATCCCCTCATTAAATGCCTGACTGCTTGCACCATCCAGTATGTTGGAACTATCAAGTCCCAACAGGTGACTCAGTGGGTTCTTAGTGAACAAAAGGTGACCACATGAGAAAATGGAGTTACAGCGTTCAAAAGAAAGAAGAATGTCTCTCCTTTCCTTGAACAAGAGGAAGGACTAACAAAAACTCCTTGCTTGGCCAAACTGTAGCCAGTCACCTGAAGCTTCTCCTATGTCTACCTGTGTACTTCCTTGTAAAGTCCATTTTGGGCTAAGAACGCTGCTAAGTCAGTTTATCAAGAACTCCCCCACCCTTGATATCTGACTCAGTATTTTCAATATATGACCAAGTTTCTCATTGTCCATCATCCCCAGGTGATGTCTGATCACCTGGCCTGTTTTCAGCAAGAATCCTGTTAGATTTCTGTAGCCAGAATCCCTGCACCCTCACCCCGATATCTCCTCTTAGTAATTTTCTATCTAGTGGTCCCCACCCTGCTCCTTGGATATAAATTCCCACTTACCAGTGCTGTGCTCCGAGTTGGGCTCAATCTCTCTTCCCTGTTGCAAAATCCCTTTGCAGTGGTCCCTCTATTGTGATGTGATTTACACAAGTATCATTGAGTAAGCTTTTCTGTGCTTTAACAAGTATCAGTGAGTAAGGTTTTCTTTAACAGGGTGATGCCATCTTAGAGAAATGCATTCTCCATAATACTGAATCTGAGTGTCATCTGTAAGAGGTGGGTTGTTTATAACACATTTTAAAGATAAGATTAATACAGAGTAATTCATTTGGGTAGTGGCACCGTGAAACTTTATAGTGAAAATGGTGGTAGGATCTAATGATTGGCTTTTGGGCATTATAGAAGAAAGAAGAATCAAGAGTGGGTTGAGCTTCAGATCCCTCTGGCCGAGAGGATGGTGCTGCTAACAGAAACAATAAGCAGAAGAAGCAGAAAGAGAGGGTGATAGCAGTGATTTTGAGCATTGATATGTTCATCCAGGTTGAGGACATCAGAGGAGAGGAAGAGCATTTCAAAATGTCAGACTGCACTGGCGAATCCGAGTCAGACAAAAGCCAGGCTGAAGATGCCAGCCCAAGGGCTGGGGGTTTTGCTGAGCATAACGGAAGCAGCTGGGTATGAGTGAGGAAACAGAAGTAGAACAATGAGAGATGGCAGATAGAGACGGGGACTGAGATTTCAAGTTCTAAGAGAGAATGATCTTGGAGGATGCCATCAAAGCAAAGTCACAGATAATGTGGAGATGGCCATTACGAGTCTAGGACCCAAGGGGCTTGCATAGACCTGAGTATCATTGTCCCATATGCTGAAGTCACCACACACACACCTAAGTAGAGGCTGCCTGGCACCTCCTGGGTTCCAGCCTCCGAGGTGAGTGTGTTTTCACAGATTATTACAGTGCCTTATCTTCACAGCAATCCTGAAAGGTAGCTTTTGTCTGTGTTTCACAGCTGAGGAACCTGGAAACTGAGAAAGTAACTTGCCCTAAGTCAATAGTAGCCCAGCAAGGAAGCCAATCAGCACAGTCAGCCTCCAAAGCCTGTGATTTCACATGGGGCTTGTCCAGATGCACCTGGTAGGTGTTGAGTTGGGGATAGCTGTGTGGGAGGCTAACTCAGCACATCAAATGTAGAGGCTCTGGCCACCCTCCCATTGCCTCCCACTGTCTCCTGCATGACCAGGAGGACCGTGCCACAGCCTCCAGTGCTGGCTGGGACTGGCTGTTTCATCTGTGTGGCCAACAGATTTCTCTCTTAATTTTTAGCAACAAATTAATCCTATTTTGAGAACAAGCTTGAGCACCAGAGGGCTATCTGGTTGGAAGTTTTTCTGCCAGGCATTATTTTTCTCATAACATCATTCCAGCATTGCCTATTTTCCCTTCTGAGTGGCTTCAATACCTTCATTTCCTTCACATTCTGTCTTTCCATCCCCTGTCTCTTTGTTGTTGTTGATTTCTGTATCACTTGCTCCCTCTCATTCATATTCCCATCTTTCCCACTCCTTCTCTTTCATCTTCTCTCTGCCTCTTTTGTTCTTATTCGGGCAGCTTAAAATACAACACTTTTTAATGAATCTTATCCATTTGTAAATAAACACAAGGTAATCACTTATGTTTTATTCCCTCCCAAATTTTGGAGAGTTGAGCACAGGTAATTTGAGTTCAGGGAGATGAGAACTCAGGCTCAGGCCTATATTAGAGAAGCTTGTGTAAAAAGCCCTCAATAAGGTGGTAAAGACACAAGTTCTAACTAGAAGTATCTTAACACCCTAGAGATTAACTTGGTGAAATAGTTAAAAAGTTTGTTTATAATGACAAGGAACAGCTTAACTTTCAATGTGTTGTCAACAGCTCTCCTGCTTGAACTTTTCAAGGTTTTGAGCTGTCTTTTTGCGTGCATGGAAGTGCTAACACGAAGACACAATTATCTCTCAATCTAAATGTGGCACATGGATGAGAAGGTTCACAGTGTCTTCCAACTATCAGGGATGTCCCAATATTAACCAGACTGAACTTTGAGACTGTAGGAGACTTCTAGAAAAATAAAACTCCAAAGGCCACATTCAGCAGAATTAGTAAAATGGAGCTTTTCTTCTCTCTCTCTCTTTATTTTTTAATCTTTTTGAGACAGGGTTTGACTCTGTTACCCAGTCTATAGTACAGTGGTGCTATCACAGCTTACTGTAGGTTTGACCTCTCTGGACCCAGGTAATCCTCCCATCTCAGCCTCCCGAGTAGCTGTGACTACAGGCTTGTGCCACCACACCCAGCCAATTTTTGTATTTTTTGTAGAGAAGGGGTTTTGCCATGTTGCCCAGTCTGAGAAATGGAGCTTTTTGTATAAAGAACAGCATGAGGTCAAAGGAAAACACTGTGACTGCTTTGAAGAGGCTAGCTTTCTACTACTAGTATGAGCCTGTTGGGGATTAAATTGTTTCCCTCCAAAAGTTATGTTGAAGTCCCCCCTCCCAGTACATGTGAATGTAACCTTATTTGGAAATAGAGAGTGTTTGCAGATATAATCAAGTTAGGATGAGGTTATACTGGATTAGAAAGGCCATTAATCCAATGACCGCTGTCTTTATAACATTAGGGAGATCTGGACACATACACCCAGAGGCAAGTGCTATGTAAAAACAGAGATGCACTGAGAGCACGCCATACGATGGAGGAGGTAACAATTGAAGTCATGTGCCACAAGCCAAAAAAGTTCCGCGATTGCCAACAACCACCAGAAGCTAGGGAGAAGCCAAGAAAGATTCTGAGCAGTTTCAGGAGTGCTGCCCTGAGGAACACCCTGACCCTGGACTTCCAGCCTCCAGAACTGTGTGCCAATACATTTCTATTGTTTTGAGATTGCTTTGCTGAGTTTTTTTTTTTTTTTTTTTTGAGATGGAGTCTCACTCTGTCACCCAAGTTGGAGTGCAGTGGCATGATCTCAGATCACTACAACCTCCATCTCCCAGGTTCAAGCGATTCTCCTGCCTCAGCCTCCCAAGTAGCTGGGATTACAGGAGCGTGCCACCATGCCAGGCTAATTTTTTGTATTTTTAGTAGAGACAGAGTTTCACCATGTTGGCCAGGCTGGCCTCGAACTCCTGACCTCATGTGCTCCACCCTCCTCGGCCTCCCAAAGTGCAGGGATTACAGGCATGAGCCACCGTGCCTGGCCTTTGCTGTGACTTTTTTACAGAAGCCCTGGGAAACTGACACAGAGCCAGCTGCAGATGTGTGGTTAGGCAGAAACGCAATGGGCAGTGGCTTGGATTTCCCTAGCATGGGAGGCACTGCAGAGTTCCTTATGTGCTTGATGGTCAGGGACAAAGCATGGGCCAGCAGCACGCTCCTTCTTTGGACAAGGTCTTAGGGCAAAAACATTGTAGTCAGACAGTGTAATTTCACATCACAGCCTCACTACTTCCCAGCCGTGTGACTTGGCCTGAGTTATTTACATTTGGCTCAATTTCTCAATTCCAGTTTCATTGCAGCACCTATGTGATCACATTTGTGTGATGATTACAGGTAAATACCATTGTGGGTAAAGTATAAGAAGGAGGCCTGGCATTTACTAATTACAAGATAAATCTCCTCCCTACACTGTGCTTCTTAAGGTTTGGGATGCTGAATGGATTCCCTTCTGGTGATAGTGTTGTATGTCAATGTGGCGAGGCTAGGGTCTCCAGTCACTCAACAAAACAGTCATCTAGGTGTTGCTCTGTAGCTATTTTGTAGATGTGATTTAACATTTACCACCAGTTTGCTTTAAATGAAGAAGACCATCTTTGATATTCTGGGTAGGCTTGGTCCACTTCACTTGAAGGCCTTAAAAGAAGAAAGAGGGGAAGTTCTCCTAAGGAAGAAATTCCTCCTGGAACTCCAGTGTCTGCTCCTACTCGACAGGCTCCAGCCCACCCTAAGGATTTTGGATTTGCCTAGGCAATCCCCCACGTTGCCTAAGCCAGTTCCTACTGACTTTTTTGTCATGTCATTCTGCTCAGTGACAGTAGGAAGTAGGATGATAGTAGCTCGATGCTGCTGTAACAAATGCCTAAAAATGGGGAAGTAGCTTTGGCATTGGGCAATGAGCAGAGGCTGGGTAAATGTTTAGCCACATGCTAGACAAAGCCCAGATTGCCTTGAGCAGAGTGTTGGTAGACTTTGGAAGCTACAGGTGCTACTAGTGAGGGCACAGATGATTTTTGCTATAGAATGGCAGAAGGGTTAGCTCAATCACATCCTTCTGTGTGTGGAAAGTAGAACTTGTAAACAATGGACTCAGATGTTTAACAGAGGAAATTTCAAAGCAAAGTGTGGAAGGTATGGCCTGGTTTCTCTTTGCTGCTTACAGATGAATGGAGGGAAGAACTGTTAAGCAAAGAGAAGCCAGAGCTTGATCAAGAACTGCCTGTCAGGCTTGTAGAATCCCACAGGAACCTCAGGAAATGGATGCACTTCTATAAAAGGCCTCCTTCAATTTTTCTGCCATCTGTCTCTCCTCTTCCTACCCCATTCCATTTTTCAGAGCATATTGTTTTATTTTCTCACTTATCCTGCCACAGAATATTACTGATTTATTTACCTGTCTCGCCCCAGTTAGTGTCTGTTTGAAGGCAATGGCAACGTCTCCATCACTGAGTCTTAGAGCTTAGTGGTGTCAGGTACAAAGCAAACAATAGATATTTGTGGAATGAGTGAATGAATGCATGAACCAACTTTGGGACATGTGCTCATTGATCAGGATTTTGAAGACATTCTAGAAAATCTAGAAAATCAGAAAGACCAGAAAGGCATTTCCTTGACTGGAATCCAAGTGTTTACCTCAAATGGGCTGAGCTGAAGCCAGGGTCATGGGCCAGAATGAACTAGCATCTGATCTGGAATCTGCAGCCTTACACTCCTCATGGCTTCCTGTCCTTCCTGTCCTTGAACTTCACTCTGTCCCATACATACCATGAGACTCCTTGGAACTCTACACCACTTCTCCAGCCTCACCTGTCTATGATCCACCCCATCTACCCTGGCCGTACCGGACAACTTTGAGTTCCCCAAAGAACCCTGTCGCCACTCAGGCCCTTACCTGGCTTGTTTCCTTTCCTAGGGATCCACCCTGTCTCCATCCCTGGGAAGGTCTACTCCTCCTTCAAGACCCAGCTCATGCAGTAGCCCCTGTGGGAAGCCTTTCTCAGTCTCCTCCTCACCCCACGTTTGGCTGTTGGGAAACCACTCCGCTTTGTACTTTCTGATGCAGGATTACAAATGTGTCTATCACTCCCCGGAATTGAGTATTGGCTCTGGAGGGCAGAAATGATGTGATGTTCATATTTGTATGAAGGCCAACATGAGGTCAGAACATGTGATTCATATTCATATTTATCATAGATTTACACATATATGATAATTTTCTGAAAGAGGGCAGTAGAAAGTCCTAAGGAATGGGTAATAAGGAATGAATCATTTTTTAAGTTAACTCAAAGTCACCCCTGGAGATAATGAGGTGTCTTCATGTCTGGCAATCTTAGCCTATGCAAGTGGAGGAACCCGATGCCTGGCCATTGACTGTGTTAAATAACCGTTGTTATTTCAGTGAAAAGTAAAGATTATAACAAGCTGTTGTTAAGCACGTACGCTATGCCAGACGCTGTTCTAAGCACATCCCATGTGTGAACTTATTTAATCCTTACATCTTATTTAATCCATACATGAGGTGAAGATATAAATTGGTCCTTGTAGGGTCACACCACTGTGAATTCAGAATATTCTGCTAGCTCTTCAACCCAGGCCCTCCATCTGGTCTGTGCAGCCTGCAAGGGCATAGGGGAGGCCCACTTCAAATATCAGCTCTTTTTTGAGCATATTCCCCAGTTCTCTTGTTCTCACATCCTTTAACTCTCACAGAGCAGCGTGTGTTCGTTTATCATCCCCCTTACTTGACTATCCTGTTACTTTAGAACAGAGCCCTTGCCCTATCCTCAAGATAAGACTGCAAGTTCCAGAGGGCAGGAGTGATTCTGCCTAATACTCTCCAGAGCCCATATCAATGCCTTGCACAGAGGACACATGAAACACATTAAATCACAATGACTCTGTTGTATGTTCCTGGTTTTCAGGAATTTGGCAGCTTGTGTCACATAAACAAAAGTCAGTGGATTTCCAGGCACCAGAGCTTTCCTCTCATAACACTTACCACCAGGGCATGATAAAAACTGTGCTCGTTCTGGGCCTGCCTACCCACCCACCCATTTACCCACCTTCCAGCCTATTGACACACCTGCTATATATAACTCCACCCTACACCCTAGCAAGCGTACGTAAGTGCAACCATAGCCCATACCAAATGTAATCTTAATATACAATCATGCAAATTAAGTTATGGATTTCTAGTTGACACATGTTATTTTTGTAGATATTTGAAAAAACATTCAATTGTACTTACAGCTTTTAAAAATTTTGTGTTGTCAATAATTTGTTGTAGTTGTCTTAAATATTTTCCTGGGCCCTTAAAAGATCTATGCACTTAGTACTCCTCTTTATTGTATAAAGAATTAAGTTAGTTAAAACTCATATGTCTGTCCTTTCATCTGGGTTATAAGCTTTGTGGGGAAGAAACATCTGTGTCTATGTCACTCCTAGAGTCCCCACACTGAGCAGAGTACCTGAAACATAGGAGGTGAACAATGAGTATTTCTAGGTGGAAGAAGAGAAAGGAAGAAAAAAAGGAAGGAAGGAAGGAAAAAAGGATGGAAGAAAGGAAGGAGAGAAGGGAAGAAAGAAGGAGGGGGGGAAGGAAGGAATCCCTGTATCTTTAGAATTTATTTGAACGAGATGGGATTGAGTGATCAAAGAATGACATGGAAGAGGAGGTTCTCAATTTTTTTCTATAGCATGACTTGAAAATTTTTAAGTGTAAGAATTATTAGTAAAAGTTTTATTTCTGTTGCAAATACTTGCATTCCAGGTACAATTGCTACTAACCTTCCCAAAACTTTTTTTATACCCATGGATTCTACAGATTAGAAGTTGGGCAAGGCACAGTGTGGATGGTGGATGGCTCACCTCTGCTCCATGACATCTGCAGCCCCAGATGGGAATAATAAAATGTTGGGAAGACATCTTTCCTCTTCTACCCCACTCTCCCACCAGAATCATCAGGAGGCATCTTTATTTCTATCTCATGATTAATGGCAGCTGGGGCCTCAGCTGGGCTATCAGCTGGAACATCCCCCCCCCCACACAGTGTTCTCTTCTCATGGGCCAGTTTGAGCTTCCTCCCAGCATGATGGGCTCCAGGTGAATAAGGCTAAAGTGTTAGCATTTTTATGACACAGTGCTATGGATTGAACATCTCTCCCAAAATTTCGTGTGTTGGAAACTTAATCTCTAAATCTCTAAATTTATATGTTGATGGTGTTTGGAAGTGGGGTTTTAAAGAGGCAATTAGAAATAGATAAGGTCATCAGGGCCCTCATGATGCAACTGGTGGCTTTATAAGAAGAGGAAGAAAGACCTTAGATAGCACATTTGCTTTTTTAGTGATTTGATGCCTCCTGCCGTGTCATGACAAAGCAGAAAGGTTCTCACCAGATGCAGCCACCTGATCTTGGACTTTTCAGCCTCCAGAACTGTGAGTAAAATTACCTCTATTTTTTATAAATTACCCAGTCTCAGGTGTTCTATATGGCAACAGAAAATGGATTAAGACATTCAGCCTTGAAAGACACATGGCATCACTTCCACTATATGCTACTGACCAAGCCAGTTGCAAAGGTTGCTCAAGTCTAAGGGGAAGGGGGGACATGTGAAACAGGTCATATTGTTGAGGCCTCCTTGGAAAGCGTAATCTGCCATTACTGGTTCACCCTGTAAAATGTGTTTCTTACTGTACTTTGTGGTCAAAAAAGTTTGAAAAATCTCTGCTCCTTATTGTGTATGTTGTGAATAACTATAATTATTGCATCATGCTGTTTTGATGAACATTTGTTTCTAATTTTTCTTAATTGCAAAATCAATGCTGCATTGAGCCTCCCTGTGTTTCTGTATGCACATGGAGCAGTTTCCTGGATGTCCATGCTTAAAACTCCAAGCCCTTTCCCTAGGGCTTGCTGAGGGGAAGATGGCCTGTGTGGTTGACAGTTTTTTTCTAATATTAAATATGTGTTACTGTATAAGAAATTCATTGTCAATATAATTGATTTCTATTTTGTACTAAAATGATACTGCAATTTCTTACTTTACTAGAAATTATTTGTAAATATAGCTTGGTTGTTTTCCCATTTTTGGATTATAAATGATTCTGTTGCCACACTATATTTTTTGCTAGCCTGATTGCTACCTTAGGAGTTTCACGGAAAGCGAATAGATGGTTCAAAGGGGACCAAAAACACTTTAAAGATTCCTGGTACATATTGCCAATCAATAGGATGCTATTTCAGCTAGACTGTGGAGATGAAACAAAACCTTTTGAAACCCCATTAGTGTGGTTATACTAAGTCCTCCTGAATATTATTAGAGAAAATTTAAAGTAGCACAAGGTAAGCAATTATCAGAAGAATAACTCCCAGTTAGTTCATAAGTCAGTTTCTGAACCACTTGGCACACCAGTGGGTGCATACAACCCTGTATACAGTTCATGCAGGGAGGCAGGGGGGTCTGTAGCATCACCCATCCTAACACATACATCTCAGGAGTTATTGTGAATTAGCAACAGTTCATTGGCCATGGATGTCCTGTGGGACATGCTGTGGGGAAGCCCATCCTGCAGGGGTGCCTGTAGCTAGTGCCAGTCATGGTTTATGACAGCAGAATAACTCATATACAATACCTGGCTTTGAGGTAGTGCCTTCCTCCTCAGTAAAATCTTGCAAAATTTGACTCTTTCTTGCTTACAGCATCTGTTCAGTTCAGTTCAGCACTCAGTGTGTGCCAGCCCCTGTGCTGGAAATATAGTTGTAGACTGTTTTCTGGGTTCATTCCTGCGGAAGCTGGTCTAGAAGACAGAGAAAGATGGGTGAGCAAATGCTTAGAACGCAATAGGATAGTAATGATAAAGAGACATGCAAACTAATGCTGAATGGTTTCATCACCCTGTGAATAAGAAGTTATAATAGAATAAGCTTCTTATGGTAAGTATAATGGTGGTGGAGGGACAGAATTTTCCCAGAGGAGCCAATGTTTAAACTGAATCGTGAAAGATAAAGTATTTACTGATCAGACAAAAGAATGAAGGTGATTACAGGCAGAGACAATTTTCCAACAAATGTACTTTGTAAATTAATTGGGAAATGACCTGGCACTTATGAGGAACCCCCACCTGTTCCTTGGAGAAAAAGGAGCAGAAAGGTAGACCAGAACTCCAGGGCCGAGACCTTCCATCTATGTAGAAATACGAGTAAGTGACCACAGAGTAAACTATCTAGAGTTCTCACTCCAGAGTGTGGAATCATGATTTCTCAGCATAAAATTTGCTTCTTTCTCTGAAGTTCTTCCTCCAAGAGCACTTTTGTTAGATCTCTTGACTGATTCTACCATGTTTTGGCTATTGCTGGCAGGACTCTGACCCTATGTACTGGGGGAAAACAGGCCCATACACACTGTCCTTAGAGAAGTCAGGCCTAAAACTGCTTATTAAACACGAGATCCTGACCTTCTCTAACACACATCTTGGAACAGTTTTTCCTGATTTCCAGAGAGTCACCAAAGCCCTTTCTCTTTCCAAAGCCTTATATAAGCCAGCTTCAGCAGGCTCAGGTGGTCAGTGGGAGAGGCTAGACTGCAGCATGCTGGGTGCCATCTCTCTGGCTCCAGGAGCCATTGGACAGCTAGGGGGTTGTCCTTCCCCACTGAATAAATTACATCTGGGGCCCATTATTTTCCATAATTATTGTAATATGACTTAATAAAACTAAATGCTTTATTTGCGTTGCTGCTTGACAGCAAGTTTCCTTAACAACACAACACCATTGTATCCCTACGGAAACAGCTGCACGAGGCAACAGAGCGATGACACATACTTGGAATTTTCTCGCTCTTGCAGTCCTGTTTCCCAATGACTCTCCTGTGAAAGGGCTAAAAGTGCTCTGCTGTAACAGGACGGCGGGCACCCCCACCTGCTCTCTGTACTCTCCAGCAAATACTAGAACGGCCCATTGTAGTAAAAACTAGGAGCAACTCTCTACTGAAGACCTTCTAGGTGGCACCTATTGTGCGAAGCAATTTCTCTTTGATATTTCAGATCCTTTCTTCAACTCTGAGCAGTGGGCTTCATCTTGAAAATGAGAGATGAGAAACCGTGTCAGAAACTGTAAGAAAAATTGCACAAGATGACATTGTTAGGAAGAGGTGGCTGGATTTGTCTCACTCCAAAATCTGAAGTCTCAGGACTTGATACCTGCAGGAGGGAAGAAGCCAACTCAGGCCAGGGCTGAGAGTAGGTGGAGAATATGGAGTGTATCTCTGTATTTGCCTCTTCCCTACTCTCCTCCCCTCCCTGGGTGCTGAAAGAATCTCACCATAACATTCCCTGATTTCTTTGGGGGATCTAGAGTGTTATCAGTGGGCTCTTTACTTAATTTTTACTTTCATGTCTAGATCTCTGTTCATGCTCTTCTTATACTTTACAACAAATCTCTCCTTTTTTGTCTTGAACTCTTATCTCCAGAATAGTGATGACACTGGTTCTAGGACTTTCCCCTGCTCTATGTTTTTGGTAAGCAGCCTAGGATAAATTAACTCTGGTCCCTGGGGCTCTGTATGATGTTGAACTGTCTACCAGGGTGGATTCTTTTCTGTCTCACCTCTAAGAATAAATTCAGATGATGACAGGTAAGATAATTCCACTATTACCAACACAGGTGGAAGGGCTACCACCCCACTGCTTAAACATGGTTGTCAACCCGTGGGACTAAGGAGGCCTTTGCAAGTCACAAAGGCATTCCATTCATGGAAGCAGGTCCATTCTCCTCATATCCACCTAAATGTAGGCAAAGAAAACAAAGTTCCTTGCCCCAAAATGCTTGCACATCCCGATGGCTTGATCATACGTGTGATTCCGATGTTATAAAATATTAAGCAAAAAAATTTAAATGTTTTATTAACAATCCATTCCTATCACTATGAAAACCACCCTTAATTGAGCATTGTTCTGGAACTACTGTGTTTTTCCCAGCATTGCTTTTAAGCTGAAAAAGCCCTGCAAGTTTGTCTTATATAGAGGGCAATGTGAACTATTACAGTTACCCTCGAACACCTTTGACTTCCTGCCTGCCTGCCTGTCTGCCTACCTGCCTCCCTTTCTTACTAATTAAGGCTTTATAGCCAGAGCAGGTTCTGAAGTTACAGTTAGCAAGAAAGTTTTCATTCAATATAAAAGAAAGGTATGAACTACTACTACTAATATAACATGGTAGGAACTGTCAGATCTCTTAGAAGCTGTGGAAAGTCAAAGAAGCACCATCCATCCCTTCCTGAATAGATGTGGTTCAGGGAACGTGACTTTAAAGGAGGTAGCATGTGATGGGCACCAGGATGAGCAGAAAGCCTTGAATGCCATTCCAGTTTATCTCTACAAAGCAGAGGGATCTTTACATATTTGAAATATTAAAAAGATTTGGCCTTTCCAATATCAAGAATGACACAGATTTTGTAATGTTCCTACAAATATCCTAGACATTAAAAAGTGAGAAGAATTATGAGTGCATTTGATAACCTAGATTAAATAGCAAAATTCCTTGAAAAACACAAGTAATCATACATGACAAAGAATAGAAAACTCTAAGAGCTCCATATTTCCTAAAGAAACTGAATTTATACTTCAAATCTTCCATAACAAACAAAACAAAACAAAATCTCTAGGCCCAGATGGTTTCACTGGTAAACTTCATCAAATATTTAAAGAATGTTTTTTAAAAAATCTAACAAAGTCACTCAAAGTAAATGAAGTGACAACTACTCACTTTATTTTATGACTACCATAACCCTGATACCCAAACTTGGAAAATTACAATAAAGTAATATTGTATAAATACAGATGCAAAAAATTTTATTAAATTTAGTAATTCAAATCCAGAAATATACAAGAAATATAATTCACCATAGTAACAGAATAAAAAATAAAAACCATATAATCATCTCAGTAGGTATTGAAGAAAATCTTTGACAAAAGTTAACTTCGTTTTGTGTAAGAACTTTCACTAAACCATGAATAGAAGAAAACCATGGCAGTTTGTTAAGGGATGTCTATAAAAAATAACAATGAGCTACTGACTGCTTTTTCTGTAACATTGAGAACAAGACAAGATTATCCACTCTTTCTATTTCTATCCTCCATAGTACTGGAAATCCAAATTAGGATAATTGGCAGAAAAGAGAAATAAAAGACATGAAGACTTGGATAGGTGAATGTAAATCTGGCATTTTTGTGGATGACATGTTTACTTATATAGAAAATTCGAAAATTCTAATAGATCCACACAAAACTATTAAGTACTAAATGAATTTAACTATGTGTAGAATACAAGTCAATATATAAAAAATTTATTGAGGACTAGCAACAAATATTTGAAAAATTAGTTTTAAAGAGTCCATTTTAATTTCATCAAAAATGCAAGATACTTAGGAATATATTTAACTAAATATGGGTAAGATTTTTACTTTGAAAATCTCAATCCATTGCTAAGTAAATAAATAGGACAAATGCAGTGTTCATGAATTGAAGGACTCAATGGTGTTACGACATCACTTCTCTCCAAATTGTCCTGTAGATTAAATGAACTCCCAAAGTCCCATCAGACATTTTTGTAGACATTGAGAAGTTGATTCTGAAGTTTATATGAAAATGCAAATAATCTATTAGGTTGATGCAAAAGTAATTGCAGTTTTTGCTATTAAAAGTAATAGACTAGCTAAAACCATCTTGAAAAAAGCAAAGTTGAAGGACTTGCGCTACTGGTTTCAAGATCACCTATACAACTAAAGTAATGAAGACATTATGGTTTTGGAATAAGGATGTTGAAAACAAGGATTGGCAAAATACTGCTGTGGGCAAAATAAAGCCGTTACTTGGTATCATACTGCCTGATATTCTACAGAGATAAGAATATGTTTTATATTTTTAAAAGTTTGACAAAACCAAAATAATAATCGTATTTTATGGCACTCAAAAATTATGTGAAAGTTAAATTTGTGTCCACGAAGAAAGTTTTACTGGAACACAGCCATGCTCATTTGTTTATCTGTTTTCTATGACTGCTTTCCCACTATAAGAACATAGTTAAATATTTGAATCACAGATCATTATGGACTGCAAGACCTAACATGATTACTCACATTGGCCCTTTATAGAAAAAAAATTCAATCCTTGCACAAATAGATCAAAAGAGCAGAATACAGAGGCCCGAAGTAGGCCCATATATGTAGGATAAATAAGCTTTCAACAAAAGAGCCCAGAAAAGTGTTCTCAACAAATAGATCTGTAACTGGGTAAGTACACGGGAAAATCTGAACCTAGATACTACTTCACATCCTAATAGAGTTAGTTCGTGATAGAGCATAGATTTAACTTAAAAGCTACTAGAAGAAAACATAGAAGAATATATTTGTAACCTTGAGGTAAATAGGGACTCATTTTTGAGAAGACACAAAAACAGCCATAAGAGAACAAGATTGATAAATTGGATTTGTCATAACGAAACCTAAAACCCAAGACAGGATGCCATTAAGAAAATTAAAAAGCAAGCCATAGAGTGGGAAAAAACATTCGCCATATAGTATCTGACAAAAGGCTTTGATCTGAAATATATAAAGAACTCCTGGGAGTCAATAATGAAATGAAACGAACCCAATTTAAAAAGTGGATACAAGACTTCTTTCTATAGCCACATCACGAAAGGAAATATATGATTAGCCAATAAATATAAGAAAATATGTTTGTGTTATGAATCATCCAGAAAATGCAAATTAAAACCACAATGGAATATTATTAAACGTTCACTAGAAAGATTAACCTTAAAAACCCTGACAGCACTAAATGTCACTTTAGTGCTGTTTCTGAGGTTGTTTCTCAGGCTGTTTTTGAGGATATGGAATAATGTTTCTGAGGATATGGAATAACTTGAACTTACATACCTTGGTATTAGGAATGTAAAATGACACAGCCTACTTGGAAAGTTGTTCCGTTTTCTCATAAAGTTACACATAAACCTATCTTAGGACCTAAGATTTTCACTCCTAGGTATTTACTCAAGATGCATACAAACATATTTTTACAAAAAGACTGAATAAGACTATTCATAATAATTTTATTCCCAACAGCCAAGAGCTGTCTCAGAGTTTTTTGACAATCCAAATATTTGTCAAAATGACAATGATTACAAAAATTCAATATAAAAATTGAAATATATTTTCCAAAAAAAGGATGAATCATTGCTATATACAACAAGATGGATAAATTTCAAAAGTATTTTTGTTTGTAAAAAGCTAGGCAATAGAGTGTATGTATTGCATGATTTCATTTAGATCGGGGTGTCCAGTCTTTTGGCTTCCTTGGGCCGGATTGGAAGAAGAATTGTCTTGGGCCACACATAAAATACTCTAACACTAACAATAGCTGATGAGCTAAAAAAATCATTTAAAAATCTCATCATGTTTTAAGAAAGTTTGTGAATTTGTGTTGGGCCACATTTAAAGCCATCCTGGGCCACATGAGGCCTACGGGCCACTGGTTGGACAAGCTTGATTCACATAAAGTTATAGAACAGATAAAATTAGTCTATGGTGATAGAAATGAGAACAGTTACTACTTAGTGTAATGGAGATTGATAGAATGAGGGCATGAGGGAATCTTGGCTTCAGACTTGTTTATGCTGTGGCTTTAAAGTGACAACTAAAAACTTAAATTTTATATGCCGAAATTATATTTTATTCACATATGTGTATTTATTTGAAGTGGATGAGATATTTAGTTATAGTCTTCAAAGATCTGTCAATCTTCTGAAATAAGGCTACTCTCAAATTTGTTGTGCAAATTGGTACAATAAATATCAAAGTGGCAAACTCTAGTTACAGACAGAATTGTGTCCACCCCTCCTGCCCAATTCATATGATGAAGTTGCATTTTTCAATGTGATTGTATTTGGAGATATTAACCTAAAGAGGTAAGTAAGGTGAAGTGAGGTCATAGGGTGGGGTCCTAATCGGATAGGTCGATGTCTCTGAAAGAAGAGGAGGAGACACCAAGGAGGTGTCTCTCCATGCACATCCACAGAGTCATGGCCATAAGAGGACACAGTGAAAAGGTGCCTTACCAGATGTCCATGCTGTTGGCACCCTGATCTTGGACTTTCAGCCGTCAGAACTGTGAGAAAATAAATTCATGCTGTTTAAGAAACCCAGTTTGCAGTATTTTGTTATGGTATCCTGAGCTGACTAATATAAATCTGCTGAGAGTTGTTAAGGAAGGTATGATGCTCTAGAATAGAGTTGGGCAGACTTTTTCTGTAAAGGGCTAGACAGTAAATATTTTAGGCTTTACAGACCATATAGTTTCTGTTGCAAATATGCAGCTCTTCTGTAGAGGGAAGAGTCATGGACAATATATAAACAAATAGGAGGGTCTGCGTTCCAATAAAACTTTATTCATAAAAGGTAGATGTCATTGTTCAAAGGGGACTATGAAAAAGAAAAAGTTGGTGCCTGCACCCATAGACATTCCCCACAACCCACTCTGACTCCACCGAGCACAGAGGACCAGCAGGTCCCTGGGAGTTGTGGGTCTCCTGGTCACCTAACTATTGGCTTGGGCAACACCTAAGGGAGTGGACAGTGCAACCCGCAAGGGCCTGCGCTGGGGCTAAGGAAATGTGGGTGCAGTGCCAGTGATTAGAGGGGCCTCCTCCAAGGCTTGTGAATGAACTTGGTAAGGGGAGTTCATCTCTCACCACCTCCTCCATTTCCCGCTCCTCAGAGCACTGCTGTGAAAGCACTGAAATACAAAACAGGTGCTAAGAGCCTAGTGCCATCTAGTGTGTCGCAGCCTGAATTACACCACGAAACAAAAATAAATTCCTCCAGCACGCATTGCTGGTGAAAACCAATGCAGGAAACTAGCCTCAACTAAGGAACCCATACAGAGCCTTGGTCCTCTGAAAGCACCCAGAAATGAAACCAAGTGACTATACGTAATATACAGCACTGTCTATAAAAACAACACACCCTTCCAAATGACAGCAACTTCAAAAGGATAAAGAAACACCAGCCCTCTCAGTTGAGGAGGAACCAGTGCAGGAACCCTTGCAATTCAGTAAGTCAGAGTGTCTCCTTACTTCCAAAGGATCGAACTAGCTCCCCAGCAATGGATCCTAACCAGACTTAGATGTCCAAAATGACAGACATAGAATTTAGAATCTGGATGACAAGGAAGCTCAATGAGATTCAAGAGAAAGTTAAAACCAATCCAAGGACCCCAGTAAAGTAATCCAAGAGTTGAAAGATGACATAGCCATTTTAAGAAAGAACCAAGCTGAACTTCTGGAATTGAAAAAATCACTACAGAAATTTCAAAATAAAATTGGAAGTCTTAACAACATAATAGAGCAAACTGAAGAAAGAATTTCAGAGCTCAAAGTCCAGTCTTTCAAGTCAACCCAGACAAAAATAAAAAAAAAATTAAAAAAAATAAACAGAACTTCTGAGAAATATGGGATTATTTAAAGAGACCAAACCTATGACTCACTGGCATTTCTGAGAGAGAAGAAAAGATAGTAAGCAACTTGAAAAACATATTTGAGGCTATAGGCCATGAAAAATTCCCCAGTCTTGGTGGAGAGATCAACATGCAAACTCAAGAAATGCAGAGAACCCCTGCAAGATACAAGACAACCATCCCTAAGACACACAGTTATCAGACTTTCCAAGGTCAATGCCAATAATGGTATTTCCTAGTTTCTCTTCTAGCATTTTTATAATTTTAGGTCTTCTATTTAAATACTTATTTAATCTTGAGTTGACTTTTGTATATGGTGAAAGATAGGGATCCAGTTTCAATCTTCTGCAATAACTACTAGCCAGTTATCCTAACACCATTTACTGAATTGGAAGTCTTTTCCCCATTGCTTGTTATTGTCGACTTTGTCGAAGATCAAGTGGTTGCAGGTATGCAGCTTTATTTCTAGGTTCTCTATCCTGTTTTGTTGGTCTATGTGTCTGTTTGTTTTTCCTTTTTTTTTTTTTTTAACCAGCATCATACTCTTTTGGTTACCATAGCCTTGTAGTATAGTCTTAAGTCAGGTAGTGAGGTGCCTCTGGCTTTTCTCTTTTTGCTTAGGATTGTTTTGGCAACTTGGGCTTTTTTGTTGTTGTTGCATAGGAATTTTAGGATAGTTTTTTTCTAATTCTATGAAAAATGACATTGGTAATTTGGTAACATTGAATCTGTAACTTGCTTTGGGCAGTATGGCCATATTAATATTAATTCTTCATATCCATTAACATGAAATATTTTTCCATTTATTTGTGTCATCTCTGATTTCTTTTAGCAGTGTATTTTAATTCTCATTGTAGCTACCTTTCTGATTTCTTTCAGCAGTGTATTTTAATTCTCATTACAGCTATCTTGATTAGCTGTATTCCTAGGTGTTTCATTCTTGGCTATTCTTTGGCTATTGTAAATGGGGTTGCATTCTTGATTTGGCTCTTAGCTCGGATATTATTAGTGTATAGAAATATTATTAATTTTTCTGCATTGATTTTGTATCCTGAAAATTTACTGAAGTGTTTTATCAGTTTTAGGAGCCTTTTGCCAGAGCCTGTGGGGTTTTCTAGGTATAGAACCATCATTTGTGAAGAATGATAATTTTGCCTCCTCTCTTCCTATTTGGATGCCTTTTATTCCTTCCTCTTGCCTGATTGTTCTGGCTAGGACATCCAGTACTAGTTGAATAGGAATGGTGAGAGTGGGAATCCTAGTCTTGTTCCAGTTCTCCAGGGGAATGCTTCCAGCTTTTGCTAATTCAGTAGAAGTTGCCTGTGGGTTTGTCATATATGGCTCTTATTATTTTAAGGTATGTTCCCTCAATGTCTAATTTTTTGACAGTTTTTTTTTATTATGAAAGGATGTTGAATTTTATTGAAAGCCTTTTCTACCTCTCTTAAGATTATGATTTTTTAAAAAAATTCTGTTTATGTGTTGAATCATATTTATTGATTTGCATATGTTGAACCAATCTTGAATCCCAGTAATGAAGCCTACTTCATTGTTATGAATTAACTTTTAGATGTGCTGCTAGCTTCAGATTGCTAGTATTTTGTTGAGGATTTTTGTGTCTATATTCATCAGGGATATTGGCCTGAAGATTTTTTTTTTGTTATTGTTGTATCTCTGCTAGGTTTTTGTGTCAGAATGATACTGGCTTTGTAGAATAAGTTAAGGAGAAGTCCCTTCTCCTCAGTGTTTTTGGAATAATTTCAGTAGAATTGGTACTAACTTTTCTTTGTATATCTGTTAAAATTTGGCTGTGAATGCTTGTAGTCCTGGGCTTTCTTTTAGTTGGTAGCCTTTTTATTACTAATTCAATTTTGAAACCTGTTATTGGTATCAGGATTTCAGTTTCTTCCTGGTTCAATCCTAGTAAGCTGTGTGTTTCCAGGAATTTATCCATTTCTTCTAGTTTTTCTAGTTTGTGTGCATAGAAGTGTTCATAAAAGTCTCTGAAGGTTTTTTGTATTTCTGTGGGGTTGGTTCTAATGTCACTTTTGTAATTTCTGATTGCATTTATTTTGATTTTATCAATTTTTTCTTTGTTAATCTAGCTAGTGGTCTGTTACTCTTGTTTATTCATTCAAAAAACAAACTTTGGTTTCATGGATCTTTTGTGTTAATGTTTGCATCTCAATTTATTTCAGATTAGCTCTGATTTCGGTTATTTATTTTTTGCTGCTAGACTTGGGGTTGGTTTGCTCTTGTTTTTATATTTCCTCTAGGTGTAATGTTAGGTTGTTAGAGATCTTTCTAACTTTTAGATATAGGCATTTTTTTAGATATAGGCATTTAGTGCAATAAACTTTCCTCTTGACACTGCTTTATCTATTTCCCAAAGAATCTGATATGTTGTGTCTTTGTTTTCATTAGTTTCAAATAATTTTTTGTTTCGGTCTTAATTTTATTCTTTATCCAAAAGCCATTCTAGAGTAGGTTGTGTAACTTCCATGTAATTGTTTGGCTTTGAGAGATCACCTTTGTATTGATTTCTATTTATCTTGTACTATGGTCTGTCTGAGAGTGTGGTTGGTATGATATTAATTTTTCTGAATTTGTCATGACTTGCTTTATGGCTCCATATGTGGTTAATCTTAAAGTATATGCCATGTGCAGATGAGAAGAATGCATATTCTATTATACTTTGGTGGAGCATTCTCTAGATGTCTACTAGGTCTGATTGGTCAAATGTTGAGTTTAAGATGAGAACGTCTTTGCTAGATTTCTGCCTCAATGAACTGTCTAACACCATCGGTGGGGTGTTAAAGTTTCCCACTACTATTATGTGGTTATCTAAATCTCTTTATAGATTTCTAATACTTCGTTTTATGAATCTGGGTGCTCCAATGTTTGGTGTGCATATATTTAGGATAGGTAGGTCTTCATGTTGAATTGAACAACATTATATAATGTCCTTCTTTGCCCTATTTGATCAGTGTTGGTTTAAAAATCTGTTTTGTCTGATATGAGAAGAGCACCCCCGATCATTGTTTTGCATTTGCCTGATAGATATTTCTCCATCCCTTTAATTTGAGCCTATGGGTGTTGTTACTCATGTAATGGGTCTCTTGAAGACAGTAGACAATTGAGTCTTGCTTCTTGGTTCAACTTGCCACTCTGTGCCTTTTAAGTGGGATGTTTAGCCCATTTATTTACATTCAAGGTCAATATTGATAAGTGAGGAATTGATCTTGTAATTGTGTTGTTAGCTGGTTGTTGTGTACAATTAGTTGTATAGTTGCTTTATAGTGTCAATAGGATATGTACTTAAGTGTGTTTTTGTGGTGGCAGGTATCATTCTTTCATTTCCATGTTTAGAACTACTTTTAGGACCTCTTGTAAGGCAGGTTTAGTGGTAATGAATTCCCTTAGTATTTGCTTGTTTGAAAATTATTTTATTTTCACTTTTCTTATAAAACTTAGTTTTGCAAGATATGAAATTCTCGGTTGAAATTTATTTTCTTTAAAGATGCTAAAAATTGGCCCCCAGTCTCTTCTGGTTTGCAAGGTTTCTGCCAAAAGTTCTGCTGTTAACCTGATAAGGTTCCCTTTGTAAGTGACCTGCCCCTTCCCTTTAGCTGCCTTTAAGATGTTTTTCTTTTGATTTGATCCTAGGTAATCTAATGACTATGTGTCTTTCAGATAGTCATCTTATATAGTATCTTACAGGGATTCTCCGAATAGGCCACACATGTTTCTTGGAAGGAGGACAGAGCCTAGCAAGGATGCTACGGGCTCCCAAGGAGAGCCTGTAACAGAGAAGGAAGCAGTGAGTACCACGGCTGGAGGTTTGGGTGGGTTACACTGAAAGGAGGTAGGAACTAAGCCTAGGAAGCGTGGATACGATTCAGGCGTGTGGCATTTGAAGAGGACAAGCCAGTTAGAAAGATATTAGCAGACTTAGAAGTTTAAAAATATTCATGAACACTTCAAGTTGGTTAGTTTGACTGAAGCCTAATGCACTTTTTAGAGGAACGAGGGGCAGTGTGATGGAGGAAGGAGCTGGAGGATGACCGCCTTGGTCCTAGCATGGGGCAGTGTGGCCTTTTCCTGGGAACCAACTGTCTTAAACTGAGTTCCGGGGGCAGCAGTATCTGATGATGGGATACTAGGCATTCTGCAGAGATTGCCCTTGGCTTCCACCAGATAAAATGAGACGGGGACATAGGAGAAAACTTATGGTCAGATATATTTGGAAAATGATGGGTTAATGAAGTTATGCGTTTTTCTTTCTGTGTGATTCATCAGACCCTCTCATGGATCAATTGGCTTTGGAATATCCTTTGCAGGCAGAACATGTGGCACTTCCCACTGGCACAGACTTGGAAATTGCTTGTTTTACCGGGATCTGGTATACGTAGGTGCCCCATTTTAAAGTTTGGGGTAAAAAGCTGCCCAAGTAATGTTTCAAAGTATTAACCTTCTATTGATGTAGATTAGCATTAGTTTTTAATCGGGCACACCCAGGGTTCTTGCCCTCAAGATAGGCTCAGAAATATCCAAACGCCCAGTTCTACTTGCTCCTGTCTTTTTCCTGTAGCCGAAACCCCGAGGCGCCCTCTCCAGGGATGAAATTGACAGCAGGAGGAACAGAGTCGGGGAGCATCCAGCTCAAGCCTCTGCTCCCCACAGCGGCTCCCGCTGGAGCCGAGGTGCCGGTCAGAGCTGCCCATCTGCGGCCCTCCTTGCTTTCCTGCTATGGAGGAACAGAGGCAGGAGGTGAGGGCCTCTGGCAGGGCCAGGGATTGCTGGCACGCACCCTCCAGAGAGCTGTGGCAGGAGCCGCGTTACGAGCTGCCTCCTTGGAGAAACAGCCTCACATCTGTGAGAAGGGCCTGCGGTGGAGCCCATACTCAGGTGGAAGGAACCGGGAGGTTTCTGGCCAGTTGCTTCTGTTTTTAGATTGTGGTAGTGAGGTGTGTGCATGTGTGTGTGCGCGCGTGTGTGCATGTGTGCATGTGTGTGTGTGCGCGCGGTGTTAGCCCAGTTGCAGGCGCTTTTCACTATGAACATAAAGGTAGAAAAAGAGATCAGTGTGCACACGAAATCTTTGTAAAGATGATATTCAGTATATTTAGCTACCACTAGGAAGTGCAATGGGTTAAAGTTAACCGGATCGCTGACTTCTGACAGCTGAGTGTGCGCTGGCTGCATTGGAGCCCTCCGCTCTCTGACAGGGGCCGTCGCTGGCCTGTGCCCCGTGCCGGCAACCCAGGCACACCTGTGCCCCTGCAGGGAGCCCCGCCCCCAGCTGTCTCTGGCTCCTGGAGTCCGAGCCCTGCCGCCCTCTACCCAGGATTTCTAGTTGCTCGTGGGCCCTCCGGGCGTGGAGGAGGACCTGGTGTCTCTCCTTTGGGCTCAGCAACCTCCTGACGTGGGGCTGGCTCCTGCCCCCTGCAGCCCCAGGATGCAGAGGGGCCGCTGGGCTGCTGTCTTGATGAGGGCCCCGCAGTCCCCGCAGTCCCCGCAGGCTGGGCGGCTTCTGAGGAAAGGCCTGGGGCAGGGCTCCGGAGCAGGGCAGGGCTCACGGCCCCTGGACTTTGGAGGCTGGATCCTGGGCCAGAGGCGAAGGCCCCTGGAACCAGGCTGCGTCGCCCACAGTTCTGCCTGGAAGGTGGAGGATCAATGTTGTCTCCTGCCCCCCAGGGGGTCAATGGGATCCTTTGAGCCAGGACGTTTTTCCAGTTTCTGAATCCAATTGTAAATCCCTCATTTTTTTAAAAACCTCTACCAGACTTTTAAAAAGTTGTCCTCAAAAAACTTTCTAATCTAGAGAGAGAAAGAGCACGGCAACTTCTAAGTGATGCTGGCGAGAAAGTCAGGAGACTTGGCACTTACAACTTTCTAAAGATCTGAATGCAAATGTCACCTGGAGCATTGGAGTATGCCGAGGCCCCTGGGTGATGAAAGTGAGGGAGAAATGAGAGGGCAGGGGTGCGCCAAATAAGGGGGGATTTCACTCCTGTCCATCCCTGGGCTTGTGTAACTCAAGGTATTGGAGAGTCAAAGTGTGCTCTTGGTTTTACTGCTACCATGAAGAGACGAAAAGCGAGCCCGCAGACTTGTGGCCCTTTCCCTGACCTGGTAAGAGAAATATTGCAGGGTGTTTTAGGATGATGCTGGAAAGAGGCAGGAGCCCTCTCTGTCTCTGAGGGTCTGCAGGGCACTTCCCCAAGGGCAGGTGGGGCGGACACAAAGGAGCTTGGGGCGGACACAAAGGAGCTTGGGGCTTCCTTCCTCTTGGCCTCCCTCTGGGCTGGACCCTGAGCTCTGCCTGGGGATGATGCAGGGAAGACCCCCATTCCCTTGGACCAGGCATCTGCTCCTCTGGGCTGGTCTCTTGGGGGCCGAGGGTGAAAGAGGAAGGAGGGAAGTGCATACCTGGGTCAGAGGCCAGGCTGGGTGTCGGGAGCCTGTATTTTATTTAGTGCTCCCAACTGCTCTGTCATGTAGCAATGGCCACTATTCTCATTTTATAAATGAGAAGATGCAGGCTCAGAAGGGTTAAATAGCCTGTGGTCCTACCATAAATGAGGCCCCAGTCCTCTGAGTCCCACACAGGAGTCTGCTGACTTTGCTCCAGGCAAGGTGCGGTGCAGGCTTCACAAGGACAGACTCCATGTCAGCCTGGCCTGGCCCAGTCTGCGAGGCAGGCAGGGTCAAAGGCCCTGGAGGAGGAGGAAGGTGGACCTTCCGTGAGCAGGGCTGGAAGATGCTTCCAGGCCCGACTCTATGGCTTTTTGAGGCTGGAAACTTCCGAGGAGAGAGTAGGAGCATTCAGGACAGTCCTTAACAAAGAGGGGGGAGTTTTTGCAGATGCCACCCAAGAGAAAAGACAGCATTACTTCACACTGCTGGCCGATGTACTGCGGGGACAAATGCTGGGGTTTTACTCAGGGCTGACCTGCTTCGGAGGGTCCCCACCTGCCTGGAGCTGGCCACAGGTCACCTCCAGCCTGGGCTCCCCGAGAACCTTCACCAGCCCTTCCCAGTTACTTTTGTCCTTTCTGGTTCTGTGATAACACAAAATAATGATGACAATGATGTGTGTTTATCAAATGCTTATTTGCCAGGTCCATGCTCAGGGCAGTCTCAGGCCATAGGTGCTATCCTCGTCCCCACCCTACCCATGTGGATACCCTGGAGGAGGATGCAGGAGGCTTCCCCACCATCTTCCCACTCTACTGCCCTCTTCCTGTCCTTACCCCTGAGTTCTGTCCACAGGGATGGTGGCCAGTCCAGTGAGAAAGATGATCCTCTTCTGGGATCTTTCTTCCAAATAGAAAGACTCTTCCCTTATAATTAATACTCAGCTTAGAGATGCTTACTTTCAAAGGAAGCAGCAGGTATATTAATAAATATTGTAAATCTTTTTGTCCTGACAACCTACTGATGCTACACTCACAGCTTTTAGATTTTAAAAAGCTGTGGGTAGAGATTTTTCAAGGCAAAATTTTGTGTCTGTGGTTTGCAAAGCTACTCTCAAAGCATAGTTTCAGCCCCAAGAATAGGCATGCCATTTACTTATGATGTTCATGCCTAACATTGATTTTTTTATCCTGACTTGCATATTTTTGAAATATAGTATGTAGTTTTATTTTCAACCAAACTATATTAAGAATGAAATATATTGGCTGGGCATGGTGGCTCATGCCTGTTATCACTTTGGGAGGCTGAGGCAGGAGTATCGCTTGAGCCCAGGAGTTTGAGACCAGCCTGGGCAACATGGTAAAACTCAGTATCTACAAAAGAGTACAAAAATTATCCAGGTGTGGTGGCACACACCTGTGGTCCCAGCTACTTGGGAGGCTGAGGTGGGAGGATTGCTTGAGCCCAGGAGGTTGAGGCTGCAGTGAGCCAAGATTGTGCCACTGCACTCCAACATGGGCAACAGGGTGAGACCCTGTCTCAAAAAGGAAAAAGAATAAAATATACTGAAGTATTAAAAGTTACATTGTCTAGATGGTGAAAACATGGGCAGTTTTAATTTTATTTATTTTAAAATTATTCATAAGTAAAATGGACAACTGTAATGATATGGGGAAACATTTAAAGAAAATATGTCCTTTATTTTTTATTTTGTAATAAATATGTGATATTCATCATATAAAAATATTGGATATCTATGTAATAAAATGGGAACAGTATTTGCCTGATAGCATTGATGATAAGAAGTATTTTCTCTCATACTGTCTATAAATTTCAAATTTGCAACAATTAAATATGAATTCATTTTATTTTTTCAGCTTCATTGAAGTATAATTGACCAATAACATTTGCATGTATTAAAAGTGTACAACTTGATATTTGTATATATTGTGAAATGACCACCAAAAGCTAATTTACATATCCATAGCCTCACAGGTACCCCTTCCTTCCTTCCTTCCTTCCCCTCCCTCATTCTCTCTTTCTCTCTCTTCCTTTTCTTTTCTTTCTTTTTTGCGTGGTGTGAATACTTTGGATCTACCCCATTAGCAAACATTTTTAAAGAGAGAGTAGAGCTAATTGAGCTGAAAGGAGTATTTCATGTATATCTCAGGTTCTGCACTTCTGAAATGGATTCCAAATAGTGTGTGGATCCTGGAAGTCCTTATAACCTTCTCTGTATTTATCCTTCTGTTCTCTGTCTCACGTCAGGTCAGGAATGGACAGGAGTGAGCAGGACGGAGTGCAGGCATCCTTCTTGGACTGGGAGGACAGCCTTGGGAGGACAGTGTCATGGGCTCTGGGAGCATCACCCAAGGCTAATGGGCTCCTGCAGATGCTCCTTGCAGCAGCAGAGTGAGGCCAGTATCTTGTAAAATGTTCCACAAACTTCTATGCACCTGCAGGCATGTGGACAATGGATAGGAACCCACGGTGGGCAATTCAGAGTGTCTGTTCAAGGAAATTGTATTTTATGTTAATGCTCATTGTTTTCTTGGAACTGGATAAAACCTGGCAGGCTCCTCTGTGGAGCATTATTAGATTTTCGGAATAATTTTTCTTTGTTGAGCGCACTTAAACTGGGTACTGAGACTGGTTCCTTCACCCCCACCCCAGGAGGCCTAGAGAGGAATCACTGGCCTGAGCCAGAAACAGGAAAGCAGGGGAGAGAGGAGGCGACGGTGGGGACGTGTTCCTCGATGTGCCCATTTCCTAGTTGTTACGTGTATGTGTGCATGTGTGTGCCTGCGTGTGTGTCCGTGTATGTGTGTGCGTGTGTGTGTGTGTGTGCATACATGCTCAGCAGCACAGCCTGGTGAAGGGCCTGGAGTGGCATGGAGGGAAACGCAAGGTGAATCTGAAAAAGAAGGACCACCACAGCTGAGAGAAATTTGCAGGAGGGAAATGTGGGGGAGAGCTTGGAACTCTCACTGTCTCTGGAACGGGGGTCCAACAAGCTCACCTCAGCGGCTTGAGGGTTCTGATCACTGCATCTGCCGTGTCCTAATGTTACAGTAGGTAGCTAGTCAGGCATGAGCAGGGCAGGGGAGGGCTCCCCACCCACACACCAGGAGTGTCTGGTGACGGTCAGGTGACGGTCAGGCGGTTGTAAAGTGTCTCGCTAAAGTAATAATTGGTCACAGCTGGCACCAGGGAAAGGCCGTCTCCAAATAAAAAGAAAACACCTAAAACTGGTGATCAGCAGCTTCCCAATAAGATCTCAGGAAGTGGGCGAGTGAGCTCAAGCATGTGCATTAAGAGGCAAAGTGATGGAGTTTAACTGTTGTATGACCTTCCTGTAGGAATGCTAGTCTGGTAAGGAAAGAATGCCTCAAATAAGCATGCATACAGCTCCAGGAAACACATAGCACACGCTCCACTCCCAACTGCTGGCAGGCCACTGTGCGTGCAGACAGCCCGCCCCAAGGGATGAATCGGGAGAAGGGACACAAGACCCCGGAAGCATGCCAACATATACAAGCCCAAGTCAAAAGGTCAAACCCTGCACTTGTCCTTCAAGTTACCTGCTTGGGCCTCTTCCAAGTGTACTTTCCTTCCTTGTGTTCCTGCTCTAAAGCTTTTTAATCAACTTTCACTCCTGCTCTAAAACTTGCCTTGTTCTCTCCTTCTGCCTTATGCCCCTCAGTTGAATTCTTTCTTCTGAGGAGGCAAGAATTGAGGTTGCTGCAGACCCGTAAGATACGGATTCGCTGCCGGTGACACTAACATAGATGCTGAGCAATAATCCAGAGCAGATACCAGTGGCCTGAGTAGGGGGTTGTGTGACGGAAGGAAGTGTGTTCTTTCAGGATACACTTAGAAGGCAGAATCAGTGGGACATAGTGACTAACTGATGATGAATCCCACATTTCTGTCCTGGGCACCTGGACGATGGTGGGGCCTCCACTTGGTGTGCAGGACTCAGAAGATGGAGCGTATTTTAAGGGAGCAGGAAACTGGCAAGTGTAGGTTTGCCCCAGGGAGTTCAAGGTGCTGCAGAATATCCAAGTGGAAAAGTGACCAGTTGACTCAGATTCTAGGCTTCAGGGGAGACACCTGGGTTGGCAACATAGCTCTGGGAAGATTAGTTTATACTTTGAGACCTATCTGAATTTTTCCATGTGAAAGCATTTAGTTTCATGGATGGAGATGAGTGCATTTGGGTGGGGCAAAGAGGAGACAAGCTCAATGAGCAAAGAAACCCTGTGAGGAGGGAGGGCAGGGCCCTGCTGCAGGGAGAGGAGGCTGGGGGGGAAACATTGCTCAGGGACACACACTATTAAGGCTGTCCTGGGGGTGGCAGGGCCTGTCAAATAGAACTTCGCTTCATGCTGCCTTATCCTTCCCGGGTATGAGCAGGTGTTTGGTGCCTCTTCTGTGCCGGTCAGTAGATTCCCCAGACGGGGCAGTAGAATATCTGGGGGCAGCTGGTCACCTCATACACAGGGCTCAGGAGGAAGCGTCTCCTAAGTCCAAGTGGTAATTTTTTTTTTTTTGAGACAAAGTGTTGCTCTGTCACCCAGGCTGGAGTGCAGTGGCACGATCTTGTCTCACTGCAACCTCCGCCTCCTGAGTCCAAGTGATTCTCCCGCCTCAGCCACCTGAGTAGCTGGGATCACAGGCATGTGCCACCATGCCCAGCTAATTTTTGTATTTTTAGTAGAGACAGGGTTTCACCATGTTTGCCAGGCATGTCTTGACCGCCTGACCTCAAGTGATCCACCCATCTCAGCCTCCCAAAGTGCCGGGATTACAGGCGTGAGCCACCGTGCCCGGCCCACGTGGTGAATTTTAAGTGAGCGGCAGATCCTGGCTCTTCACCATCACTTTTTCCCGTGAAAGACATCCAACGATTGAAAACCTTTGAATTTTTAGCTGGTAAAAGCCTCAGCATTTACTTAGCAAATATTGAGACATTGGATGGGAAGCTTCTGATGTTTCAGGCACTGTGTTCCCTGTTCTGAGGAATAAATAAGATACTTCCCTGTAGGATCTCAGAGATTAGCAGGATGATGAGGCAGGAAAGGGGCCAGGTACTAGGCATGGAGTCCCCAGAATGGGGCACAGGGCTGGAAAAGGCCGGGGAGGACAAGCTTTCCTCCAAGGAGAAGGAGGGAGGTGGCTTTGAACCGACCCTAGAGAGAGGCATGGTGGTTTAGCAAAAGGACCCTGGGGTAAGCCATTTAGGAGGCACAGACTGGGGCCAGGTTTTGTTAGCAGCGGAAGGTCTCTGAGTCACAGGGCACCAAAGTATGTTAGCAGCAGCAACTCCGGACCAGTCTGCAGCAACCTCATTCCTTGCCTCCTCGGAAGAAAGAACTCATCTGAGGAGCATTAGGCAAGGGAGAGACTGAGGCAAGTTTCTGAGCAGGAGTGGAGGTTTCTTAAAAAGCTTTAGAGCAGGAATGAAAAGAAGGAAAGTACACTTGGAAGAGGGCCAAGCAGGAGACTTGAAGGACTAGTGCAGGGTTTGACCCTTTGACTTGGGGTTTTATATGTTGGCATGCCTCCGGGGTCTTGCGTCCCTTCTCCCCTGATTCTCCCCTTGGGGTGGACTGCACGCATGCATGGTGGGCTGCTGGCGCTTGGGAGGGGCGCATGCGCAGTGTGTTTACTGGAGTCGTACCCATGCTCCCTTGAGGCGTTCTTCCCTTACCAGCCGAATGTCCCTAGGAGGTCATATGCCACTCACACTCTGCCATTTTGCCTCTTAGTGCGCATGTGTTGAGCCCACTCACCTCACGCCGGAGGAGATCTATCTGAAAGCTGCGGGCTTCAGGTGTTTCTATCTATTGGGAGATGCCGTTCCCTGGCGCCGGCTGCAAACAATTATTATTTTAGAGAGACAGCTAACCAACCGCCTGACCACCACCTGATGGTCGCCCGCCCCTCATGGTGGGGTGGGGGCCCTCTCTGTCCTGCTCTGCCTGACCAGCTACTGACCTAACAGTTTGATGTCCTTGTGAGCCATGCTTAAGGAATTTGAACTGGCCCCTATATGAAATGGAGACCACTGGCAGATTTAAAATTGGGAGTGAAATTTAAATTTCTATGATTTAGAAAGACTTTCTGGCAACTGGATTGGACTTGGAGGATCCTGAGTGCCGCCAGATTGGTTGGGGATGCTGAAGTGCGCAGGACGCCGAGGCTAAGGGGCAGGAAGGGACGGCCAGCATGCAGCGCCACGATTCGGTCAGCAGGTGGCGCGCGAGCACCGCGTTTAACCAGTTTCTAGGTGCGCGTGCTTTGCTGTCTTTTGTTACCATTTTGTTTGTTGTTTGTTTTGGTTTGGGTCTTTTTGTTTTGCGTGTGAGTGATGGATTTTTGTGTCTGCCTTGAGCTCTTCCACCCTATGCCTACTCAGCCTTCTTCAACTTGTGATTTTCTCCCTCCCTCTCTCCACCGTGAGATTAACCAGAATTAGACAGGGCAGCTTAGACAGAGAAAGCAGGTGTGCAGTTTCAGAAAGACCACGTGGCTACAGCCAGCCCAGCTGGCCTTATGTGCCCCACCGTCCTCCACCAGAGCTCTGGAGCCACTTGTCCTGCCCTGGGCCCAGCAGGCATCACAGCCAGTGGGAGGGGCCACAGGCTGCCCTGGGGTGTGGAGAAGCACCCCCTAGCTCCCCATCCCATGCACTCTGGTCTATTTCTTCCTACATCCCAGATGGACTCACCCGATTCAAGAGGCCCCCATCACATCAGCTTCAGCCTTCATCTTGGGAGTCCTTAAATGCAGGACTCAAGAGTCTGCATTTGTTCTTAAGGACAGGAGATTTGCTTTAACTCAGACAATTTCTCCTTATAGACTCCTTTCTTCATAGTAGAAAGAGAAGGAGCCCCCAAAGGCACATCCTCCTAGCAGGTGGTTCTGGCCCCTGTTCTGCCAGTCATCTGCATGCAGCCCAGGCGTGCCACTCAGCCACACTGATTCTCAAGGGCCTCACCAGGAACGTTTTTATCTTTGCCCTATCCTCCAGGATGATGAGAATAAGAGAAAAATAAAGCAAGTATCGAAATTTCTCCTAGAAAAGTGTTTTTAGTAATTTATACCATTTAATCCTTGGATGGGCTATTTGAGCTAGGATTTCTGTTCTCATTGCCTTTGACATTTAATGCCTATGAGACCTTGGGCAACTTCTACCTCGCTGACCTGTAGGTTCAGGTGGAGTTTCTTGCTCAAGTTATGTGCTCCACACCCATAAAATATGGATAATAACACAAATTCATTAAGGATGCCATTAATTGAAAAACAAAGTTGGGCTTAGTATTTCTTATGATTAGTATACTGTCTTAATATCTAACCTGATCGCCAATCCACACTTGGATAACAAGAAGACCTCTATTTTTTAGTCTTTGTTTTGTTTCTCTTTTTATTCTAATTTTATTTTTTAATGGATAAATAATTGTAAATATTCACAGGATACATAGTGATGTTTCAATACATATAATGTGTAGGGATCAGACAAGGTTAATTAGCTTATCCATCGTCTCCAACATTTATCATTTCTTTGTGTTGAGAGAACTCATTTTTTATTTTTTCCATTAATTTCTTAAAAATTTACATCTGTGGAGTACAGGTGCAATTTTGTTACATGTACAGGTCGCATACACTTCAGCAAAGACACTTAATCTGGCACTTATCAAATGCCAGATGCTATTCAGTAAAAGGTGTCAGAGATATTTGGTTATTTATCTTAAGGGTGAGACTTTTGCACTGCAAAGCAAAGTCTTATCACAAGTAAAAAATTTCTGGCCCAGCAACATGAGTGATTCCAGACCATTCTCACGCTGAGGGGCTTGGCCCAGCCACTAGGTTGGGATCAAGGGGCAGTGTGCAGTCTTGTAGTCAACTGGAAATTGGAAGGAAAAAGTGAGAAGACCTTAGGTTTTGCTTCTGGGTCTGTGCCATTAACCAGCCGGGTGGTCTTGGGTGATTCACTTCATGCCTTTGTCCACGTTTCTTATTATTAAAGCAGGACTGTCACCTTTCTATGCCCTCTCACAAGGCTCTCCTGTAGGCCAGATGGAGATAGCGATGGAAAAAGTATTCTGCAACCATAGAGAGCTCTGTAGATGCAGCTGTTAATAAGTGGGTGACTTAATTCTTCGGACGGTTCACAGAACTCTTCTGTAACCTGCTGCTATGTGAAGCACTGGGCAAGAAACAGGGTAAGAGAGTCAGAGCTGAACAAGACTTACTTTCTTCTCTAAAGTTGCTAATATAGAGCCCTGCGGTTTGATAAAATGTAAGCCCATTTATTTATTAAGTTTGTATTCCCTAGATATATTTCCACCAAATAGGAAGATGATTTCATTTTAAAGCTTTAAAAAGAATATACATAAAATATATGCCCTTGGGCTTTATTTTCCATATAGGACCATTTTACTTACCTTGAAAATCTATTTCCTCGATGAGCATTGCTGTGAGGTTTTTACTAGCTACCATATAGGTGATATGGTTAGGCTTTTTGTCCCCACCCAAATCTCCTCTTGAATTGTAATCCCCAGGTGCTGAGGGAGGAACCTGGTGGGAGGTGATTGGATCATGGGGGTGGTTTCCCCTATGCTGTTCTCATGATAGTGAGTGAGTTCTCAGGGGATCTGATTGTTTATAAGTGTTTGGCAAGTTCCTCCTTCACTCACTCTTCTCTCTCCTGCCACCATGTGAGAAACGTTCTTGCTTCCCCTTTGCCTTCCACCATGACTGTAAGTTTCCTGAGGCCTCCCCAGCCATGCAGAACTGTGAGTCAATTAAACCTCCTTTGTTTATAAATTACGCAGTTTGGGGTATTTCTTTATAGTAGCGTGAAATCGGACTAATACAGTAGGTGAATTCTTGCCCACTTTATACCTCAGTCATACTGAACTTAAAAGGGTACTAGGCCCATGAAATCATCTGTGGCCTTTGAATTCTGGAAACATTCCTAGCTTTCTTCTGAAATCACAGCAGGCTAGTACATTTAAAAATGGGACTACTAACTTTTCTTCATCTCTGCCTGATTATTATCCATTGCTTATGTATTTTTCACATATGGGTTATTCATTCTTTGTCCTCCAGAATCATGCCTGATGATTTTGAGAGATTTATCCTATCTGCATGCAAAATGTTGCCTATTTTCTCCCAATTTCATTTTAAGTTACCTCTTCTTTCATCTCCATAATAATTATAACCATTTTCCTATTAACAATTTCAAATCTTTCACCTGCTTATGCCTTATTAAACAAAAGGTTAATATATTTGTGAAAGCTGCAAATCTAAGCACCATGTCACATGTATACCTTGGATGAAGAGCAGCATGGTGGCTGACTGTCACTATTGCCTGCACTGCCCAGCAAGTAGGTGAGATTTTCCTCTGGGAGATCTTTTTTTCCAGTCTAAGAAAGGTCTAAAATTAAAAGTTTGTGAATAGAAAAAAAAATGTACACTCTTGTCCATCTCTATTGCAGTAAGAGTTTTAAATCAAGAATAGATCTGTGATTTTATCAAAGAGTTTTCCTGCTCTTACAGAAGGATTACACAGATTTACCTTTGTGTCCACTCAAATGGTAAATTGTATTGGTAGGTTTTCTAATATCAAATCACCTTGCATTTCTGGGAGGAACTCCACCTGCCTATGGTGGTTGTCTTTGGATGGGATTGGATTGTATTTGCTAATATATATCAAGAAATTTAATATAATTATTTAAAAGTGCAGGTGACCCACAGATTTCTTCTTCTTGCCTCTTCATTGGGTTTCAGTTTTATGTGTTGCTAGCTTTACAAAAGCATTTGGAACTTTTCCTCCCCTTCTCCCTTCTCCCTCTTCCTCCTGTCTCCTCCTCCTCCTCCTTTTATGTCTCCTGTTCACAGAAACATTTAATATTCAAGTAATCTGTTTCTCAAAGATTTGTTAGAAATCTGTTAAACATACAGGGCTTGGTGCTCTTTTGTCAGGAGGAATGTTAGTTCTCTGAGAGCTTCATCTGTTCCATATTAACTGGTCTATTTGGAATATTTTCTCTTTAATAGGGTCAGTTTGGGTAATGTACAGTTTTATCTTTTCCAGATCTTTAAATTCTGGAAAATTTATGATTTGATCTTTCTTTTCCTTTCCCCTTACTTCAGTGGTTACTTCTTTATTGTTAGATAATCTTAATAGTTCATCATTTTTGCTATTGCTGTTATATAATATTCTAAAAGCAACCCTTGGATTTATTTAGTCCTACAGTTTTTTGTTCCTTATCAATTAATTTCTGCCTTTATCTTTGTTAATTATTTTGTTCTGCTTTCCTTAATTTTATTTTTTTAGCTTTCTAATTTATTGAGTTGAATAAAAAAACCTATTGCCATTTATACTTGCTAATCACTTAATGTTTTGCATGTAAGTATTGAGACTTTGATTTACTCTTTGACCAAAGTGGTGTTAATGGAAGAGCCTTAAATTTCCTCATGAAAATCTTTTCAAATTAATTTTACTTGCTAATTTTGTTTTTGAAAATTTTTCAAAGTACTGTAGATAGCATTGCTACTCTTTGGTTATTTAGTGAGGTTTTTCTTATGGCCTAATAAAAGGTCAGTTTTTTAAATTGTGGCATGAACACCTGAATATGTACATTTTCTGTTTTCATGATGAAGAATTAGACATACGTTAATTATATTCACCCTAGTAATTATGTAACTTACGTCTTCTATATTGAGACATATTTTTTTGTCTATTTCTATTTTTTATGAAACCAGAGTGGTAAATTATTATTCCACCACTGGTGTTTTTCTATTTATCCGTATGCTATCTTTAATTTTTGTCTGTAAATGTTCATTCAAGGTATTTGGAGCGTAAAGCTTAGGTGTGGTCTGGCTTAATGGAAACCCTGGCTCTCCCACCTGTGAAGAGTTGGCTTCCAGGAGTTATTGCATTAGCTGAGCTTCCATGTACTTATCTGGAAAATGGGATAATGATCCTTTTTTTTTTTTTTTTTTTTTTTTAGAGTGAGTTTCACTCTTGTCATCCAGACTGGAGGGCAATGGTGCAATCTCAACTCCCTACAACCTCTGCCTCCCAGGTTCAAGGGAGTCTCCTCTCTCAGCCTCCTGAGTAGTTGGGATTACAGGTGCGCACCACCACGCCCTGCTAATTTTTATATTTTTAGTAGAGACAGGGTTTCATCATGTTGGCCAGGCTCGTCTCAAACTCCTGACCTCAAGTGACCTGCCTGCCTCGACCTTCCAAAGTGCTGGGATTACAGGCATGAGCCACCGCGCCCGGCTGGGATAATGATTCTTATGTTGTAGAATCAAGATGAAGTTTAAGAATAATGCTTGTAAAACACCAGGTCCATAGTAGATGCTAATAAAATGCACTGTTTTTAATTGTTGTCATTATTCTTACACTCATTCTCTGTTAGCCAACATAATGGCTATGTTCATGAAGGGGTAGTGTGAAGCACACTTTCCTAATGGTTTCTCTATCTCTTTGGGAGTTATGCATGTAAATACTTCTACCCACACTGCTCCGACTGTCGCTCACATTATTTTAATTGTTTCTGCCCCTCATGCTGCTGCTAGTTCTTACGCTATTTTTATTCCTATTTCTATTTCTGCTTCTGTTATTGTTCTGCAGTAATTCTACTTTTGCTCTTTTGCTTCTATTTCTATTGTTGACATGCCTTCTAAGAAGGCTTCTCCTGCTGTTGTTTCTATATTTACATTACCACTGCAAACACTGTTAGTGTCTTACTTTGATCTATGAGTACTTGAGTAGACAAGATCATGGGGCTGGAAGGTTAGGCTGTCATCCTAGTTTTGCTAGAGGGAGCCACTCTGGCACCCTCTCTGCGCATGCTTCCTCGTCTGACAGATGAGAGCCTCACTGCTCTAGGAGTTCCCTCGCAGAATTGCCATAAGATTCAAATGATGTTATGTTTGCAGATGCTCTGCAGAGATGCCGAGGGCCCTGGAAGCTGCTTTTATTTTTTTTCAAGTTCAGTAGATCATTTGGGTCCCAGAGAGGGCTTCAAGGATTATAAAGTCTTGGTTTCTTCTCTCTTTATTTCATAATGGGCCTGGCCTTGTGAATGTGTGTGTGTGAGTGTGTATGCATGAGTGAGTGTGTGTGTGTGTGTGTGTGTCAGAGAGAGACAAAGGGATGAAAAGAGAGAGAATTTAGTGCCTCAATTTCTGCCTCTAGTCTAAGATCAGATGCCATTTCTGCAGAGAGACAACTATGCGGGGCTGGAAGTTTTGGAGCTGAATTGGTTCCTGGATGCTGTTCCTGGAGGGGAAAGTAGGTACGGAGAGGCCAAAATGTTAGCGCCACTCCTTTATAGAATATTGCATTTCAAATTTCCAGTGTTATATCTTAGCTAAAAATATGTGTCCATAGATACAATAATCTAGGTTAGGTTCCAAGATTTGTTATCTCTCAAGTGAGGCCAAGAAGATGGCTTCTGCCCAGGATTCCAGGAGAGTGGGACTGCACACAGCACATAACTTACTTTGCAAGGAGGGATTGCTTGTGGTTTTCGTTAGCTCTGGAGCTTCGGAAGTCACTGTCAAGCTAGCTACTTCCCAGGAAAATATGCACTTAAAAGGTCTCCTGGGCCATCCAAATTGTGGGACAAAAATTACCTGTGTGCCCTTCTTTAGCCAACTAGGGGCCAGAAGTGATGTTATAGACAAGCTAGGGCCTTTCAGTCCTGGTGTGACTTCAGTCCTGGTGGCTGACTTGGGTGCTTTGACCAAAACAGGCCCTGTCCAAGCTTCCATTTTCTGGTGTTTGTGTGGTGTTAAGTAATATCGTGCATGTAAAAATGTTTGAAACTGAATGTGCATAGTAAGCGTTCAAGCAATGTTAGTGTTTATTACCAGTGCAGAATACCAGGTTTGAAAAGAACCTGACCAAGCTCTTGGCACATTTTGGGTGTTTTAGAAATATTACCACATTCCCTTAGATGTTCCGTCATAAGAAACAAAACACAGGATTGAGCATTAGAACAAAAGAGGGTGTGTATGATGCTGACAACAACCAACTGGAATAGTAGAATTTTGGAGGAGTAATTAGGAGAGAGTTGGGCTGCCTTAATTTCATTCAAACACTCAAATGTGTGCAGGTACATGAACACACATGAACAGAACACAGCCCCATAATATGTAATATTATCTAAGAGTAAGTTGTTTAGCTGGCTTCCGTGCATTGCTGGGCCTTGGAAGCTCTTTATCTGGAGCAGGGGTCCAGTAAGGGTGACACTTGCTCCCAGCTACAATGTGTCCAGTCAAGCGAAGGGACCAAGTCAGCACATTTCAGAGAAGCCAGCTTAGACAGTCAGGTGGATTGTTTTAAGCTGTCAGTAGTTGGAAGGACTGGGACCCAGTGGGCAGGGAAGCAAGGTGAGCTGAAGGGAGTTGTCTGAAGTGGCAGATGAGGAAGCAGCCTAGAGAAATTGCCTGATCTCAGGTGTATATATCTAACCCTGGTTTCCATTGAGAGCTCAAGCACTGTGCTGGGGTGGGGCAGGGGTTCCTGGAAAATGAACTGCCTCATGAGCAGTGTGGACTGAGGCCAGAAGGCCACTGATATGGTGTGGCTCTGTGTCCCCATCCAAATATCATCTTGAATTGTCATCCCCATGTGTTGAGGGAGGAAGCTGATTGGATCAGGAAGGCGGATTTCCCCTTTGCTGTTTTCATGATAGTGAGTGAGTTCTTACAAGATCTGATGGTTTTATAAGGGGTTCTTCCCTCTTCGCTCAGCACTTCTCTTTCCTGCTGCCTTGTGAAGAAGGTGCCTGCTTCTGCTTAGCCTTCCACCATGATTGTAAGTTTCCTGAGGCCTCTCCAGCCATGCAGAACTGTGAGTCAATTAAACTTCTTTCCTTTATAATTACCAAGTCTCAGTTATTTACAGCAGTGAGAGAATGGACTAATACAGACACACAAATCTGAGTGGGGGAAGGAGCCAAGACCCACTAGAGGAGCTGCCTGTGTGGTGGGAGGAGGACCCTGCTGGAAGCCGTGTCCAGTTTGGAGCAACTGAGCTGTCCACAACACCATATGAAAAGACAATAAGAGGCTCTGACATGGCTTCAGACTGTGTGCACCTCCACCCCTGGGCAGGAGCTCTCAAGGCCAGGAAGGGACATCTCCAGGTGATTAATCAGGAACTGGGGTTCTGATTCATGAGAGGTCCTCAGTGCAGGGAGACCAGAGGCAATGGGATCAGAGGAAGTAGGGGGTCACAAAAGGGGACAAAATTCTTGGTCTTTTAAAAATTTTATTAGGGCTTACTTGCTTTAAAAAATAGTAATTTGTACCTGTAATCCCCATGCTCTGGGAGGCCAAGGCAAGTGGACCACTTGAGGTCAGGAGTTTGAGACCAGCCTGGGCAACATGGCAAAACCCTGTTTCTACTAATAATACAAAAATTTGCCAGGTGTGGTGGCACGCACCTGTAATCCCAGCTACTCGGGAGGCTGAAGTATGAGAATTGCTTGAACCCGGGAGGCAGAGGTTGCAATGAGCCAAGGTCATGCCACTGCATTCCAGCCTGGATGACAGAGTGAAACTGTGTCTCAAAACAAACAAACAAACAAACAAACAAAAAACAGTAATTTGCCATCACAGCAATCTGCAAATTGCATTTTTTAGGTATATTTAATCATTAAAACCACCTCACTTAGATATTACAGATGAGGAAATGGACTCTCAAGATAAAAGATGTGGCCAGGTTCGTGCAGCTCCTAAGAGGTGGAACCTAGATGTGATTACTTTCATAACGTGGGTTCTTTTACTCCGTCACTGGGCCTGAGTGTCCTATATTGATCTAGGCTTTTGGAGGTGAGCAATGGGTTACTTCCTTTCCGAAGGTCACTTACGGTAGCTGTGTTTGTTCAAACGTTGCCCACGGGCAGCCCGGTGCTGTGTGAATGTGTTTGCACACACAGAAGCAGATGTGTGTCTGCGAATGTGTGATATTTATTTGTGCGTGCACCTGATTTGACATAGGGCAAGCAGCAATGGTTCTCATGGAACTTATCCAAACACCTAGTGAGGATGAGGGGCTGTTTTGTAATGCATGTGACTGAGCGGGGTCAGCTTCTGTTGTATGATGGTGCATAATTCTTTTTCATTAAGCGATGGAAACATCTGTTCTCTTCAGCCTGTTTAAAGGTTTTACTTTATTAGATATTGGTTAATGATCACAAAGTCATTTGCCTTTAAAAACAGGTGCTCCTCTCTGCATATAAAGCTGGTGTCTGAGGCTAGTGGGAGAATAAATGACCCTGTAAGCAAAGTGTGGGCATCCCCCAAAGAAGCCCTAAAGCACCCTGGAGGCGGCAGAGCATCCAGCTGAGATCCCTTGGCTTGCCCTATCTTTATACTAGTCCTGTCTACGCAAGATTATTATCATTGTTGATGTGGGTAGGGATGTGGGGAATGTACTTACTTCCATCATTGTGGAATGTCCCATTTGGACACGTAAAAGCATTCACAGTGGAGTTAGTCTAGTGACGGTTTATGGTTGCTCTGATCTTCCTTTTGCCAATAGAATAGACAGCCTGCCCTAGGATGCTGAGAAAAACAGTGAACTTTCATGGTTGCTTGCCTGATCCTCTCAGAATGGTGGACCCTGACTTTGCACGAGCCAGGCATTAGAAGGAGTCTTGTAGCCAAATTGCAACCACCACCAGCAACCACAAACTACCAGGCTGTAGAATATGACTTTAAAATAAAATGATCTATGCAACACCTGCGAGGTTGTCCTAGAGATGCTGCAGCTGTTGGCTGTGAACGTGGCTTACTCCATGTACAGGTGAATGTCAGAGATTTTACAGGAAGTCTAGGAGAAAAATTTCAGAAGTCATGATTCTTTGATCTTGTTTCATTTTAATTCTATAAACCATTCATGTTCTCCTACTATGTGCAGAGTGTGCTGAGGGACACATGATGGCTGGAAGCCATCCTTCCTTTGATGAGTTTAAAAAATATTTTTGAGCACCTAATCAAAAATTCAATTTATATCTCCATGACTGGTAACAGCCACATTCTTTCTACAACAGTGTTATGTCATAAGCAGGAAGTTCAATTTATTGCTGTCAGTGTGTCCAGAAGCAAATGGATTGGGTGAGGTAGCCTATTCTTCAAATGAGGACCATGTCGCTCTCTTGTCCATTGGTCCTTAATCTAGACTGTGCATTAGAGTCTAGGAGCTTCTAAGCATATCAAGGACAACGCCATGCCCCAGAGAATAGGTCGGAAACTTTGGGCTCAGACCTTGACAACAGGATTGTCTTTTCATCTCCTGATCATATCAACATGCAGTGACTTTCAAGAGCCAGAGTTCCAGTTCTTAGAACAAACAACAGTGTGCCACAGTGGAGAAGCCAAGTTTACTCCATTCTGAAGCAGCCAAGGTGCTTATCTTTCAAAAGCTTGGTTTGGCCATAGAGGATTACTTTGAGATCTTTAACACCTAACAATAAAAAATTCCTTAAACTTGAGAGATAGAGAGGACATAACATGTACAATGTCAAACATCCATTTATTCAACTGCCATTGGCAAGGGCATACTCCATGCTGCAACTTGTGCTGGATGCAGTGAGACATGAGGATGAGCTAGCTAACCTCTAGTTAAGAAAGTTGTAATCCAGTGAGTGAGAGGACCAAGTAAATGGATGACTCCAATCCCGTGTCATTGAGGGAAACCCATTTTATCGCAAACTGACCTAAGTAAAAATCGCTGTCCATCTTAACCCCATCAGATGGACACAGAACCCCTGCTGCAGGCCATGATGCAGGCAATGAGTCCAACCACTCACCTGACAGCTCAGCTCTTTCTACCTGAATAGTAGATGACTGGCTGTGTTCTTTGGTCCTGAGATGTGTTTCAGACCCATTCTGTGTGAAAATCCATACCTCTGGCCTAGTGCTCTGTACTTGTGCATTCCTATAAAAGTCCATGATTCTGTGTAGTAGATGTTATCATACATTTATACATTTATTTCATGGATAAGAAAATGTGGGTTGATTAGTTATTTTTCCCTTCTGGGATATCAGCCTTTTGCACAGTTTTGCTTTAGCGGGAGAGACCTCCCCTTCCATCTGTGACAGTGGAACTCTGGCAACTACACTTCACTTCAGCCTCCTTATTTGAAAAGAGAGGAAGAATCATGTAAGGAACTAAGTCCAGGCCCCTAAAACAGCATTAGTGGAATGAGCCACACAAAGAGAGCTGGGATGCAGAAGAGCGGCCTAAAGCTCTGTTCTGGCATGTGGGTGGGGCCTTCCTCTTGTCTGGTTAGACTCCACCCAGGTAACTGATGCGTTGGCGGTCATCAAGTCTCCCCCACCCTGAAATACGCCAATAATCCTTGTTTCCCCCTAACACTCCATTTTTATTCTCCCAAATCCAGATATTTATACAGTAATTTTAAAGTCTCAGGTTCTGTAAAATTCCTTTATACTTAAAAAAATTAGAGTCTGTATATTTACTGTGATCAATGCATCTTTATTCCATCCATGAATAGCTGACCTAGAAAAGTTTTAAAAATCTTCACTTTTGGCTCATAGGACCACATTGCGGAACTTGAGAACTTACGCTACATATTCGACACATCATTAATTTTCTTTTGAAGTAGAGGTGGTGCTACTGGGTTGCCTTCAAGAGAAAAATTTGCATAAAGACTACGGGTGTTTATGAAAAGGTTGAGTTCTACTTTCTGCTCTCTGTCAAAGTAATTGTGTGAGCTTGGGCAAGCTGTGTGGTTGGACTCTCAAGGCCTTAATTTTCTCACATGTAAAATGAGAAACTGGTGTTTCATTTGAGGTCCAATTTGAGTTTTTGAGCTCTATACAGGATATCATGTGAGACCACAAAGAACATCCGAGTATCAGTTAATGAGAGTGGAAACACCAGTGATTAAATGATTCACCTAGAAAGCTATAAGGAAGGTCTGGGGGATCACAGCTATCTCTTAAAACAGCCCCGTACCCCTGCTGAGGGGCACACCAAGGCTGTGTCTGTCGGAGCAGAATGCTCAACCCTCCTTCCCCTCCGGCTCCCAGACAGCACTTGAGGATTAAACGTGGAAGTTCCCGTGAGGAGGCTGGCTCAGAGCAGGCACCCACACATGCCACTGCCACCTCCCAGCCCTGCTTTCACACAGACCACGGTGGCGGGGCCCTCTGAGGACTGGATGTTCATGATGGCATTGCACATAGCACTATCCTTTGTGTCCAGGTGACAGGTTCAGGAGAGTCAGCTTCCCGACAGGGCGGTAGGTGGCAGGTAGTTATATTGTTTAGTAGCTAAGGAATAGTTAGGTGTATGTTGGCTTTAAGAAAAATAAACACAGGAGCAGTTGGGTCCCTTCTGTTTTGCTTTTCTGGCTGGCTGCTTCCTGCTTCATAAATCTGGGGAGGGAGGCGAAGGAGGCAGTGAGCTGCTTCCCTGAGCCCCAAGCCTGTGTGTGTGTGCATTTGTGTGCATGTGTGTGTGTGTGTGTTGGGGGGAGTCAGCCGCAGCACCTCTCTGGACCAGCTGCTGCGTCCATCTGCAGCTGGGGCCGGCTCAGTGGTCTATGGCCGCAGTGCTGCACTGGAGGGGCTTTTTTGCTGCTCCGTGGCAGCTGGTGTGAATGGGAGTGGAAAAATAAACTCTCCTCTTCCCCAACATCAGGAAAAATGCTCCCAAAGACAATCTCAACTCTTCCATCCTGGGTTACGATTCTCGGGCCTATGATGTGAGCCCCTGTGGCTGGGACTTTCAGTCTTGAAGACCTGCCTTTTTCATCTAAGAGCGGATTGAATCCCCCAGGATATATCTTAAGATTGGCATTCCGGCTCCCAGCTTCCAGAGGATTTAGGAGTCCCTTGAGAAAGGTTGGTCTTGAATTAAGAGGAAAAACACCTTCATTTTCATTTACTTTGGATTTTAATTTCAGAAACATTCTTTGAAATGACTGATCACAAACAGCTATTGCATTAGCCATTGATTGCACTGCGTTTTACTGGCCCAGCTTGGCCACCCAGAGGCCTGGAAATGGTCCGCGAGTCTGTGCAGCCACTACTAAGTCCGAAGTCAGGCCCAGCACACAGCAGGCCCCACTGAACCATGTGGAAACACCTCTTTGTGAAAATGGCTTTACTCCCCTCTGGAATTCCGATGGTCCAGTTCAACAGCACAGAGACCTTGATAGGAGCTTAACTAAAGAGCCAGATCAGACATTGCCATTTCCTTTCATGGTGCATAATTTTTATAGATACAAATAAGTGCCAAGCACTCTCTTTAGTCTTTGGTTTAGAGAAATCCCAAACCCTGAAGGGGTTCAGAGCTCAGAGAGGAAACAGAACTGTATGCAATAGTGCTAGGGTCTTAGAATAATATCGGTAGGGGGCCTTGTGGAATACAAAGGAGGTCGCCAGGCCAGCCAGTAAGGAAGGGCATGGGGAAAGGATGAGGCATTTCACAATGGGAATGTTGGAATACGATCAAAATTGCCAATTCATTATCACACAGATTAAATGCTCCTGTCTCCAGGAGGCCTTTTCTGATGAGCTTAAAGTGATTTTTTCCTCTTCTGAGCTCTAATGTTTTAGTGTCTAAAACGTTTTTTTTTTTTTTTTTTTTTTTTTTGCTTGTTTGTTTTGCTTTGAGAGGGAGTCTCGCTCTATTGCCCAGGCTGGAGTGCAGTGGTGTGATCTCGGCTCACTGCAACCTCCGCCTCCTGGGTTCAAGCGATTCTCCTACCTTGCCCTCCCTAGTAGCTGGGATTACAGGCACGTGCCACCCCACCCAGCTAATTTTGTGTATTTTTAGTAGGGATGGGGTTTCACCATGTTGGCCAGGATGGTGTCAATCTCCTGACCTCGTGATCTGCCCGCCTCGGCCTCCCAAAGTGCTGGGATTACAGGCATGAGCCACCATGCCTGGCTTTTTTTTTTTTTTTAATGGAAAATTAATTTCTGTCCTTTAGATATCTTGAGGGGAAAGACAGTATGTGACATATTGTGTATCCCTACTTTATATCTGATATGGTTTGGCTCGGTGTCCCCAACCAAATCTCATCTGGAATTGTAATCCCCACATGACAAGGGCACGTCCTTGATATGGCTTGGCTGTGTTCCCACCCAAATCTCAAATTGTAGCTCCCACAATTCCCATGTGTTTTGGGAGGGACCCAGTGGGAGGTACTTGAATCATGGGGGTGGGTCTTTTCCATGCTGTTCTCATGATAGTGAATAAGTCTTGCGAGATCTGATGGTTTTATAAAGGGGAGTTCCCCTGCACATGCTCTCTCCCTTGCCTGCTGCCACGTAGGATGTGAATTTGCTTCTCTTTTGCCTTCCACCATGATTGTCAGGCCTCCCTAGCCACGTGGAACTGTGAGTCCATTAAACCTCTTTTTCTTTATTAATTACCTAGTTTCAGGTATGTCTTTATTAACAACATGTGAACAGATTAAGACAGACCTGGTGGCAGGGGATTGGATCATGGGAGTGGATTTCCCCCATGCTGTTCTCCTGATAGTGAGTTCTCACTAGATCTGATTGTTGAAAAGTGTAGCACTTCCCCCTGCTCTCTCTCTCCTGCCACCCTGTGGCACCTCTTTCTTTGTCTGAATGAACAACTGGGCAGGAATCTACTTCACTTGAATGCATGTTAAGACCTGTGTGGCTTTGAGCTCCATTTGGCCCCTAACCTTGAAAGGATCTTGACAGGTCCAAGATGGAGGCTGAATCTGTTGTCTGCAAAACACCCTTGAGGCTGCTGCCCAGCCTGATGCAGTCAGTGTCTGCAAACATCCTTTATCCTCATCCTGTCAAGTAGGGATGGTGAGAGCCGATAGAGAGAGAGCAGCTGATAGGTTTAAAGAAAGCAAGGCCTGTCCTGGCTAAAGGAAGCAAACACTGAGGAAGCCTGGATTTACAGGATAAAGTATCAGATTAGAAGAGTCATAGATCATGGACTTTCTTATTCTACTACCATGGATATATGGCTTAGTTTCTCCAAACTTGGTTTCTTCATCTTTAATGGGCATTTTTGAACCATATTTTAATAATGTGGAAAAGAATTCACACATACACACACACACACACACACACACACACACACACACCTGTATATACATAATACAGATTAAGCATGTCTAATCTGAAAATCTGAAATCCACAAAGCTCCAAAATCTGGAACATTTGGCACTGCCATGATGCTTAAGGAAAATTCTCATTGGAGCACTTCAAATTTTGAATTTTTGCATTAGGGAATGTTCAACTGGTATGTATGTCTGCAAATATTTCAAAATCGAAAAAATCTCAATATCTGAAACACTTCTGGTCCTAAGCATTTCAAATAAAGGATATTTAATCTGTATATAAAAATAGAAGACTGGATTGTGACTCATGTAAAGACTCATGATTTCTTTATAGAAAGAGAGAGACCTATTATTGCAGAGAGGGATCCATGATTTCTTTCTTTAAAATCATAGTAACAAGTGTGCATGGTTTGAAAAAACTCAAAAGAGTAATAGAAGGCTTAGGAAAAAAAATACTAGAGGCTCTTGTCATAGCTCTCTTAGGTCCCAGAGACAACTAATTCAAACCCTTTTAGCAATCTGGTATAAAACATCCGATTTCTAAACAATATGATTATTCCTTTTTTTTTAAATTAAGACTTCTCTATTGACTTCTACTATGGAAGATGAGAATTTAAAGGTCAAACCACACGCTCTTCATGTATATTTTTCATTTAAAGAATGATTTTTTCTTGTGTACCCAGCAATGATTCTTTTTGAAATGAATTTTAGAATCCCATTCAATGTAGTCAACTCCATAGAAAATATATTGATCTCATTGCTGTATTTTGAGACACCGTTCTGAGACCTTCCATCTGCTGGAACACGGACAGCTCCTCACTGGGTCTGTGGCATTGGTGTCAACTGGGACTTTACCAATATCCTGTAAAATTATTTTACGTCACAAATATTTTGGTATTCCTGTTTTCTAAATGTAATGACTTCCTCTTTTGTTTGGAGTCTCCTCCTTCAGCCGTTGGAGCAAATCTTTTGGTCTCTTATTGAGAACTTTGGCAGAGGTGGTAAATCTAGTGACACATTGCATGAAAAACATAAACTTACTTGGGGCTAATATTTTGGTTTGCTTGGATATATAATTCTAGATCAGAAATGGCTTCAATCTCAGAATGTTAGATTCTGCAGATATTGCTGCATTGTATTGTAGTAATCATTTTTAGGTTCGATAAATTTGGTTCCTATCTGAGTCTTGTTCCTTTGGAGACACTTGCTTCTCCTCTGAAAGCTTTTAGTCTCTTATCTTAACTTCTAATATTCTGAAATTTTGCTGTAATGTTTCTTGCTCTGGATTTTTTTTTCTTTCTTTTCTTTCATTTATTGAGTAAAGCACTTTCTGGAATTATTATTTTTGAGGTCTTTAATTTTTTTCAAGTAACCTTTTTATTATCTTACCTTTTCCTGTTTTCCCTCTTCTACAGTTTTAATAGTTTTATAGTGTTCAAATTTCCAGGAGATTTTTTTTCAGACTTAGCTTTCAGCCCTTTTCTTGAGTTTTAAATTTTGTCTATTATGGTTTTAATTTCCATAATTAAAAACTCTATTTTAATATATAGCTCTATGATTCTTTTATTATTCACTTTAATCATTCTTATTTTGTGGCTGCAAAAATTATCACAGACTGGCCTAAAACAAAGAAATTTATTGTCTCGCAGTCCTGAAGGCCAATATTCTGAAATCATATTGCTGTATGGAAATCCAGGTGTTGTCAGGGCTGTCTCAAGAGCTCCAAGGGAGGATCTGTCCTTGCTTCTTTCAGTTTCTGTTTGCTGACAGCATTCTTTGGCTTGTGGCTACATCACACCAATCTCTGCCTCTATGGTCACATGGCCACTTTCTCTCTGTATGTCAAATCTTCCTCTACCTCCCTCTTACAAACATACAAGTGACTGCATTTAGGGCTCATCTGGATAATCCAGGAAAACTGCCTCATCTCAAGATTCTTAACTTAATTACATCTTCAAAAATCTTTTTTTTTTTTTTCAAAAAATTAACATTTCCATGTTTTAGGAATTAGGACCCAGATACCATTCAACGGCTATTATTCAGCCCATCACAGTTATTCAATAGAAAATAAAAATACTTTGCTTCTGAGAGATTTTCTTAGATCATTTATTTAATAATTCTCTTTAATTTACTTTGTTTGCACTTTCTGGAATTCTTAATTTTGAGATCTTTGATTTTTTTCATACTAATTTTTTTATTTTGTTACCTTTTATTTCTCATCTTCTATAGTTTTTGAATTTCCAGGAGGGTTTCTCAAACTTAGCTTCCAGCCCTTTCCTTGTGTTTTAAATTTTATCTATTATAGTTTTAATTTCTATAAAAACTCTATTTTAATATAGAGCTCTTTGGTTCTCTTATTGTTTGATTTTCATAGCATTCTGTTCTTGTTTCATGAATACAGTATCTTATCTCCTTGGGGATATTAAATCTATTTTTAAAAGTTGTTTTTCTACTTATTGTATTGCCTCCATTTTCTTTTTCTCTGCTCTTACATTTTGATTTGTCTTTCATGTTGGAGGCTTTCCTCAAATGGCTAGTGCTGCTTGGTTTTCTGCTTAAAAACTCAAATACTAAAAAGCTGATTGGAAGGTCTATGTGTATGTGTGGCTTATTAATTGGCAAGCTTCACTTAGAGTCATGTTGCTTGGGATAGACAGGATGGTGCCCTAGGACTGTATCTTACATGTTGGGCTCTTCCATTCTCCAGAACAATTCTCTCATCGCCTGCCTGGGGTGTGCTGAGACCCAAGGAAAGAAGGAGGTTGGGAAGACTTCCTCTTTGTTATGATGACTTATTTATTTCCTGTGTCTTCAGCCTCATACTTTATCTTTTCTCTCTTCTTTACCAGCTACCTCTAAATCTAGAGACTCTGGTTCAATTTCTCCATCTTGTCAACACCTGGTATCCCGCCTGGACAGAGGAGTGTTGTTTCACTACTCAGGGTGGAGCACTTGGGCTGGAGTGCATGCTCTGTCTGGGAGTCTAATTAGCCTTTCTTTTTTTATTTTCTCTTGTGACTACTGCTTTCAGAAGTAAGTGGGGGTTCCAATTTCTAAGATTTTCTATGGCCTTAATAAACAATTGAATTTAACATACAACCATTTTTATTTATTTATTTTTGGATAAACAACAGACACTGAGCACAGTCCATGTGTCAGCTACGCTGGGCATAATCTGGGGAATGGGATTGTTTGGTGAGGTGAAGTATCAGTAGAGGAGCATGCAAGAGATAATCAAGAATTAATTGAGAACAGTCAGGACAAAACCAATCAGAAAAGTCCCTATGTGCTGTACCTTAGAGGTTGAATTCATTTTGTGGGCAATGGGGTTCCCATGAAAGGTTTGAAACAGAGAAGTGTAAGTGTCTGGCAAAAAGCTCAAAGAGAGCTTGCACACAACATTTCTCCATCTTCTTTCATTGTCATTGCTTTTCCTCTTTGTGCCCCCATTCTTCTTCCCGTTTCTTCCTTTATAATCTTCCTCAGAATAAACACTTTCATGTATAAATCTCTCAATGGATTTCTTTTCTTCGATTTTGAAGTATTGTATAATCATCTTTTCACCAATTTAGGTACTCTTGTTTTATGCAATTTTTTTTTAGTAACAGGCACAAAGAGTTTGATTGTTTGAAGCCGTTTTTTAATTATTGAAATGAACAGTTTACACCAATCAAAAGAAGTCAGTGCTTGGAATAGCTGCAAATGAATAGACAGAGAGATTTGGAGCATATTCTGATAACTGAACAGGAGGACAGCTTCAAGATTTGTGACTCAGGGTTGTCCAAGATTCCCATATTTTGAAGATTTGCAGGCGAGCCCGCAACCTGTTTAAAATAAGGCTCTCCTGTCTCAAATGCTGATCACACTTGTCCTATGAATAGACAGAGCGTATTTTATAAATGTCATCCAAGGGAAGGTCAGAGCTCCCCACCTGGTCCTTGTCTTTACCAGCTGTGAAAAGAGAAAGTTGTGAAGAAAGAGTTTCCAAAAAATTCACATCTCTTGACACATATGAAGAAAAAAAAGAAAATGAAGACAAATTTATTGAACACCTACTATGTGCAGGGCACTGAGCTGGGCACTTTCCCATGCATTTATCTTATATCATGCAATCATGCCAAGAGGCAGGTGGCTGTAATCCCATCTTCAAATGACAAAACGGAGAGTCAGAGATAGACAGGTCCATAACACAAAGCTGGAATGGGGAAGAGCAGAGTCTGCGCCCAGGGCTGTCTTTGTTCCCCAGCTGCATTTTCAGGTTCCAATAGAGTCTGAATCCATCCTATGGCTCCTTCTCATCCTACACTGCAGAGGGAAAAAGAACTCCAAAATGCTACTGCATATTCAGAGGGAAAGCATGTCTCCTTAGTGCCTACTCGTCAGCAGTGACAGTCTGTCTTCCCCTAGCTTGGTGCAGAGGGTCAATTTAAATCCTCTGAAGTGCCAAGAGCCCCATCTGCTCCTCCATCTGAAATGGGAATATTTTGCTCTTTTTTTTTTTTTTTTTAAATCTTGATTTGGTCTTTTGCTGTTTGTGTTGCAGCCTTCAGCCCAGATGCCAATAAGGAGGAAAATGTATTAAGTGATAAGGGGCAAATCAATGAAATTAAAATGAATGAGGGGGGAGAATCTGATATGGGGGCAAAAAATGAAGTCTCCCTGTAACAGCTAGTCCAGGCGTACCAGGGAATGCGAGCAGGTTCCTATGCGATTCCAGCAGACACTGACTAGAACCACACGTCTGGGGTAGAGGAGTCAAGACAGCCCAGGTAGATGTGCCAGAAACACCTTGAAGAGACTCTGCCTGAAGACACAGCCCGCTCTGTGGTACAGCTGCTGTTTATTAGGGATGCTCATATTTTATGGATGCGAGCCTGAGAGGGGAGTGCTGTGGTATGTTGGAATCGCAGTTTATCGGTTTTACATCCATGTGCAAAGCTACGACTCTCCACTGTAAGAATGTGAGCACAAAGTTTCAGAGAATGGCAGAATTACAGAGCTCTGGGCTAGCATGGGGGGAGTGTGTGGGATCAGGGACTCATGGAGCACTCACTAGGAATCGCAGGAACACGGGAATCAGCCTTGCCGTGAGAACCAGCCTTGCTGTGTGCTGCTAGCTGACTTCCAAAATCCCCCTGGGCCTGTTTCTTCAACCAAAAAATGGAGCTGAAGATGTATGTCACAGCAAGCCGATGTAAGAAGCAAAGAAAATGACTGTGTTTAACATATTGCCTGAAGATAACAATGTTTTATTAATGATTTTCTCCTAATCAAAAGCTCTTATTTTATAGTCGTGAAAGGAGAGACCTACAGAAGTAAAATTATTATTTTCCTTTTAAACAGTGCAATATTAGTTTATCTTTTTGCATTAATCAATGCTTTCTCAGATGAGCAGTCACCCTTGATCCTCACAGTGACTGTGAAGGAGCCCAGCAGGCCGAGGCACCCTCATTCTGTAGCTGAGATGCAGATGTGGGGTGCTGGAGCTTGAAAGCTCCGTGGGCTGGGGATCAGGGCGGCTTGCCCTGTGCTTGGCAAACTGCCCCCCGACGGTCTCCATGCTGCCAGGGAGTCTTCAAGGCTGCTTTGGGGGAAAGTAGGGACCCTCATCTTATATTTTATTATTATAAAATTATTATAAAAATACAAAAATATATAATATATAATAATATATATTATTATATATGATATATTAGAATACTATATAATATATTATATAATAAATATATAAAATATAAAAGTATTATAAATAATTTTATAATTAGACTTCTATGCAGGACTGTGTTTTGTATATGCAAAACAGATTCAACAGATTTCTTTAAAAGTTTAAAAACTCTTGAGTTATACTGATTTCTTGACTTGATGCACACAGAACAATGACTCAACTTGGAGAGGTGAAGACATCTCCCAGGTCACCCAGCTGCAGACAGTGCTCTGCCCCTCCCAGCAGGACTGTCACTCCTGCCACCAAACGACGACTCTTCCTTTTTAGGTATTAGTGGCATGTAATTGATGGATTCCTTATCAGGGTCAAAATGAAAGCTGAACCTTATATACATACAGGTGAGAAAATATTTTTGGAACCCCAAAATAGTCATTTTGGAAGTATTTCCATGACTACCTGGAAAACAGGTCGTTTCAAAGATTACCTTAAAAAAAAATCTATACGATAAGAAGTTGAAATATTGCAGAAACTTCAAATCCTGCCTTATTTAAAAGTTAAGGTGAATTAAAATAGTAGTGATAGAATTGTTTCCTAAGATACAGGGCAAATGGGAAATAGGCGTAGATGCCAAATGTTTCCTGTTTGAATTTCTAGGGCGTTAAAGGAATCAGGGAGCTATGTTGTTGAACGTGTCTGCAATGTCAGGTGAACTCTGGTGAGCCTGGAGCAAACAGGATTCTTTTTCACAATGCAGGGCAGACAGAAGAGTGAGGCCATTTCTCATTTCTCACTCCCCGCACCCCATGGTGACAGGACCTCAGCAGTTCCATCTGCAGGTGCCAGCTTCATTGTGGACAGACTCTGCTCTAAGGATGCCTGGTCTCAGTGTCCTGTGTTTCGACGGAGGTGCCCAGGGACAGCTCTGACTTCTCAGAGTCCTGGGTGGAGAGGGCCACCTGTTGTTTAGTCTTTTCTGGCAGGGCAGACCCATGACCAGGCTGCTTTGTGCCAAGCCAGGGGGGTCTTTGATTTCTTTGTTTCTCAACCAAGCAGACATTTTCTTTCCTTTTATTTATTTCTTCCTATCCCTGGCCTCTCATTTGATTTTTTGCTTGTTCAGCACAGCAGTACTTATTCCCTGCAAAATGAATTGATTTCTCCTTCCAGATGTTGGAAATATGAAAGTAATCTTGGCCCTACAGAGAATTGTCTTTGAGAAATCACCCACTTTGTCCTCAACAGCAGGTGTCACTGTTGTAGCAGAAAACCCTGCTGCTTCCAGGGCCCGGGCCAGCCCAGAGATATTTTTACCCAAAAGAGAAAAGGCCCAACATGAGATTCAAACTTGGCAAAAGAAATTCCAAAATGAATGTGAAACCTCATAAAAGGCTGTAAATTATCAGCGTGTCTTTAAACGCTGAGCCCAGGACTTTCAGCACCCATCCCTTGGGAAGAGAGACCGTGGGACTGGTCCCAATCTGCAATCACTCATGATCTCATCCATCCTGCAGCCCCAGGGCTGCTGTCCTGGCCTCACAAGGATGTAGAGGAGCAGTGACCGAATCCCCTCCTTGTCTCCTGGACCACAAGCCTCAGGGGAACACAGGGAATTTTGCTGTGCACGTGCTGGTGTCTGGCGCTCCAGGATTAGCTCTCCTGAGGACACTTTCAGCAAGAAGCTTGTATGCTGGAGCTCACAGGATTACGTGGTTTGCCCAAGGACACTCAGGTCATGAGTGGTGGAGCTAGAAGGAAAGCCATCTTTTGCTAGGCCCCACTGTTTCTTCTATGTATCTGGTATAGCTTGGACCACAGGGATAATGTGGTGGATGTAAACATGACTTCTCCCAGTTCTCTATGCAGAATACAGCATTGTTAAGTGAACCCAATTTAGATTCCCTTGTGGCCAGGGCATTTGGTGTGGCTGGGCCAACACCACTGGGAAAGGTGGTAATGGTTTCGAGATTCAAAACTATATTTCAAAATGTGCTTTGTTCTTTGCAAACATGGTCATTCACTTAAAGTTCAAACATCATGAAATACAAATAAGAAGTCAGAATTTGTATACCTTTAGGTACACAGGAAAACTGCTATGTCAGTAAATTGGGCCTTGACATGCTAACATACAGCTTAGCACATGGCCATAGAATTTAAGTACAGTGTGTTCACATCTGAATAGAGAAAACAAAAGAAATGAAGAAAAATTGGGAGAGCCTGGAGCTGGAGACCAGATGGGCATACAGCATGATCCATCATCTTCTCAAGCAGCGTCTCTCATCCCCAGCAAGGCCTGTACTGAGGGCTGGGTTGGGATTTGGGGTTGCTGTTTAGCAGAGTGGCTTATTCTTTTTTTAAATTTTTTTATTTTACTTTAAGTTCCGGGATACATATGCAGAACGTGCCGGTTTGTTACGTAGGCATACATGTGCCCTGGTGGTTTGGAACATGCCGGTTTGTTACGTAGGCATACATGTGTTATGGTGGTTTGGAACGTGCCGGTTTGTTACGTAGGCATACATGTGCCATGGTGGTTTGGAACGTGCCGGTTTGTTACATAGGCATACATGTGCCATGGTGGTTTGGAACGTGCCGGTTTGTTACGTAGGCATACATGTGTTATGGTGGTTTGGAACGTGCCGGTTTGTTACATAGGCATACATGTGCCATGGTGGTTTGGAACGTGCCGGTTTGTTACGTAGGCATACATGTGCCATGGTGGTTTGGAACGTGCCGGTTTGTTACATAGGCATACATGTGCCATGGTGGTTTGGAACGTGCCGGTTTGTTACGTAGGCATACATGTGCCATGGTGGTTTGGATCGTGCCGGTTTGTTACATAGGCATACATGTGCCATGGTGGTTTGGGACGTGCCGGTTTGTTACATAGGCATACATGTGCCATGGTGGTTTGGAACGTGCCGGTTTGTTACGTAGGCATACATGTGTTATGGTGGTTTACAACGTGCCGGTTTGTTACGTAGGCATACATGTGTTATGGTGGTTTACAACGTGCCGGTTTGTTACATAGGCATACATGTGCCATGGTGGTTTGGAACGTGCCGGTTTGTTACGTAGGCATACATGTGCCATGGTGGTTTGGAACGTGCTGGTTTGTTACATAGGCATACATGTGCCATGGTGGTTTGGAACGTGCCGGTTTGTTACATAGGCATACATGTGTTATGGTGGTTTACAACGTGCCGGTTTGTTACATAGGCATACATGTGCCATGGTGGTTTGGAACGTGCCGGTTTGTTACATAGGCATACATGTGCCATGGTGGTTTGGAACGTGCCGGTTTGTTACGTAGGCATACATGTGTTATGGTGGTTTACAACGTGCCGGTTTGTTACATAGGCATACATGTGCCATGGTGGTTTGGAACGTGCCGGTTTGTTACATAGGCATACATGTGCCATGGTGGTTTGGAACGTGCCGGTTTGTTACATAGGCATACATGTGCCATGGTGGTTTGGTGCACCCATCAACCCGTCATGTTGGTTTTAAGCCCCACATGCATTAGGTGGCTCATTCTTAACATGCAAGCCAGGCCCACTAAGGTAGGGCTGTGGCATCTGCAACACACCAGGACAGAGACCTCATTTTTATCAAGGGGAAGAGAAATCAGAATATTTGTTAATTAAAAAGTACTAGGTGCTCAGGATTCCTCAGAGGGAACAGATACATTTTTCCTAGAAGATGGAGGTTGTCTCGGTTGACTGGCTCAAACTCCACATCCCCAAAACAGGGCTAAAATTCTGAATCTGGAGCCAGCTGTGTAACCTTAATTAGTCATCTCATCTTTCCAAGCTGCATCTTCTGAATCTGAGAAATAGAATTTATAACACTATCTACTTGATGGGGCTGTTATGAGGAATAAAGGAGAAAATGAGTATACATCCTTATATACAGCAAATGTCTAACACATGTTAACTAAGGATTTATTCATAATAGATGAGGTGAATTCATACTTGGTCCTGCTTTCAGATGGACACAGCTTCACGGCTAGAGGGAACTTGGCTGTCAGAGGTAATCGGATGTCTTATCCCGTGAGGCACCGTGATCAGTGTTAGGGGTTGTTTGGAGTGCTGTCCTGTGTAGGATCCTGAAGCCTGATCCCACTTAAGTAGACAAGAGTTTTGATCTTAATTATCAATGCCTGTCAAGGGCATAGGAGAGAGAAGTGACATCACGGGGCTACATAGTCCCAATTTCATTCCCAAATTAGTTCAACAGCCTTATTTTCAGACAAGCCTAGAGTGGTCAGGAAAACTTGGAAAACACATTTTTCAAGCTAGTTTTGTGGCTAATGGAGGCCAGATCTCAGTCTCGCTATTTCTCATTCAATTCTGCTGCAACCACTGCCCCTCCATGCAGGAAAGGCAATTCACCTCCATCAGAAATAGAAAGCGCCCTATACAAGAAGGTTAGTGATACCCCTATGTTATTTTGCTCAAATCTTTGGGTTCAGGGAATAAATTCCTTAACTGCAAAGTGGAATTTCTTTAATTACTCTGCCCTCATCTGTACTCCCAGGACAGATCAAGGCACTGTGAATTTTGCTAGGTGTCCATCAGAAAGATGCAAGAGGACTATGGTTGAACAGAATCTCTAGAGACCTCACCCTGCCCCTGCTGAGGTGTCCCCTAAAACATGTACCTACAGCACTCTGGAAAGACGTGGAATGAACAATAGTTTAAAGGGAACGTTACAGGGAATATATGTTACAATAGCGTAGAAATAGCTGGAGGTGACCTTTTATGGTTTGGGTCAGCTTTCATTCTAAATGAGTCATGTTCTTTTTTCTCCTTTTTTCCCCTTCATGTTCTCCCTTCCCTTAGTTCACTGCATCCAGACAGAAGCTGGTTTAAAGAATAGGATCCATGTTAATCTATGGGTAGAAGTACTTCAAATCTCCACTTCCGATTTCAGACAAGCAGTGATCCTGCTTAACTAGCCCCACCTATTCAGTTTGGAACTGCCAGAAGGATAGACTTACTTTGGAGTAACCGTCATGTTTCTTGCTCTGGAAGAGGAATATCCTGGGATATAACAGCCTCTCAAGGCACAGGCAAAATGAAGGGGCAGACTGGAGGCAGCGCAGAGTGCCTGACCCAATAGGTAACTTCCATGAGACCAAGCCTCCACACACCTTGTCCAGGCCGTCTTCTCCTCGGAGTCTGTTTAAAGTAATCTGTTTGTGGCCGGGTGCTGTGACTCACACCCAGCTTTTGGGGAGGCCGACGTGGGCGGATCAACTGAGGTCAGGAGTTCGAGACCAGCCTAACCAACATGTTGAAAACCCATCTCTACTAAAAATACAAAAATTAGCTGGGCATGGTGGCGTGCACCTGTAGTCCCAGCTATTTGGGAGGCTGAGTCGTGAGAATTGCATGAACCTGGGAGGTGGAGGTTGCCATGAGCTGAGATCACATTCCAGCCTGGCAACAAAGTAAGACTCTGTCCCCCCGCCCCCCTGCCCCCAAAAAAGTAATTTTTGTGCCTTCTTTTCTTATCTGAATTTTGACTTCAGGGGCCAAAAATTCAGTTTCTCACAGATCAAATACCTATTTCTAACAATATCCAAGGACCTCTTTAACTCAACTCTTTCTGAAGATGGCAAGAGAATTGAGGAGGACCAAACCCACACTCAGGACTGAGAAGGAAAAAACCCTACACATTTTATTAAGCCTATTCATGCAGAACTACAAGCTCTATCTGTAGCGTGGGGTTCTAAAATTAATTCCCGCAGCTAAGTGTGACTAAGATAACCATCTCTATGGCAGCTTTTCCTTGATTTCTCATATTCTGTTAGCTGAACTCTGCTGGTCAGCTTCTGCAGGTGCCATGCCTTGTGGGCTCATGGCAATACGTGCTAAAATGTTCTTTTAATAATTTTTAGAAAGTCCTTGATTTTTAATTTCAGTTGCTAAAATATCACCATAAAGACCTCATTCTCACCAAGGATGTTGCTATAAAGGCTTCCTCTCCTCCCTCTGCTTTGCTTAGCTCAGCTCATTACCTGATGAGCGGGCAGAGGAAGATGGGGGTGCGAGTCAGGTGGGATCAGTATTTCTTTCTCTATTTGGGTGAACTCCAGCTCAGTTGGTGCCCATGTGTCTTTCATCAACTGCCTCTTTTTCATCAACTGCCTCTCTCTCTCATTATAAACATTCTGTGTTTCTTCTATTATAAATATTGCAAGAGATCTTTAAAACCTGTGGGGTTTGATTTATTTGCATTACCATTTGAAGAACAACTTCTGGATTCAGTTCTGAAATGACAAATGATCCATCTCCTCCCGTCTTTGAGCACTGACGATCTTCCTTGGTGGAAGCGGCTCCGGGTGTTAATATTCCACCAGTTCAAATCTGTTGATAGAGAACCCAGGTGTGAGCAGGCTGGCCGCCCCAGGTATTCCATTTAGGAGGGAACAGCACACTCAGGACACCTCAAGTCCTGCACCACAAGGTTCCAACATCCATCCAGGTTGGCACTCTTTGAGAGGCTCAGGCTGAAGTCACAGTTTCCCCCCTTATCTTGTGAGACTCACAGACAGGAGCTTCAAGCATCCATTGGCTGCCGAGGTATCTGCTGGTCTTTCTGATCACCCATGAGGGCAGATATTCCTGTGTAAGAACCTCCTGCCAAGGAGAAACTCTATCAGCTAAGGTGAGGGGAGATGCCTCTCCTTCAGTCCACAGTACTTTGTCTTTTGGAAAATGAATGAATTTTTGCAAAACCACTAACAGTACATTTTCAATAGGTGATCACTAACTTTAAATGAAAATAGTCAATTATTCCAAATCAAAGGGCCATCAGGGAGCTGGTGGTTACAGCCATTGTGTTTGCCTGTGCATTGCTCAGTTTGGAGCATCCTAAGTGCCAAGACACCTGAGTCTCTTCTCCTAGGAATTCCTAAGAGGTAGGGGCTCTAGCACAATTTGTTCCCTTGACTCTGTTGTCTCTGTGCTCCTGAGGCAGAGAGGTAGCCAGGAAACGTGCAGTTCTAGAGATATATCCTCTAGGTTCTTTTTGAAGTAGATGTTAAGCATTCAGAGGGGAAAGAAACAAGAAATGCACAAAGTGGGGAGAAACTTGGTAAGGAAAAATTTTTTAAATAGCATAGAAAAAACTGTAGCATAAAATCTAAATACCTTAAAGTTTTGGGCATATTTTGTAGGTGTCGAATTTAACTTGAGTGGTCTTAATTAGTCAACAAAGAGTTTCCATTTTTTTTTTACTGTGAAGACTGACAATGATTAAATAGAATAAGAATATACAGTGTTGAAGAGGGCGAGAGGGGTTGACATACACATACACAGCTGGTGTGAAAACAAATCACTGCAACCTCTCTGTGGCACGCATTGAAGGCTTTAAAAGTGATCAGTGTTTTGAACTGCTTTTAAGGATTGATTGAAAGAAAATTATTGATCAATTGCTAAAATATGGGTATACAATGATGTTCATTAAAGTGTTTTTTTAAAGTAACAACAAAAGTTAATCAACTGTAATCTTAATAATTGAAGGCTGTGTAGCTAATAATAGTCTAGGCTCATGCAGTAGAATGACACAGCCACTGAAATAATAATGGATATTTTTTCTACTCACATGAAAACTTGATAAAATATTACAGAAAATATATGCAGTATAATTTTATTGTATAACATAAGCATGTTTGTTGGAAATCTATAGGAAATTTTAAGACAAACTCCAAAATTGTTATAAGAAAATAAAATCCCCTCGTTCCAATTAGGTTAACGGAAGTCAAAGCAAGTTGATGTCAATATCCCATTGTTTCTAAAGGGCTTAAGCATCATCTTTCCTTTCCTTTCTTTCCTTTTCATTTGCTTTTGTTTTCTATTTTGCCAACAAAGCCATGCATTAATTGTATACTAAAAGTAACGAAAATGAAAATGGGTAAAACATCAACCTCAATTTGAATTTTTTCTTAAAATAAGAAATCAACAGTTATTTGATTGATCTCTATTTATTTTGTCCAAAAATACATGTTTATTATATAATCTGCATATCTTGTTTCTACAACTTTCAAATAGTTTATCACCATCATAAACATCAATCATCACTATCACTATTATTATTATAGCAACATAATATTACTATTGTAGCAATGTGATCTTGGTCAAGCTAATTGCCTCATAATCTATTACTCCCATTCATTTCTTAAAGAAGTAAGTATTATTACATGGAAGTGCCTAATTTCAGGCTTTTTTAAAAAATTATATTTTAAGTTCTGGGATACATGTGCAGAATGTACAGGTTTGTTATATAGGTATACATGTGCCATGGTAGTTCACTGCACCCGTCAACCCATCACCTACATTAGGTATTTCTCCTAATGCTATCCCTCCCCTACCCCCCGACCTCCTGACAGGCCCTGGTATGTAATGTTCCCCTCCCTGTGTCCATGTGTTCTCATTGTTCAACTCCCACCTATGAGTGAAAATATGCAGTGTTTGGTTTTCTGTTCCTGTGTTAGTCTGCTGAGAATGATGGTTTCCAGCTTCATTCATGTCCCTGTAAAGGATATGAACTCATCCTTTTTTATGGCTGCATAGTATTCCATGGTATATATGTGCCACATTTTCTGTATCCATTCTATTGTAGACAGCATGCATGTATGCTAGCAATCTTTTATTGCCATGTAATAGCTTTGAAAGTCTCCAGTTTGCTTATCCAATAGGAAACTTATCCAATAATTTATTTATTATTAACCACTTAGGCTAGTTCTGGTTTGGGCCTGGTAGAACTGAAGCTGAATGTTAAGTGTATGCCCTGTGGCAGCTGGGGCTAGAAGGTCCTATTTCCCTCCTTCTTAGATAAGGAGGACCATGTGACTTGTGTTGCTCAGTGGATCATGGGAAGAAGGAACAGCCCCTTTGAACTTTCGGTGGCATTCTCCACACCATCTCTTCTCTCCATTCTGAATGGCTATAGAGCATCTGGGGGAGCCTGAAGCCAGCAGATGCTCCTCAAAGGATGCCGGATCCCCTCAATGGATGGATCCTTGGAGGAGAACTCCCAGAGGAGTCTCGGCCCACGATGATCCACAATGGGCTCTGTGCAGCTGCAGAACCGACTCTTGTTTTGTTCTGTTAAGCTGCTAAGACTTGAGTCAATAAATTCCCAATATCAACTCAAAGAAGATGAACATTTATGTGGCTCTGGCTAAATATTGCCAAAATCATATGAATACTGTATGATTTTGCTTTATCTCCAGAGATATATGCCTATATGAACTGTATGTCTTTCATCTAGGGCAGAAAAGAACATTGTATTGGTCAGGGTTCTCCAGAGGGACAGAGCTAATAGGATATATGTACATATGAAAGGGAGTTATTAGGATAATTGGCTCACATGATCACAAGGCGAAATCCCATGGTAGGCCATCTGCAAGCGGGGAAGAAAGAAGCCAGTAGTGGCTCAGTCCAAGTCCAAAAGCCTCAAATGCAGGGAAGCTGACAATGCAGCCTTCAGACTGTGGCCAAAGGCTCAAGAGGCCCCATCAAAAGAGTCCAAAGTTCAAGAGTCCAAAGGCCAAAGAACCTGGAGTCTGATGTCCAAGGGCAGGTGGAGAGGGAGGAAGCATCCAGCCTGGGAGAAAGATGAAAGAAGACTCAGCAAGCCAGCTTATCCCACCTGCCTCCACCTGGTTTGTTCTAGCTGAGCTGGCAGCTGATTGGCATCCACATTAAGGGTGGGTCTTCCTCTCCCAGTCCACCAACTCAAATGTCCATCTCCTCTGGCAACAACCTCACAGACACACCCAGAAACAATACTTTACCAGCTATCTAGGCATCCTTCAATCCAATCAAGATGACAACTAATATTAACCATCACAAACATCTATATCTATGTCTGTAGAAATATATCTCTGTATATATTTTGGAGCAGGAAAACTATAGTAAGTAGGACCCAGGCTTAGGCATTTATATATGTCTTTCCCTCCCCTCCCCTCCCCTTTCCCCCTCCCCTTTCCCTCCTCCCCCTCCCCCTCCCCTTCCTCCCTTCCCCCCCTCCCCTCCCCTCCCCTCCCCTTTCACTCCTCCCCCTCCCCCCTCCCCTTCCTCCCTTCCCCCCCTCCTCCCCTCCCCTCCCCTCCCCTTCCCCCTCCCCTTTCCCTCCTCCCCTCCCCTTTCCCCCTCCCCCCTCCCCTTTCCCCCTCCCCTTTCCCTCCTCCCCCCTCCCCCCTCCCCTTTCCCCCTCCCCTTTCCCTCCTCCCCCCTCCCCCCTCCCCTTTCCCCCTCCCCTTTCCCCCTCCCCTTTCCCTCCTCCCCCCTCCCCCCTCCCCTTTCCCCCTCCCCTTTCCCTCCTCCCCCCTTCCCCCTCCCCTTTCTCCCTTCCCCCCCTCCTCCCCTCCCCTTTCCCCTCCCCTTTCCCTCCCCCCTCCCCCCTTCCTCCTTTCCCCCCTCTCCTCCCCTCCCCTCCCCTCTCCTTCCTTCCTTCCTTCCTTCTCTCTCTCTCCACCTCCCCTTCCTGCCCCAGGCAGCACTCTCCTTTTGGAAGAGAATACAAAATTTTTTAGTCCTACTTGGAGGAGATAAAGTGTTGTATGCACCGACACTGTTATCACTGCGCATTGCGAGCTCTCTCCTGAAGCTCTTTGCTTACTGCTTTTCTGATTGATCAGCTTGTTGTTCTGTTTACTCCTGGTCATGGATCTCTGTAATTGACCACATGATTTGGAGTCCTTATGTTTGTTTTCACTTTGATATTTTCTTAGCGTCCATTAAACACATGTTTACTGAGATCCTCTGTATGCCAGACACTGTACTAGGTTCTTAGTATAGTTTAGTGGATAAAACTGACATGGTCTTTGACTTTATGAAATTTGAAATTTGCAACAGTCCAACTTTGCCTCCCGGCTTTCTGTGTATAACCACAGGTCGGAGGCACCCTTCACTCAGGTCTTCTGACTTCCCAACTTCAGCTAGGTAAAATCATCCTCTGCCTACTGTTTTCCCATGAAGAAATTAGACATGTAAAGGAAAATGAGGCCTGAGCTGGGAGAAGATTTATATAAAAATCCACTCCATTTGTATCCCAAAGTTGTAAAATAGAATAGGAATTTTTATATTATTTTTGTAGTCAGAGTATTTTAGAAGGAACTAATATAGGTTGGAAAATTTGCTAACTTTGGGGTGACTTTGCAAAGAAATTTATAGGATCAATAAAAATATATGTATCTCTTTGATTTTACTTTTGTAACTCTTTCAACAAAGATATAGGTGAGTGGATGGAATATATGTTCATATATCTTCAACTATATTGTCTTGAATCAAGAAAACTGTCTTGTCTTCACAAAGAAACACTGGAAGATGCACTTCCTGTTCTTTTTCAGCACTATTCAAAATATTTAATAGCTGGTGCAGCACTGAGCACCAACTAGTCAGAATGGCTGTGGTTTTTGTTTTATGTTTTTTAAAGCTATTTGTGATAATATTTGCATGCTGGTGGGATAGCAGGGGAGCACTGGTGTAGGAACACAACTCCCAGTAAAATCACTGGGTTTCGAAGAACATCTTATTTTTCTTTTTTGGAGCAGGAAAACTATAGTAATGTAGGACTCCTGCTTAGGCAATGTCTTAGTTCATGCTGCTATAACTGAATACTATTGACTAGGTGACTTAAACATCAGCAATTGATTTCTCACAGTTCTGGAGGCTGGAAATCCAAGGTCAAGGCACTGGCAGATCTGGTGTTTGGTGAAGTTGCCCTTCCTGGTTTGCAGATGGCTGTTTTATCATGGTACCTTTACGTGATGGGGGGTCGAGGAGAGTAAGCTCCCTTATTTCTTCTTATAAGTGCACCAATCCCATTCACTGGACTCTACCCTCATGACCTAATTACTTCCCATAGGCCCTACATCTGAATACCAACACATTAGGAATTTCGGCTTCAGCATTTGAATTTGAGAGTAGAGGAACAGCACACACACTCCATTCATAGCAGCAGTGCATAACTTGAAGTTTGAATTGATTTCTATTCCCCTGTCTAGTGGATTGTCTTTAGCTGGATGATGATGGTCTGGTCCATTTAGTAACATCTCTGGATTCTGTTAGCAGATTTGAATCTCAGTTGCAGCCCTCAGCAACGACATGTTCTTGGGCAAATTATTTACACTTTAGAGGCTTAGTCTCCTAAACCACAAAATCGGGGCAATGTTATTTATCTTGCCCAATTGCAGTGCAGTTGAGACAGTACAAAACATGCAAGATGCCTGCATGGTCTAGCAAAAGTAGAGACTTTGTAGTGGTTCTTCTTATAAATATTAATAAAACAAAGTTAAAGTTGGCTTTTCAATAAAATCCTGCTTCCCTTGGAGGCAGTCTTTGAATGTGAAATAGTCTAAAAAACAAGCTAATTCTGTAGCCAGTGCAAATATTAATTAGCAGTCTAGCAAGAAGCAGGTCACAATGCTGAATGTCAGTGTGCTAAAATGTCTGCTAGTTTCAAGACAGTAGCACCTTGCTAATTTGTCATCAAGGGGCCCCTGGAGCTAAGAGAGATGACAAAAATCTGTGTGAAGAAGAAATTCTCACAGATTAAATCAAACTTCTGCAGTTTTATAAAAATGTGCTACTTTTGTTAGCTTTGCTTTGGAGTTTTTAATGCTATTCACATAATTGGCAGTGTTCTTCTAGAGGTGAACATTTACTTCTTCAATTACAAAAATTGGTAAATATTGTTTTTCCATCTAAAGGGGCAAAAGTCTGCACATTGTGGACCTGACACTAGAGACTTAATCCAACAGAAATTTCTCTCTGAATTTTGGTTGAACCATCTAGACATTTTCACCTGGCTCTGTCATCAAAATGAACACATTATGTTACTTTATCAGAAGAATTTAAAGATGCTTTGGTATTGTCACATAAGAATAGAGAAGTTTAACAGATTAAACCTAATGAGAAAGTTCACATTTTCAGAAGTAGATATTATGTGTTGAAAAGAGCCAACATTTTGAATTCAGATAATTCTCAGTGTCATTTCTTATTTTAGACTCGGTATATGAACTTGGGCCAGATACATAAAATAGGGAAAATTTTTCCTGCCTTATAAGGTTGATAGAGGTGAAAAGTGCAAACTGCTGGAACATACAAGACATAATTTTTCTTACAGATGTCTTTTAATATCACTGGAAAGGGAAAAACAGTCTCAGGTAGCAATTATCTCCTTGATTACAACTTTTCACCATCACAAATATTTAGAGACTTAGAGCTTCCCAGCAGTACCTGCAAAGGCCTACTCAAGACAGACAGGTACTCAGTTTTCAAACAGCAACTTGGTGGGAATTCAACTTACCAATATTTTGGGGTAGGAGCTTGGCTTTTCCAAGTGGCCTAGTGCACAAGTCTCAAGATAGATACGCTGTTAACAAGTAGGGCTTGGATTTGAAGTCTTATTCAGAGTGTTAGAGTAAGCACATTCCATATGCGTACTCTAAACCAGAATAAAAACCCTGGCAGGCTCTGCAGGATCTCACACCACCACGTTGCTCCTTTTGTTGATAGAAGACCTGCTTCATACCAACAGTACCAACATTTTAGGTGGGAGGCAGACCTGGGCTGAGGAGGCAATGCCACGCTGTTTAAATGTGAGAACCTGGGACCTAGGCTCTGTCTCAGTTCTGCCTGCAAACTTGAACAAGGCGTGCAGTTTCTCTGTAGTAAATTTCCTGATCTGCCAGGCCTCTCAGAGCTTGCCACTCTGCTCCCTGATCCTACAGTTCAGGAAAATGCATCTGTGCAAGTCTAGGTTTGCGTTGGAAAATTGCTCCTTCAATAAAGAAATAACAAAGGAGTGACTAGCTTGTAGATGCTACTGTATGAAAGCTTTCAGTAGTCAGAAACAGCATATTCTAACTGGGCTCATTTACATGTTTATTAGAGTTTATACTAAAGGAGACTCGACTGACAGTTTTGCCAGTGGGACAGTCTTCTGCTATACATGTCTACAATTTACATTTTCCCTGTTTTTGGCAAACAATACAATTCTCCAATTGAGACATTTATGTTCTATAACACTTTTTGTGTTTTTTTGGCCATAATTAGTATTAAGATGCTCTCGTTTACCTCCCAATGTTAATGCATAATTATGCACACTTAATACTTTGTTTTTACTTATAAACGTTGGTTATAAAGGTTTACTAGTCATTTTTACAAAGTTCTTTAGAGTAGTCAACTTCTTTGTTCCAATGGGAAATTATTTATAACCCCAAGCCATAAAATAGATAATAACATCTAACATTTTTTCAGTGCACGTTTTGTGTCTGACCCTTTACTAAGATATTTAACTCATATAATCCTCATAATAAATCTACAAGTTTAGGAAGGTAGCCTTATTATTCCCAATTTATAGATGAAAAAAACCAATGCAGTAAGATATTAACTGTCCTGTTGAAAGCTATAAGGCTTGTGAGTGGTAGAAGATGCAATTGAACCCAAGCAGTCTGGGTCCAATGTGGGTAGAACAACTATGCCATGTGTCTTTCCACAAAAAGTGGAGTGAATTTTTTTGAAACAGGTTTGGGAGCCACAAGTCCTGGGCTCTTCAAAGTCCCCCCTGGGGCAGTCCTCCTGGAGACATTACCCAGTGCTGGAGCAGCCCAGGTCTCTCCCTTGGCCCTTTCCTTCTCTCTACAGATACACTACTCCTTTGCTGTTCTTCCCATCTTGTTGCTTTAAATAACTTCTGTAATCTTGAGTATATATTTCAGCCTCCCTCCACTGAACTCCAGACTTCTCAATCTGTCTACCTGACAGCTTTTGTTGGATATTCAATAGGCATCACCACATAACCTATCCAAAACCGAGGCCTCGTTCCTCTGTTCCTACACAGAACTGCCACCTGCATCTCAGGGGATGAGAATCCCTCTTTGCAGTTTCCCAAGCCAGAGACCAGGAAGTGCATCATGTTGCATTTCTTTCTGCTTATGTGGCAAATCTCAGCAGACTCTTTTCAAAATAAATCCAGAATTTGAAATCCTCACCAATTCCTTTGATAGGCTCCAATCCAAACTGCCCTAATCTCTCTCTTGCCTCCCAATTAGTTTGAGCTTCTCCTCCTGCCTGTGTAATGCAGTCTATTTTTGACCTAGAACCCAGAGGGAGCCCTTCACAGGGAAATCCAACTGCGCTGTTCCCCTGCTAACTACCTTCTGATGGTTTCCACCACACCCCACAGGCCTGATGTGACTCCCTGCTGCTCTGTGGCCTGGCCCCCTGTGCTGGTTCCCTGATACTCTGCTGGGCTGGTTCCCTGGTACTCTGCTGGGCTGGTTCCCTGGTACTCTGCTGGGCTGGTTCCCTGATACTCTGCTGGGCTGGTTCCCTGATACTCTGCTGGGCTGGTTCCCTGGTACTCTGCTGGGCTGGTTCCCTGATACTCTGCTGGGCTGGTTCCCTGGTACTCTGCTGGGCTGGTTCCCTGGTACTCTGCTGGGCTGGTTCCCTGATACTCTGCTGGGCTGGTTCCCTGATACTCTGCTGGGCTGGTTCCCTGGTACTCTGCTGGGCTGGTTCCCTGATACTCTGCTGGGCTGGTTCCCTGATACTCTGCTGGGCTGGTTCCCTGGTACTCTGCTGGGCTGGTTCCCTGGTACTCTGCTGGGCTGGTTCCCTGGTACTCTGCTGGGCTGGTTCCCTGGTACTCTGCTGGCCTGGCCCCCTGCTGCTCTGCTAGCCTCATCCCCTGCCACTCTGCTGGCCTGGGCCCCCTGCTGGCTGCCCATGCCTCTCTTTCCTGCATGTGTCATGTCCTCTCTATTCCTTGAATGTGCTGAGCTGTGAGCACTCCAGTGCGTCTCCCTGTGGTCCTCCTCTTGGAATACTCTGCTGTCCAACATTCTCAAGCTCTCTCGGGTCTCTACTGAAACCTCACTGTTGTATTACAGAGGCCTGTGCGTGGAGCTTCTAAAATGAGGAACATTCCTCGTCACCACGTTGGAGATGTCTTCACCCTTACCTTTCTTTATTGTTCTTCCTGATACTGAATGCCATTCAACAGGCTCCATTTTGATCGTTTACTGTCCACTCTCTCCCACTTCCACCCCTACTAGAGTGTCATTCATGAGGACAGGACAGGGACTTCATTTTGCTATTTTTACACTTTCTTGCAGAACCTATAGCACTCATATTAGTCAGGCATTCGGTATTTGTTGAATAAAATGAGTGAATCTTTGAGAAACTTCCAGGTTTTATAGAACACAGTTCTATAAACAGCCATAAGCCACCTGGATTCATAACAGAGACATGAGTGTGACACCGACATGAGCTGAGGTGTAAGGAAGGGAAGTCAGGATCAGATCAGAACTGGTGACCAGGTCAGCTCCAGGTCATCCTAACCAGGAGTCTAACATTCAGACTTGCCCAAAGTGGTAAGGGGGGTCAGTGGGGTGGCAAACTTTTGTTTGACTTATGCCAGTCTGGGTCTAGGGTGACCTAGTCTGAAAGGTGGGATGTAAGAGGTGACATTTGCAATGAAGACATCAGATAAAAAATCTGGTCTATTTGGAGCAGAAGGAAGTGTGTAACTGGGGTGGAGAACATGAAAAGAGGTGGCGAAGCCAGGGCCCAGTGCTAGTACCAGCAGGGCCCCAGGGATGGAGAAGAAATCCCCGCACTGACTGGGCCTATGTGCAGAGATCTTAGAGCCACAGAATTAAGGCAAACAGAACTCAACCCAAACAGACTAGATCATGAGTCTGGGAAAACACCTACTGCTAAGTCCAGACTTCCTCACTTGTGGGTGGAATCTGCTCCTGTTAGTTCCTTTCTCGGGGGTTGACATTCTGCAGGTGCTGCGAGGCGGCACCTGTAGCCTTGCTAAGCTGGGGAAGGCAGGGCTGATGCCTAACAGCCTAAGATTACCTTTCTGGAGGCTTCTCCAGCTTCTGTTTATGGTATTTACCTTCTGCTCCTTTTGGTTTGTTTACTTGTTTAAAGGAAGATTAAATAACCTCACACAACATTGTACCACTTGAAAATAAAATGAATCTTGAGATTTTTTTTCTTTTTCTTGCAAAGAGATAATGAGGTAAACAAACACCTCTCTCTTCTGCCCACCTCTCTCAGGTGCGCCTGCTGTCAGAATTCTCCTGTTATAACAACCTAACTACTGAGTACATATAAATGTCTCATCTGCAATATATTTCATGAGCCTCAGGGGACCCTGCAGCTCATCTCCAAGAAGTCTTCTTTGTGAATTTCAGCTAACATTCACTCTTCTCCACTAACGGCAGACAGCTGTATCTAGCTGACAATGTAAAATATCTATTTTTCTTATTGTTGCCCCAAATTGTTGCACATTTATGTTTCTAGCCCATATTTCTCCTGTGAGCCCACACCAGCAGCAGAGTTTACATCTTCACTTGGACATGTCAAATGAAGCCATCTCAAACTTCAAAATCGAAGTCTTCTCTTCATGCCTGGCTTACTTCAGTGAGTGACATCAATATCCATCCTGGAATTGCTTATTTGGGTTAGCAACTGTTTAATCTTGGAAACCACATCATAACTGGGTATAGTCTAATTGCCAAACAAAATATGCAAGCCCAGTAAGCATCATCTGGACTTGGCAAGTTCAGTGATAAAGCGTGAAACAGAATGGAAAGTGAGTCTCGCGTGGGGTGCAAGGCAGAGGAAGACCCGTGGCTGTGCCCTCCCCTGCCTGGCCTTGTCCATCATCTGCTACTGGAGACTCCTTTCCAGCAGCCATGCTTCCTGACCGACCTCAGTGATGAAAGCAAATAAAATACCACCACTTTTCAATTTTTAGAGGAATTTTCCTAGAAATAAACAGAAACCATCTTTTTAATTGCATCGGTAACCCTTTAAGAATATAAAGACCACCAGAGGCCAACCACACTCTAGAGAGAAGCTAAGAGAGGTAAATAGAGCAATTAAATCAGCCATCACCCAGAGGACACTTGCCGAAAGGGTGAAGGCGTGATTCAGTTTTCAAGGCCACACGGAGTGCTGGACAAAGTTCAAAGCCAATGTCCCACCATAAGGCCAGTGTATCTGCCCACCCACCAAAACCTGTGATTTTCATTACACCTTTAGCCTAAGAGCAAATTAGAATGCACTTACTCTCTGGTTAACTACTAGAAAATCAACTATCTCCAACCCTGAGTCTAAGTTGGAGGTAGAAACAAAAAAAATCTTCCCTAAGAATTCAAAACCACAAGCAGAATCTCATATAGGTATGAGCATCAGATGCACATTTCTTGTGTAGTATTAAAAATGACAAGTCGGGATTCCGTGTCTCCAGCCCTTGGTAAAGCAAATGCAGTTCCTGTCTGAAGGAATTTACTTCAGAAATAGAGATACTCAGGTGCTGCCCCACAGCAGACCTCCTCAGCTAAGATCTTTAAACATGTACACATACAGAAATTCCACAGGGAAAGTTTCAATGAACAGGAAGTCACAGCAGTAAAAAATGAAATGACAGGGAATCAAGACACTATGACGAATAAACAAAAAACAATATAATCCTAAAAGAAAGACGTCAAATACTGACCTAACAAGACACCGAATGTCTCATAACATGGTTTCTGAAAATTTATGAACCACCTCGTGATATTTTTATTTTCTTATCATGAAATTTTAACTCAGTAGGTCTGAGAGTTGGGCTTCATATTCTGCCTTTCTAGCAAGCTCCAAAGTTTTACCACTGCTGCTGATCTGTGGACCATACATTAAGTAATAAAGTTTTGATATTGTGTTTAATATGTTACATTAGTTTTTCATTGTTGCTGTGAAGAAGTACCACAATGTTGAGTCTTGAAGCAATAAAAATTTATTATCTCACAGCTCTGTAGGTTAGAAGTCCAATTTGGTGCATTTGAGCTCCTGACTGCAGGTTTTACAAAGCATAAAATCAGGTGGTAAAAATAAATACACAAATATATTTGCATGTATATGTGCATATAATAATAATATAGTTGTAATGAACTAAAATGCGCAGTTAAAAGACAAAGACTTGATGGGAGTAGCATTGAATCTATAAACTACTTTGGGCAGTATGGCCATTTTCATGATGATGATTCTTCCTCTCCATGAGCATGGAATATTTTTCCATTTGTTTGTGCCCTCTCTTATTTCCTTGAGAAGTGGTTTGTAATTCTCCTTGAACAGGTCCTTCACGACCCTTCTAAGTTGTATTCCTAGGTATTTTATGCTCTTTGTAACAATTGCGAATGAGAGTTCACTCATGATTTGGCTATCTGTTTGTCTACTATTAGTATATAGGAATGCCTGTGAGTTTTGCACATTGATTTTGTATCCTGAGACTTTGCTGAAGTTGCTTATCAGCTTAAGGAGTTTTGGGATTGAGATAATGGGGTTTTCTTATTACATGTTCTCTTTTGTAGTACTTACAACAGATGTAATTATATATTTATTTATCCCTGATTTAATTCTTTATTTTTAGCTTTCATTAATTTACATACAGTAAAAATCACTTTTTGATAAATTCATGGAACTATGTTTAATGAGCAGCACAATCAAGTATAGAAGTGTTCTGTCACTCAAAATAATGACACTAATGCTTTCCCTTCCACCTCACTCGTCAACCCTGAAAGCCACTGAGCTATTCTTCAACTCTATAGTTTTACTTTTTCAGAATGTCACATAAATGGAAGAAAATATAGCACATAGTCTTTTGAGTCTGTTTTTTTTCACATGTCTTAAAGTATGTGAAATTTACCTTTGTTATGGCATGCATCATAGTTCACAATTGTTGTTACTGAGTAATATTAGTGTACTATGTTTTATTCATTCACCATTAAGGTCATTTAAATTATTTCTCTTTTTGGTGATTATTAATAAAGCCTCTATAAACTTTTGCAAATAGATTTTCATATAAGTTCCATTTTTAAATTTCTTTTGAATAGGATTGGTCACACAATAAGTTTATGGTTAAATTTATATAAGACTGAAAAGCTGTTTTCCAAAGTAGCTTACTGTCTTGCCTTCCCCCTAGCAATGCATGACAGTCCCTGTTGCAGCACATTTTCACCAGGACTTAAGCTTGCCATTTATTATTATTAAATTTTCAGCCATTCTAACAAGTGTACAGTGGTTTCACCTTGTGGCTTTAATATACATTTATGTAATGACCAATGATATTGAGTATCTTTTCATATGCTTAAATGACCATTTTTTATTGTTAAATTTTGTAAGTTCTTGAGCAAACTATCACAAGGACAGAAAACCAAACATTGCATGTTCTCACTCATAGGTGGGAATTGAACAATGAGAACACCTGGACACAGGGAGGGGAACATCACACCCTAGGGCCTGTCATGGGGTGGGGGGAGGGGGGAGGGATAGCATTCGGAAAAATATCTAATGGAAATGATGAGTTAATGGGTACAGCAAACCAACATGGCACATGTATACATATGTAACAAACCTGCACATTGTGCACATGTACCCTAGAACTTAAAGTATAATAATAATAAAAAAAATTTGTAAGTCATTTATATATTGTGGGAAAATGTTTGCCAGACACTTGGCAGGTAAGTATTTTCTCCCAGTCTATGGCTTGTTTGCATTCTAACAACAAGTAAAAATCTGGGCAAACTAAAAAGTCAATCACTGTTCTTAGCTATGCAAGAGAAATGAGGTCACAGAGCAAACTGCTGCCCCCTAAATTGAAGATCTATTGGTGAATAGTGAATACAGAGAATAACAACCTAGCAGAGCAGAAAGCTCTGTGAGAACTAGTACCGGGATAGGGAAATCTGAACTGTAATTGATGAACTACTAAAGGCTCCGTGTGAATAAATCTGACAGTTAAAAACTCCTAGGAGACTCAATCATAGGGAAGCCCCCCTTTCAAGAGTTTTACCTCAAAAAGCTCTTCAAGGTCCCCATAGGGAATATCAGATAAAAATTCCCTTAAAATTCCTTTTTGCATCTGGCAGGGAGAGGGGAAAATGAATCATTTTGGAATATAACAGAGTACTATGTTCTTCTTAACAAGGCTTGTCCTCAGGAGGAATTAATTAACCATAGCCCAACCTGCTGGGTTTTTAATTTTTTTTTTTTTAAGAGAGACAGAGTCTTATTCTGTCACCCAGACTGTGCAATGGCATGATCATAGCTCACTCTTAGCTTTGGACCCCTGAGCTCAAGTGATCCTCTTGCTTTGGCCTCCCAAGTAGCTAGGACTACAGAAGTGTGTCACCATGCCCAGCTAGTTTCCATTTTACTTTTTGTGGAGATGGGGTCTCACTATGTTATCCAGGCTAGTCTCAAACTCCTGGCCTCAAGCAATCCTCTCATCTTGGCCTCCCAAAGCCAGGTGTGAGCCACTGAACCTGGCCTTACTGTGGTTTTATCAGAGCCTAAGGGACCTGGGGAAGGGAATACCCAACTCCCACCCTCTCTGACCATTCTGTCCCACCTGTGGAGGGGGTGGAGGGGAAGACTGGGGAGCATTTGTGAAGTTCAAAGACTGAGACCTAAATAGGACTATAAAATGTTTCCCTTCTCTTCATACCTTACTACTATATTACTAAAAACTTGTGTACAGCAGTTCCTTTTACCCAGTATATCATGTTTACCCAGTATATCATTACAGGACATACCAGAAGGTCAAAACTTAGTTTGAAGAGACACAATACGTATTGAAACCAGATTCAGATATGATAAAGTTGTTGGAATTATCAGACCAGAAATTTAAAACAACTATGATTAATATGCTAAGGTCTCTAATGAATAAAGTAGGCAGCATACAAGAACAGATGTGCAATGTAGGCAGAGAGATAGAAATTCTAAGAAAGAACAAAAAGGAATGCTACAGTATTAAAAGCACTGTAACAGAAGTGAAGAATGCCTTTGATGGGCTAACTAGTAGACTAGACAGGGCTGAGGAAACAATCTTTGAGCTTGAAGATATCTCAATCAAAACCTATAAACTGAAAAGCAAAGAGAAAAAAGACTGAAACAAAACCAAACCAGAACAGCATTTCCAAAACTGTGAGGCAATTCCAAAGATGTAACATTTGTGTGATAGAGATACCAGAAGAAGAAGAAAGAGAGAAAGGAACAAAAGAAATATTTAAAACAATAATGGCTGAGAATTGTCCCCAAATTAATGCCAGACACCAAACCACAGATCCATGAAGCTCCAAAAACACCATGCAGGATAAATGGCAGGAACACCACACCTAGGTATATCATTTTGAAATGACAGAAAAACAAATATAAAGAAAAAAGTCCTGAAAGAAGCCAAAGGGGAATACCTTACCAATTGATATGGTTTGGATCTGTGTCCCCACCCAAATCTCATGTTCAGTTGTAATCACCAGTGTTGGAGGTAGGGCTTGGTGGGAGGTGATTGGATCATGGGGGTGGATTTTTCATGAATGGTTTAGTACCATCCTCTTGCTACTCTCTTCACCATAGTGAATTCTCACAAGATCTAGCTGTTTAAAAGTATGTGGCACTTCCCTCCTTGCTCTCTTGTGCCTCCCTTTATCACGTGAACTGCCTGCTCCTACTTTGCCTTCCCCATGAGTAAAAGCTCCCCTGAGACCTCCCCAGAAGCAGATGCAGCCCTGCTTCCCTTGCAGCCTGCAGAACTCTGAGAAAATTAAACCACTTTTCTGATAAATTGCTCAGTCTTAGGATTTATTTTTATAGCAATGTGAGAATGGACTAATTTACCAATTGAAGAACAAAGATAAGAATTACATCTGACTTCTATGTAGAAAGCATGCAAGCAAGAGAGTGTAATGAAATATTTAAAGTTTTGAGAGAGAAGAAAACCATTGTCTTAGAATACTGTACCCAGAGAAATAATATTATTTATCTGTTTTATATATTGCTGGCTTTAATTTGTTAATATTTAGTCAAGGATTTTGATATCCATGCTCATGAGTGATATTTCTTTATAATATTCTTATAATTTCTTTGGAAATTCATCTGATTGTTGAGGTAATGTTGGTCTCATGAAATAAGTTAGGAAGTAATTCTTGAAATATTCTTTGGAAGAAATTACATAGAATTGGTAGATATGATTTCTTAAATATTTGGTAGGATTTTCTGTTGGAACCATCTGAGCCTGGAGTTTTCTTTATTGGAAAGTTTTAAACTATGGATTTAATTTATCTATATGATAAAGGAAATATCATATTGCCTATTTCTTTGGTGAAGTTTGGTAATTTGTGACTTTCAAGGAATTGTTCTTTTTCATCTAGGTTGTTGAATTCATGGGCATAGAGTTGCTCATAGGATTCCTTTATTATGCTTTTAAACTTCTATGTGTCTTAGTCATATCTCCCTTTCATTCTTAAATTAGGAAGTTTGAGAGCTTGTTTGGAGATTCTAGAAGGGGAGCGCAGCTACTCATGTACACTTGACCAAAGACCCGTCCTCCTCTATTGGGGATGTTCATCCTCTTCAACTGAGCATGCAGCTTCAGGAGGGGTGCACGTGGAGCAGTGAGGGAGGAAGGGGACACCCGCCTAGCGAGCCAGATTGGCCAAATCAACCCTGGAGATCAATGGGTGACAGATGTCGCAGCCAGTTGGGAAAACTGGCTAGCCATATGCAGAAAACTGAAACTGGACCCCATCCTTACACCTTGCACAAAAATTAACTCAAGATGGATTAAATACTTAAATGTAAGACCTAAAACCATAAAAACCCTAGAAGAAAACCTAGGCAATACCATTCAGGACATAGGCATGGGCAAAGCTTCATGACTAAAACATCAAAAGCAATGGCAACAAAAGCCAAAATTGACAAATGGGATCTAATTAAACTAAAGAGGTTCTGTACAACAAAAGAAACTATCATCAGAGTGAACAGGCAACCTACAGAATGGGAGAAAATTTTTGCAATCTATTCATCTGACAAAGGGCTAATATCCAGAATGAACAAGGAACTTAAACAAATTTACAAGAAAAAAGCAAACAACCTCATCAAAAAGTGGGTGAAGGATATGAACAGACACTTCTCAAAAAAAGACATTTATGTGGCCAGCAAACATAGAAAAAAAAAAAAGCTCATCCTCACTGGTCATTAGAGAAATGCAAATTAAAACCGCAATGAGATACCATCTCATGCCAGTTAGAATGGCCATTATTAAAAAGTCAGGAAACAACAGATGCTGGAGAGGATGTGGAGAAATAGGAATGCTTTTACATTGTTGGTGGGAGTGTAAATTAGTTCAACCATTGTGGAAGACAGTGTGGCAATTCCTCAAGGATCTAGAGCAAGAAATATCATTTGACCCAGCAATCCCATTACTGGGTATATACGCAAAGGATTATAAATCATTCTACTATAATGCACATATATGTTTATTGCTGCACTATTCACAGTAGCAAAGACTTGGAACCAACCCAAACGCCCATCAGTGATAGACTGGATACAGAAAATGTGGCACATATACACCATGGAATACTATGCAGCCATAAAAAAGGATGAGTTCATGTCCTTTGCAGGGCCTGTGGATGAAGCTGGAAACCATAATTCTCAGCAAACTAACACGGGAACAAAAAAACAAACACCGCCTGTTCTCATTCATAAGTGGAAGATGAACAATGAGAACACATGGACACAGGGAGGGGAACAGCACACACCGGGGCCTGTTGGGGAGTGGTGGGCTAGGGGAGGGATAGCATTAGGAGAAATACCTAATGCTATACCACATTTAGCAAAGCACCTGTTAACATTAATATGTGTTTTTTCAATTGTTCAGTTCTCTTTCTCAGTGTAGATTCAGTGCAGTATTCATAATATTCTGTTAAGATGGCTACATTGATTTTACATCTTGTAAAGTGGAATCTTAGGATCCAGGATGTATTCCTTTTCTTTTGCACATAACAAGTTATTACCAACATAGGTTCTTAGGATAACGCATGCATGAGCTCAGTTTATGTGGGCCAGGTATAGCTTACCTTGGGTTTCTGCCCAGGTCTTATCAGGCAGCCAGGCTGAGACCAAGGTTTCATCTAGGTTGTGTTCTCCTCCTGAGGCTCATTGAGGAAGGGTCCATTTCCATGTTCATTCCGGTTGTTCTAGAATTTGTTTCCAATGGTTGTATGACAGAGGCCCTCAGCTTCTTATTGGCTACTCTCTGATCTTAGAGGCCACTGTAGTTCCCTGCCACTTGGTCCTCTCCGTAGGTGCTTTACAGAATGGCTGTTTGCTTCTTTAAGACTATAGGAAAATATTTCTCTCCAGTCCACTGAGTCATAGTCTCCTATGATGTAAAGTAATTATGGAGTGATATCGTTCACCTTTGTCATATAGCATGACCTAATAAGTAGTGTGATATCCCATCACCTTTGCCATATTCCATAGGTTGAAAGCAAGTAATGAGTCCTATCCACACTGAAGGGAAGGGTATTCCACAAGGGTATGGCTCATTAAGCATCACCACATGGTGTGTTTCCCACAAATGTGTTATGTTTATTGCATGTGAGTGTCTAGAATACACTAGTAAAGGGGACTCATACTGAGTGTGGGAGTAGTAATGTCTTTCTTTGCACTTCCTGTGATGTTCCTTGTTTCATATTTATATAAAATAGGGGAGTTCCATAGGAAATGCCACTTGAGTGAATAAATGGATTAATCAGTGAGTACTTGGGACTTAAACAGTTGACAGAATATAGTACTGCTGACCAAAATCTAAAAAAGGTTCAGAATAAATCCCATTGTAAATTTTATTTCATTTCCCTGTTCTAAAGTAAGATTCCCAAGAAACCCAGAGTACTCTGTCTGATGGTTTCTTAGCCTATTTCAGAGTTTGTAATTTCAGATTTTTACTTTCCATTTTGGAAATCTATCCATCTGACAAAGGGCTAATACTTTCCAACCTGGTACAACTGAGTCTCATAGGCCAACCTGGGCTTTTGTTGGGATGTTGCCAAAATGACTAATGAACCAATGTGTTTAACTGTTACTTTAGTGAAACCACATCTCCTGATTCCCTGTGGTACATTGCATTTTCTAGTAAAGATCAAATTGAACATGCTCTACTTGCTGAAGATTAATTGACAAGAGATGTTTTGATATCAATGGGAAAACCATGGAAAGTTGAAACGTTAAATCATAGCTTAGATCTATGAGTTTTTGGGTCATATAAAACTAGTTCTCCATTTTCTTTTGTTGACAGCATTTGGAGCCTTCAAGTCCTATCTAAGCATTATCTAGACAATATCTGTTTTCCCACAACATAAATGATCTACTCCCACTCAGGGAAGATCAGCCTTTGTGTGTGTATGCTTACATTTTTCTAGTTCAAATAGGATTTTTCACAGGTATTCTTAAATGCATTTACTAAACCCAACAGCATGTTCTTTAAAACTTCTTTTGGACCTCAGTGTCTTCAAGGATTAATTTATTTCCTTCCTCTGATAAGAGATGTGTTTCAAGGGTTACAGGAGGCTCAGGATGAGTGTGCTTTTTATTACTATTGTTGTTCTTGTAGGTCTCTAGGTAGGGTTGTATTTTGTAAAATTTTCCAAGGTTAAATAACAAGAATTATATCTGAAATGTACAATGATTACAGGGATTAAATGGAAAAGGAGTGAGGCTGCAGGAACTAGATGGACAGGTTAAGTGCAAGGGTGGGTAAACCAGTCATAGTAATTCACACTCTACCACACCCTAGGTAAAGAAAGGAGGACCAGAAAAAACAAAGGCCCACTCATGCTAAGGACCATGAAAAGGTGGACAAGGACAGTATAATATCTTTTGAGCTGGTCATGAGGTCTCATTGCTATGAAGAACTCATACTGTTCCTTGCCATCTCTCGGTACTCTTGTAACCGAGATCCTCTTCGGTCATGCTATCTCAGCACTTTCTTGACATGAACCCTCTGTGGGCTTCTGGGCCTTTGTGTGTGTTATTTCTAGCTCCATTCCTAATATGCCCTTCTTTATTTTCTCTACCTGAGGGTCATAATCACCCTTTAGAATGGAATTTGAAGGTGATTGTCTTTGTGAAGCACCTAATCCCTATCTCTCCGGCACATTCACTATCAAGCATGGCCCACAGCAGGGCTCTCATCTGTTTCCTCACCTGTCTTGCCCACCACCGTGTGAGAGCCCCGCCCATTGCAGACAGAGGTGCTAAACCACACACAGTAGGTTCTTTAAATGTTTCTCAGTTTCATTCTACTTCAAGTCAAGTAATCCTGGTAGCATTCATGACTGTGGAAGACAAAATAACCCAGTTCCTGTATCCAAGAAGCAGATTCTAATTGACCAGCTGACACGTTCCAGTATGGAGAGCATCTGACATAGAATGAAAATGAGCAATGGCATAGCACTTTACAAGCCATAATCATGACCTGGTTTGATTCGCACAAGGTGTTAAGAATCACATAATACTATTATTACTGCTTCACAAATTAGGAAACTGTCATACAAAGGAAGTAAGAGGCTTTTTCAAGGTGCCACAATTATTGGCCAATAGTCTTAATTAGGAATTCAATTTTAACTATTCTACTCCAAATACTATGCACTTTCCTCAACACATGCCTTTGACCAAAATGAATGGTACAAATGACTTTCATAGGAGTCTCTGAAAGAAGGAGTGCTTGCTTTTGCCCATTGGTTAGAGAAGGCTTCTTGGAGAAGGTACTACTTGAGATGCCCCTGGAAGAAGAAAATAAATGTTTGATCAGTGAAGTAAAAGTGAAGACCATCCTGTAGAGGGAGGAAAGAGTGAACATGTGCATTTGTGGTATAAATTTCTGGCTGGGAATGATAGGTGCTTGTTGAAATTTTAACTCACCTAGAAGACAATAGGAGCATTAATGACTTTAGAGTAAGACAATACAAAGATGAATGTGATATACAGAAATGTCCCACTTTAGAGGTGATGTTAAGTGGATGAATTGTTGAAGTTCCTGAGGGTAAGGTAACCAGTTAGGAAATTTGCATACCTTCAGGTGTGCTATTGTCTCTGACAAACCCTGAATGTCTCCTATAGAGTGCACTGGCAATCATTTTATTTAGAGAAGCAGCCATTGTATTACATCCACATAAATCTTTGATATTTGACAAGAGATAATGATTCAGTAGAAAATGTGGTTTGGTCTGCTTGATAAATCACAACCAATAATGTTTGAGTGCCTACTGTATACCCAGCACCTACTCTATCCTTTAGCTGCGGAAGATGCCACACTAAGCAATACAAAATTGCCTGAATGCAGCTTCAATCCTACCATTGAATGTGCTCCCAATACAGATAGTAGGCACTTAGTGACAAAGAGACATTCTTTTTTGAGGGGAGATGGCAAGAAGGGCAAAAAAAGAGAGGCTGGTGTTGAAAAGCAAATGCCTCATTTTAGCAGTGTATGCCTCAGTGAACTGGGATGAAGCTATAAATGGCTTTATTCTTGAAACAGCCTGAAGGAATTCAGTTGAATAGAAACATTTTTTTTTTCTTGTTCCTGTGGGCAGCTGGATGAAAAGTTTGAGGCTTTGTTGTTGTTGAGAACACTGGTCATTTTCATCAAATTATTTGGAATATTCTGGTCTCCCAAGGAAATGCCTAAGCAGGAAGCAGGTACTAGAGCAAAATTTTTTCTAAATTTAAAATAAACCCAGAGGGTTTTGTGCCAAATAATCACCAGCTGCTGTGAGATCAATGTGTGTAGAATTATTAACAGGAAGCAAATTACTAACTACAACCTTTGGAGAAAATTTGTCTCAGGCAAGAACTTTCTTTGAAGGATTGCACCCAGCATGAAAACATTTAATTTCCCCACAGTCACTCCACAGGGACCCACCAAGGGTGCCATTGGCAATAAACAAGAAGATGCTGGCTGTAAAGCTTTGGAATTACTAACCTGAAATACAGAGAGGGAAGTTGCAGTGTAGAAAAAGTGAAGTTTATCAACAATACCTTTAAGCCTTTGTATAGGAATACTAGATTAAAACTTTTATAAGCAGGCCGGGCGCAGTGGCTCACGCCTGTAATTCCAGCACTTTGGGAGGCCGAGGCGGGTGGACCACGAGGTCAGGGGTTCGAGACCAGCCTGACCAACATGGTGAAACCCTGTCTCTACTAAAAATACAAAAATTAGCTGGGCACAGTGGCGGGCACCTATAATCCCAGCTACTCAGGAGGCTGAGGCAGGAGAATTGCTTGAACCTGGGAGGCGGAGATTGCAGTGAGCCGAGATGGCGCCACTGCACTCCAGCCTGGGTGACAGAGCGAGGCTCCATCTCAAAAAAAAAAAAAAAACTTTTATAAGCAGGCCCCTGTCTTCGACCCTGATATCTCATGCACAGTAGGTCCTCAATAAATGCTTACTGTCATTTGTTGGATGATCCACACCATTACACTCATGCCGGGTTATTGCTACTAGAGACCCTGTGGACCACCTAAATGATGTTTGTTTTTCATCCAGAGACATACTGGTCTGATGCTGGGCCCAAACTAGTTAGTGACCTAGTAAAGAACTAGAGTACAGATCTTCAGGGAAAGGTACATTGTTCACTCTATCTCATCAAAAAGGGTCTAAAAACCCTGATACATCCCGATCAATCTCTTTTTCAATTTCTTTTTTATTTATGAGTCAGAGTCTCGCTCTGTCGCCCAGGCTGGAGTACCGTGGAATGATCCGGGCTCACTGCAACCTCTGCCTCTGGGGTTCAAGCGATTCTCACGCCTTAGCCTCCCAAGTAGCTGGGATTGCAGGCACCTGCCCCCATGCCCAGGTAATTTTTGTGTTTTTAGTAGAGATGGGGTTTTACCATGTTGGCCAGGCTGGTCTCAAACTTCTGGCCTCCAGTGATCCACCTGCCTCTGCCTCCCAAAGTGCTGGGATTACAGGCATGAGCCACTGTGCCTGGCCTCAATCAAACTTTAATTTATTAAAAAATTAGACACTAAATCCACAAAAGCCTTACAGAAAAGCAGCTAGAGAGGTGGCTGAATATCCCAAGCCTCTTGTCTGATCTCATCCTGACTCTGTAGATCACCAAGATTGTGTTCACAGAATCAGCTGGTAATAAATAAACAGCTGTTGAGGAAGTGGCAAAATACTCAGCCCTAAAGTGTCTCAAATGCTTCCAGCAACATTGTGAGTTACTGCTTTAGTGTACAGCCTGCAGAAAAAGGACAAGACCATGGGGCACCTGACTTCAGTTGGAAAAAGGCATCACATATAAAAAAGTGCATGTGCTGTAGACTCAGGTTCGGGTTGTGGCACTGGAATTTATTAACTGCTTATTTTTTTTATTTTTATTTTTTGAGATGGACTTTCGCTCTTCTTACCCAGGCTGGAGTGAAATGGCATAGTCTTGGCTCACTGCAACCTCTGCCTCTTGGGTTCAAGCAATTCTCCTGTCTCAGCCTCCCAAGTAGCTGGGATTACAGGCATGCGCCACCACGCCTGGCTAATTTTTATATTGACTAGAGACGAGGTTTCACCATGTTGGCCAGGCTGGTCTTGAACTCCTGACCTCAGGCAATCTACCCGCCTCGGCCTCACAAAGTGCTGGGATTACAGGTGTGAACCACCACACCTGGCCAAACTGCTTAATCTTTTTTTTTTTTTTTTTTTTTTGAGATGGAGTCTAGCTCTGTTGTCCAGGCTGGAGTGCAGTGGCGCTATCTCAGTTCACGGCAAGCTCTGCCTCCTGGGTTCATGCCGTTCTCCTGCCTCAGTCTCCCGAGCAGCTGGGACTACAGGCACCCGCCACTGCTTAATCTTAAGCAAAGGACTCAATCTTTGAGTTATATTGTTCTAACTGGGGAAACAATACCTTGAGAGAACACACATTCTCCATAAAGAGACTGATCCATACACACAAAATTACAAATTCAAACACCAAATTCAATATTAGAGCTGTATTTAAGATACTATGATAGTGTTGGTGATGGCTGTACAAAGGAGAATGTCATAGAATTGAAGGGATCTGGGCAGAGTTTGAGGAATGGGTAAGGCTTTACAGGAGGACTGGCAAAGATTTGTCCTCCAGGCAGAGGACACTTCATCAGCAAATTGAGATAAGAAAGGAAGGCGGCAACCCAAGCACAGTGAGAAGATGAACATGAGGGCCAACGTTCTGGGGAGATGAGGGAGAGCAATCTACTGGCAACAGATCATGGTTGCAGATCAGGTGGCAGATCATGGTTGACGTTTTCTATGCAATGGATTTTGGCTTTAGGCTGTATTTCATAGGGCAATTTTAATAAGGCACAAACAAATTTGGATTCCATAAGGCTGACACTGGCAGCAATGTGGACAATGGCTTTGACAAAGGAATAGGAGGGGTGGGGCAAATAGGTAGATGCTGTTGGTGTCTTCTAAGGTGGGTATGAAGTTCAGCAGTAAAGGATAGCAGTCCAGATAGGCTAGGGGATACCACGGGTACAAAGTAACCACAGATTCCAGGGTCGTAAAACACCACTGGCTTATTCCTTTCTACTACTCGATGTTCCTCTCAGGTCAGCTGATAGTGCTGCTGTATTCTCAGGCCTCCAGGCCAACCTCTACATGTCATTTGTTGGCAGCCATGTTAGAGAAAATGAAGAAAAGCCATATGGCCACACGTGACCTTGGTATTGGGATAAGCAATCCCTCAATAAGAATGAAACCTGGATATTCGTGAAGAGTGGTAGAGTGATGGCGGTAACCAGTAAGATGGTGACTTTGAGGAGACAAGCTTTCCATTACTGTATGGGCAACCACACACAGAGTCAAGGATCTTATCTACCTGGACTATATTTAATTTTTCTTTTCTTTTTTTTTTGGTAAGTCTTATAAAACTACAGGGTCATGGGTGCAGGTTCGAACATGTAGATGTTAAAAACAAGTAAGTAAAATAAAAAGGTTGTTTCTCTCCTTTTATTTATCAATGTTTTAGTTTTATTACAATAAAGAGGAAAAACTGGCCATCCGTCCTGACTGTCTGTATGAAACAGGGATTTCACACCCATTCTGCTAGTGGCAGGGATTTTTTTTTCCCCACACATCTATTGATGCCAGATAAGTTTGGCCTCTGTCCCTGGATTTGGTTTTGTACTTTTCTGGCTATTTGACAAAGTCTGTAGTTGAAAAAGATCTGGAGACCGAGATCACAGAGTGACTTTTCTGATTTCTGTGCAAGTGTGTTTTAAGAGCTCATCCAAGGAGAGATTAAACCCGTGTAGACTGTGAAAGAAGATGTTTCTCAGAAGGTTGATGTCATTTTGCCTTGTCCATGAGATAGATGGAGGCAGCATTTTTTTTTCATATTTTTCTAATTAAGAATAAGTACAGGATGATGAGTTGAGTTATAATCAAATCCTCTGAATCCAGTTCCGCTAAGACACACCAAGGCCAGCAGGTGAAGGAGTACTGGTTACCACCTGTGTGTTTTTCACTTGCATGTTCAGAAGAATTGTTGTTGTCATTCTTGACCAGCAGTTATAATCATCTGTGGGGTTCACTATTAGGCTATTTTTTTTTCGCAAATACAGTGCACCTATCTAATCTTAAAATTGGGGTAAGTAAGCAAAGGATAGTATTACTTTATACCAAATGGGGATGGGACTTGAGAATCAGGGAGACTGGGGTTGAAGTGTCATGATTTAGAATCAGAATTGGTGACTAGGCTGTGCTGAGTTCAAGACAAACAGCAAAACGTGGGCCAGACTTTCAGATAGAGCCCAAGTAAGTATCACCTTGGAGACAAAGTAGAGATAAAGGACGCTGAAGTTTCCATTAGGCAATTGTCAGTTCCCATCTCATAAAGCCTGGCTGTAAAGTGAGTAAGGAATCTGAAGTGGACACCACTAACTCTGTGGCTGGCCTTCAGGGAGTAGACTTCTACATTTCAAATCAAAGGAGATATTCTTCATATTTTAAAATGTGTTTCAACATGTCATTATGTTCAAAAAAGGAACTTTCCTCTTTGAAACCAGTAAAATAATTTTGAGAAAGAATTGTTATTTTATAAAAACACATTTTTAATTATTTAGAATTTGAGGACCGCTAAGAATATTTTCGCAGATCCCTGAGTTTCCCAGATGCCATATTAAGGTGGACAAGTTCAGCAAATAGGTTTTGTGGTGGTTAGTTTCATGTGTTAGCTTGGCTAGGCTAGTTATGTATTCATAGACTAAGAGTTTCCGTGAAGGTATTTTGAAGATGTGTTTAACACCTACAATCAGTTGACTTTAGGGAAAAGAAATTACCCATGATTATGTAGGTGAGCTTCACCCAGTCATTGGGAAACTCTGAAGAGCACAAACTGAGGAGTGATGTTGCCACGAGCCAAGGGACATCAGCAGCCCCCAGGAGCCAGCAAAGGCAAGCAGAGCTTCTTCATTGGAAACTTCAGAGGGAGAGAGGCACTGCTGGCATCTTGATTTCGGGCTTCTGGTTTGCAGAAATGTGAGAGAATACATTTCTGTTGTATTAGGCCACCAAGTTTGCAGCAATTTGTTATGGCAACCCTAGCAAACTAACACATTATTCTCTGACAGTTATGAATTGGATAGGGAGTGATGCTATATGCACTCCTGATAGGGAATATATAGGTATTTTGTTCTAATATTGAAGAATGATTTTGAGCTAGTCTTGGATGACCCAGAAGAACAGCACGAACAGGATGAAGTATTAGTCCCCCACATTAAATGCTACTTAACATGCAGTACATAAAATAATAAGAGGTATGTTTGTGCATCCCCAGGGCTGGGGGTAAGGATTCCTTTGAAGAAAATAGATATTTCCAATATCTGACATTCAAGGACGCTGTAAATTCAAGGCAAAAAATAATGGCATGGCCAGTAAAGACAGATTTCTTTCCCTGAATACCGGACTCTTTTGGATTTTGAGGCCCCTGGCGGTTGTTGGGGACTTGGCACTGCATAAATGGAAATAGGTTGTGAAATGGATAAATGTTTAGCCTGTTAAGGATTTAATGTGATTGTTTAAGTCTTACTTAATAATCATCGTAAATATTTATGTTGTACCTCACTATTTTTAAGACTTCATTAAAATTTTGGTAAAAGAGAGATCTCCAGGTCTGGCTAAAATGGAGTAACGGAGACCAGATTTACCTTGCCACTTAAAACTATCATAAAAACCAGGAAGCCTATGTGAAGGAACTATTTCTAGGACATTAAATATCAGGTGGTAAGTGCAGGAATTCCTGAGAGATGGAAAACAAGTTAAGCAAGCCCCGTGATTTCCCTAGCTTAATGTCTTGAGGGAATTTCCAGGCCATGGTGCATAGTGCAGAATCTGGCAAAATCCCTGAGATAAGAATATGGAGCTGAGAGCCCAGGTACAGTGAGGCAGCAAGAATTGGAAGGACAGAATACCAAAGAAGAAAGAGCTACATACAGGAAAACTTCAGAAATCTGCAGAGGGTCCTCCTTGAATATTGCTTAGAGAATTCAATGCATGTGAAGGAAGTACCTGAGGCTAAGGAAAGAATCACCTGAGAGTATTAGAGAGAATATTGCCCCATTTACCACAGTGCTAAGAACAGTGGCTTTTCCTACCTGCCAGACTGGAAATTCTCATAATTCATGAGATACTGGGTATAATGCTCAGAATGGTGGTATCTCAATAGTGGGGAATAATTAACTTGAGATTAAATACGGCTCTGGTACACTCTAACAAATCTTAAAATCAAGACTTCAAAATATCAAACTGTTTTCAAGTAATTTAACAGCATCTCAGGGGGAAAATCCTCAAGAATATTTATAGGAAAGAAAATATATCTAGCCACTAATGAGGTAAAATCACAATGATTAGCATCAAATAAAAAATTACCAGGCACTCAAGCAGGAAAGCAGAAAGATAAATCAACAAATCAAAAATGATCCAGAATTGACTCAGATGCTAGAATTAGAAAAAGAGGGCATTAAAATAGTTATAATTATTTTTCATAATTTCATTTATAGTGGAATAAAATATATGAAAAAATATAAATATAACTTCTCCAGATGAAAGCTACATTATCTGAGATGAAAAATACACTAAATGAAATTAACAGTAGTTTATGCATTATAGAAGGAAAGACTAGTGAGGTTGGTGATGTAAAAACAGAGATGAATAAAAATAAATTGCAGAGAGGAAACAAAAATGAAAAGAGCATCAGTGAGCTGAAGGACAACTTCAGGTGGTCCAATATACATGTAATTACATTTTCCAAAGGAAAAGGGAAATGGAAGGGTGGGTATTTGAACCAATAAAAGGAGTTTTATTTTCAATATTTTTGCAAAGCTGAACTATAGATCACTGTATGCAAGAAGTTTAATGTAGCATAAGTACAAGATAGATGAAGAAAACTACATCAAAGTCCATTGCAATTAAATTTCCAAAAACTAGTAATAAAGAGAAAATGTTAAAAAGAAGCCAGAATAATAAAACACATGCTACATACATAGAAACACAAGATAGGGATGCCAGCACACTTCTCATCAGAAAGAATACAAGAAAAAAAAAAAAAAGAGTGGAGCATCATTTTCAAAGCATTGAATAAAAACACCTGTCAATCCAGAATTATATACACAATGAAAATATCTTTCAAAAGGGAAGGTAAAGTAAGAAAATTTTTACACATACAAAAGTTGACAGAATCTATCACCAAAAGACCTGTATTATTTCCTTCTTCAGGCATAAAGAAAATAACACTGGATGAAATATGCACCTACTTAAAGGAATAAGGGGCACTTGGAATTGTAACTACATGGGTAAAGAATATAAGGTTGTTTTCTTATTATTTAAATATATTTAAAATGTTCCTGACTGTTTAAATGAAAGTATGAATATATTATAGAATTTATAACATACATGAGTAAAATGTACAACAAGAAAAACGGAGGTTTGGAAGGGATACTGTACAAGTTATGATTCTATGGCTTGTGTACTATACTAAAAGTAGTATAAATCACCTAAAGGTAGACTGTGATGTGTAAAAGATATATATTATAAATCCTAAAGCAACCACTAAATAACTAAACTAAAAGTCATGGCAAAAAGGAAATTATTTAAAATTTAATCAAAATAATGCAGAAGAAGAGGAACAAAGAGCAGATGAACCAAATAGAAAACAAATAGCAAAATAATAAACCAAATGGTAGCAAAAATCCCAATAAGTGTAAATGGTCTAAACAACCTAATTAAAAGACAGAGATTGTCAGATTGAATTGAAAAGCAAGATTTAGGTATATACTGCAGCACTTCTAGTACCTCAATACACTTGAATATAAAGATACAAGTAGATTAAAATGACAAGATTAGAAACAGTTATAAAAGAAAGCTGGAGTGACTATATTATCATTCAAATTATATTTCAGAGAGGAAATACATATTACCAGAAATAAAGAATATTTTTTCAGAACAATAAAGGAGTGAATTTATCAATAGGTATAATAGTTATAATGGTTCACTTACCTAACAAAAAGCTTCAAAAAATGTATGCAAAAGCTGAAAGAATTGCAAGAAGAAATAGACTAATTAGCAATCATTGTTGGAGATTTCAATTCTTCCTCTTTTAAAAGCTGAGAGAAGTAGATGTGAAATCAGCAAGAATATATTCATCTTCCAAATTATCTGATTTTATGGACAAAATCATGTGGATATTAGGACTTTATAGATTAACTAGTGTTTTCTTTAACTGTGGAGGCTTTGTCTTGTACCAGAACAATTTTTTTCCCCTGACTCCAACAAAGAGCATTTATGGAGGGAGAATGCAAAGAGAACATATTTGTATCCAACCTTCCCAGGAGCATGTGAGGTTCACTGGCACATGAAGTAGCCCAGGGGTTTCATTCTGTCCTCATACAAAAAACCTGTTGCTAATTAAAGATTTAAGAAATACAGCTGGATAAGTAACATTAGCCCAGATGGCATTTCAGGAAACCTCTGGTGAGGCTTGAGGCAGACAGTAATTCTGCATGATTTATCACCCAGGTGGCGGTGTGGGGTGATTGGCTCAGTATACTTCAGGTGGAAAAAGACATTCAAGAATAGGACACTCAAGGTCAAGTAGGGCTTATAAACCCCATGAAATCATTCAGGAGCAAAATAACCTTTAGATCTAACTCCTTTTGTCTGTGTCATGGTGTGTTTGTTCAGTTTAGTAATTAAGAAATAGGGACTCCTATTCATTAAGTGTCATGTAGATTTTTATAGAATTTTTACCTCTTTATATTATAATCAAATAAATTAAATGCATGCTTTAAGTTTTACTGTGTAAAATTCACCATGTTAGATTTGTAGGAGATGCATTGGTGAAATATTTCCCAGAATATGTTCCACAGAACTCTTAATTTTATAGTGAATGATGGGTAATGTGTTAAGGAAAAAAAAGGGGAGTTTGTAGCTCAGGAAGTTCTGTATAAAGGTCACTTAGGGTTTGATTTTTTTAAATTAAAATTGTAGAACTACCAGAACTTGTAATAATTTAGGGAATAAAATGACTGTCTATCCAAGTCTGGATGGATTGATTTTGACATGAGAATTTCATAATACATTTCTGGGATTCTTCCCTCTTGATAGAGGGACAAATATAATAGATGACTTCCTTTAACTTCTGGTCAATGAGTGGAAGCTTCATCTTGGCTGATGCTGTGGTTTAGAGAGTCCCTTATTGTGAACAGCTCAACAAAAATCAGTGTCTTAGTCCATTTTGTATTGTAATAAAGGAATACCCGAGGCTGGTTAGTTTATAAAGAAAAAGAGGTTTATTTGGCATACAGTTTTGCACACTGTACAAGGAGTGTGGAGCCAGCATCTGGTTCTGGTGAACACCTCAGGAAGGTACTGATCATGGTGGAAGGCGAAGCAGAGCCAGCATGTCACATGGTAAGAGAGGATACGTGAGAGAGGAGGGAGGTGCCAGGCTCTTCCACAATCAGTTCTTCCTTGAACTAATAGAGTGTGAAGTCGCTCGTTACCACAAGGACAATACCAAGATGTTCATGAGGGATCTATTCCTATGATCCAAATACGTTCCACTAGGCCCCACCTCCAACATTGGGAATCAAAGTTAAACATGAGATTTGGAGGGGATAAATATCCAAACTATAGCAATGAGTTTACAGTAATGTGACCTAAAGCTTTGGCAATTTGAGTAATCTTCCTTGGTAAAAACATTTATAAATAATAATACATTTTTAGAACATTAGAGATTTAGGTCTCAGTCTTTTTCAGAGCTATCTTTGGGCAATTGACCAAGTATGCTTACATAGAAATACTCTCTCACTGCAAATCGTCCTGTCCTCCACCCCACACACATACATACCTGAGAATATTCCCGGCAACTCTGAGTACTAATGGGGTGGAAGGAGGCAAGAAATTGAAGGACCCTCAGATTTCAGTTGCTTCAGGCTAAATACGTTTTAGTTGATGCCTCTGATCTCACACTGCTCCCTAGGGGAGGACCCTAATTCCCATGTCATTAATAAAAGCAACACAGTTAAGTTTCTAATATGAAAAGATAAAGTTTTAAAATTACTGAAAATATCTTTAAATTTGTAACAGTTGACAAGATGTCCTTCATTTGAAATAAATCATAACCTATTCTATTATAGTCTTATGAATTTCCTAGAAAAACATAGAAGCATATGTATAGTTGAAAAATTGGTAACCCTCTGATATGGTTTGGATCTATGTCCCCACCCAAATGTCCTGAATTGTAATTCCTATTGTTGGAGCTGGGTCCTGGCAGGAGGAGATCGGATCATGGGGACAGATTTCTCATGAATGGTGTAGCATCATCCCCCTGGTGCTGTCCTTGGATAGTGAGTGATTTCTTACCAGATCTGGTTGTTTAAAAGTGTGCGGCACCCCTCTCCTCATTCTGTCCCTCTCTTTCTTGCTCCTGCTTTTGCTGTGTAATGTGCCTGCCCCAACTTTGCCTTTGACCATGAGTAACAGCTTCCTGAGGCCTCCCCAGAAGCTGAGCAATGTTGGTGCCATGCTTGTACAGCCTGCAGAACTGTGAGTCAATTAAACTTCTTTTCTTATTGATTACCCAGTCAAAGGTATTTCTTTTTAGTAACGCAAAAATGGTCTAATACACCCTCTAATCAGGCCAACTGGTTGTCTGGAAATGGCCTATGTCTCTCCTGCCATGGTGGGGGCTATCGAATTTTGGATTTAAATTCACAAAAAAAAGCAATGTGTATTTCCCCTTTGCACAATGTTTAGCATAGTGCTAGACTAAATAAGTGTTAAAAATATTGCAGAAGAGGCTGCTTTTTATCCAAGAATATATCAAACACATGGTATAGAGTTACAGAATAAATGAAGTGCTAATAATTTAGTTATATTTAGCTGAAATCGATTTGATGTTAACTGACTAAAATCTAATTGTCTCTAAAGGAAGTCAATGAGAATAATTAAGGAAGACTCTGGGTGTTGAATTTCAGACTACAGTGGAGATTAGAAAAAAAAAATAAAAAAACGAAACCCATGCCTTAGATGACAAACAAATGATAACTCCCTCTAAGTATTGGGGCAAGTAGGAGTGGACATCCAAGGGAGTGTAACTGGGAAAGACAAAATAAAATTATGCAAAGGAAAATTGAGCAAACGAAAATTAAAGCAATCTTAACAGTGAGGGCTATGAAACCGTTGAAAATTCTCCCAAGGGAAGTGATGGAAACCTCCTTGCTTGAGTCATTTCAAAGTCGACAAAACAACGAAAAATACATGGAGGGAGGGATCCTGTAGTGTTGGGGAGCAGACTCGATGATTTCATAGTTCTTTTCTGTCTCTGATTTCCATGTTCTGTGAAATAGTATTGCAGCTAAGAAACATGAAATCCTTCACTCCGACAGTATGTTCACAGAAAATTCATCTGAAGCACAAAGTTGAAAAGAAAAAAGAAAAAAAAAACATGCATTTGAAAATTCTGTCAGTCCTTCACATTCTTTTTATAAACTTGTTTTTCAGATACAGTGTAACATTGGAATTTAAATTGAGTTTCGTGTTCCTTCCACCTCACATGTAAAAACATCTATGACTTTAATTAATGAAGAATTCTAAAGTCAACTTGCATGTGTCCCAGTGTGTAATGGAATACTAGGAAAATTAAAGTTTGATGATTTCTTGAACAGCCCATGCCAACATCCAAAACAAGTACAGCTTAGAAAACACACATTAAACACCAAAAACTAATTTTAGCACAAAAGGAAAAGAAAGATACAATGACAGTAGAAATCTAAGGAAAAGTATATAAATGCATATATTTTTAAAAAGTATGCTTGAATTTCCTTGCTGTATAATTCTTTCTGAGACATGTTAGAGCTGCTCTTATTAGCCAAGGGAATACTTGTGGGAAGAAACCTGCCTACATGCTGAAAACAAGCTCACTAAAATCAATATTGGGTTTTGACTTGAAGGTGTTTACTATGAAGAACTCAGTGTGATTCCTCAATCAAGGACAAATTTATCATTACTTTTTAATTGTTACCTTAAACTACTGTATTACAAATTATTGACATTGTACCAGAAATTATACTAAGCTATTTACAAATGTAAAACTTTTATTTACCAATATATTGAGCCCATATTCTACACAATAAAATTTTTAAAAAATTAACACTGCACAATAGTTTTTTTAAAAAATAAGTTTGTTCGAATGATTTTAGATTTGCAGAAAAGTTTTGAGTGAGTATGGGGTAGTAGTTTCCCTACATCCATCATTCAGTTTTAGTTTTCCCTACGTTATCATCTTGCCTTACCACTGTATGTTTGTTAAAAAAAAATAAGTTAGTACAGGGAATATACTAATAAATAAACTCCATCTTTTGATATCACCAGTTTTTCATTAACGCCCATTTTCTTTTCCAGAGTATAACCCAGGATCCCACACTGCATTTCGTTGTCATGCTCCTCCCTTAAGCCTCCTCTGGTCTGTGAAAATTTCTCAGAGTATGTTTGTTTTTGATGACCTTGATAGTTTTGAGGAGTACTGGTCATCCATTTTGTAAAAGGCAGATGTATTGTCTCATGATTAGAGTTTGTCTTATCACGTTGTATCAGGGGATATTTGATTATCCACATAACGTCATATGATTTAACCTCTTCACTCAGTTAAGGAGTTTTTGCCAAGTTCCTCCATTGTGAAGTTATAATTTTCTCTCTCCTTACTCTATTCTTGGAAGTGAGTTACCAAAGTCAGACCACTCCCAAGGGTGTGGAAGGTAGATTAAGCTGCACACCTTTTAGTGGAGAGTATCTACATATGCAGCATGAGGTTCTTATGTAAGGATGATGTGTCTTCTCTCATTTATTTACTTGAATATGTGATCATTTATTTATGATTTATAAATCATAAATGAATTTATTCTATCCTATGGATTTATTTTATCCTATGGATTGTAATCCAATACTATATTATTTGTGTTGCTCAAATCAGTCTAGCTTTGGCAATGGGAGCTTTTTCATGTTGGCTCATGTATCCCTTTGATATGCCCCCATGTTTCATCTGTATGTATATGTATATGTACATGTATGCATGTACACACACACACACACACTCACACACACACAAGTTAATACTTGATGTCTCTGACTCTAATCCAACACTCATCACGCATTCATTCTAGCTATTTCTTCTTGCTTACTGGCAACTTCCCTTTCCAACAGTGAGAAACTTGATTCCAACCATCCTCCATCTATTTCTTATTTGTTCAACCCCAGTATACATGCACAGCAGTTAAAGATATATTAATCCATGCCATCATGAAAAGCAAACTTACAAATAGTCTTTCTCTTTAGCCTTATAATTTTCTGTTAAAACACAAACAAACAAAAACCAAATATTTCCAAGCTGACTTAGGTCAGCTCCTCCTCTTCTCTGCAATGAAGTTATTCCTACATCTGTGATACAATTAGATTCATTTGGCATTTGACAGTCCATTCTTGGATTCCTTGACATCTGGTTTAATTGTGATTTCTTAGATTGCAAACATTGAAATTTACTCTTTGACATGTGCAGTCTATGACAGATGCATAGATTCTTGTATTCATCACTCCAGTACCACACACAAGTGCCAAAAAGGGGAAATAACTGACTTTCAGAGTCACTTCTTTTAACATTTTAATGGTTTCCCTTGAGTTTGCAATATACATTTGCAATCAAAGTCCACTTTCAAATAACACTATACTGCTTTATGGGAAATGCAAGTATCTTTTATAACAGAATTCTTAATTCCTCTCTCTTGTTCCTTGTAATAGCTGTCATTCATTTCACTTATCCATAAGCTATAGTTACAGAACACATTCTTGTTATTATTTTAAACAAATTGTTATCTGTGAGAGCCATTAAAAATAAAAAAGGTACTATTTTACCTTCATTCACTCCCCAAATGCTTTCCTTTTTTTCATGTAGATCTGAGTTTCAGACCTGTATCATTTTCCCTCTCTGAAGATGTTCTTTTACCACTTCTTGCAAGGCAGCTCTACTGGTGATAAATTCCCTGAATTTTGTTTATTTTAGAAAGTCTATTTATCTTTCAATTTTGGAAACTAACTGCATTGGATATAGAATTCTAGGTGGGTGGCTCTCTTCTTTCAATACTAGATATTTCACTTCACTCTCTTCTTTGTTGCATGGTTTCTGAAAATAAGTCCAATACAATTCTTATCTTGGTTACTATCTCTATAGGTAAGGGGTTTTTGTTTATTTATTTATTTATTTTTACCTCTGGCTTCTTTCAAGATTTTCTCTTCATCTTTCATTTTTTGTGGTTTAAATATGATATGCCTGGGTGATTTTTTAAAAATCTACTCTTCTCTGTGTTCTCTGAGCTTGGTGAACCTGTGGTTTAGTGTCTGACATTAATTTGAGAGAAATTCTCAGTCACTATTGCTGCAAATCTTTCTTATGTTCCTTTACCTTCTTTTCCTTCTGGTATGCCCATTACATGTATGTTACACCTTTCCTGGCTGCCTGTGTTTCTTGGATATTCTGTCCCTTTTTTTTTTCCCCAGTCATTCTTCTTCCTTTTGCTTTTCAGTTTGAGAAGTATCTTTTGACATATTTTCTAGCTTTCTGATTCTTTCCTTGATCATGTCCAGTCTACTGATGAGTCCATCAAAAGCATTCTTCATTTCTATTACAGTGTTTTGATTTCTACCCTTCATTCTCAGAGTTTCCATCTGTCTGCTTACACAAACCATCTGTTCTTGCAAGTTGTCCATTTTTTCCATTAGAGCCCTTTGCATATTAATTATTATTTTAAATCCCCAGTGTGATGATTCTAAAACTCTGCCATATCTGGTTCTGATGCTTGCTTTATTGCTTCAGACTCTGTCTTTTTATTATGCTTTTTTGAGTTACTTTTAGTTGTTTTTGTTGTTGTTGTTGCTTTTTGAGTCTTTTGTTGAAAGCTCAGCATGATTTACTGAGTGAAAGAAATTGGGGCAGATAGACCTTCAGTACGAGGTTTCATGTTTACCTGGCCATGAGTTAGACTGTTTATTGTTTGCTGCAGCTTTAGGTGTCAGAGGCTAAAATTTTCTCTAGTGTCTTTGTTTTTGTCTTCCCTGTTGTCTGCATTTCTATAAAGACTCCTTCTTAAATATGACTTGAGCCTGGCAGTTCTTTTAGCTGTAATCAACTGTTATTTTACCAATGCCCAGTTGCTGTGTAGTAGGTTTCTGCCTTTGGTGAGCCCAGGCTTCTGGGCTATTACCTTCACAGTTCAGTGAGGCTGTGATCAAACTCACTGTGGTTGAGCTCTGGTAAAATAGTTTCTTTTGAAGGCAGTCCTTTGTTAAAAGAAAAGAATGCTCTCTGCGTATGTTAAAAGAAAAGAATGCTCTCTGCGTATGTTAAAAGAAAAGAATGCTCTGTGCATATGTCCACTTCCCTGCTGAAATGAGGAGGAAATTTTTCTCAGATTACTTATACCCTGATAACCTGATAAGGTTCAGGAGGTAGAACTCATGGGTATGGGTTCCACCTCCAAGACTAGGCCCCCCTGGAGGTTTTAATCCTCAATCTAGTCCACACTAAACTTCCAGCAATTTCACAATTACAATTCAAGATTTTCTATCCTGCTAGAATAATCAATTATGTGAAATACACACACCATTATTTATTATATGTGTATGTGTATTAAATACAATGATATTTGAAATATTTTTGATATGCAGTATATACATATATGTATACATACATCTGTATACTATATATTTATATATACATATATTTATATATGTATACCTATATATTTATATATAGTACTATATATATACTATATACTATATATTTATATATACATATACTATATATATTTATATATACATACCTATGTACAATTAACATATGTAATATTTATGCATATATATATATACACACACACACACATATATATAAACAATTTTTTTTGGAGACAGGGTCTTGCTCTGTTGCCCAAGCTTGAGTGCAGTAGTACGATCACTGCTCACTGCAGCCTTGACGTCCTGGGCTCAAGTGATCTTCCTGTTTCAGCCTCCTGAGTATCTGGGACCACAGGCGCACACCACCATGCCCAGCTAAAATTGTTTTTTTTTTTTTGGAGAGATGCAGTTTCACCATGTTGCTCAGGCTTGTCTCAAACTCCTGAGCTCAAGCAATCTGCCTGTCTTGGCCTGCCAACGTGCTGAAATTTGCTATTGTGAACCACCATGTCCAACCTGTATATTAATATTAAAACATATTTCCAGAAAAAGGAGAATTATTTCTGCAACAAAGGCTATGTACTTTTTGAAGTCTTTGGGTACATGTTCTATATCTCCTGCCTCATCTCTCCTTCTATCATCTATATATGCTTCTGTCTCCTCCCCTTTCTATAATCCATTTTCCTAACAGCACTTTAAAAAGTTATAAAATTTTATACCCCTGTAGTTACAGCTGAAGTAAGTTGTCTCATTGCATATTTTAAAAAATAATTTACTCTTGCAGAGTCGAGGATATTCTTAACTTCACCTTCCATGCACCTTCATTCAAAGAAGGTGTATTATTTCTTCTGCTTTGTTCTCCTGCTAGCTGAGTGTTTGAAATGCGGGTAACTGCATATTGAAAAGCTGACCTCTGATTCTGTGATTTTCTTTCTTTCTTTCCTGCCTCTTACCTGAAAGCAGATAATAGAGGATCCGTGGCAGTAGACCATTCAGGTCCAATAATATGTCCATCTCATAATGCTCTTAGGCTATTGTGTTGCAGTAGATTTTTTAAAACTCTCGTTTCTAGAAATATTAATCAGATGCATATTCATAGTTTAACAAGCATAGCCATGTGAAATTTAAAAGAAGGGTGCTTGACCTGAGGGAAACTTCTGTACAATATGAAATGCAGCTCCACACTTTCAAAAGAGATTTAAACATACCCAACTTTCCTCATTTTACTCATTAAAATTGGTGAAGAGAATGGAGGGAGCTGTCGTTTACTCTCTGGACTGTAACTAATGCCCAATTTCAGAGCTGAAACTCCCCATCTATCTTTGTTCAACTTCAAAGGAGTTTGGAGGCAAGTAAAAGACTCTCTTGAGCTATGAGTCATGATACTCTCCTTTTTCCTCTTTACCAATAAATACCAGTTCTCTCAGGCCCAGCTCTATCAAGGTCATGGATAGTCTGGAGGACCAATGAAGTTGGATGTGAAATGATATCATCAATACTACTGAATTATCCCTAAGAAAGGACATGATGATGCAACTTAAAGACAATCTATTTCAATCCTTTCAATTCATGTATGAGGAAAACGTAGACTTCATGTTTCTCACTGCTTTGCCAACAGTACATAACTGGTTGATGGTAGAGAAAGAACAAGAAATAAGTTTCCCTAGCTCAGTTAAATATGGTTTCCATTTTACATTCTGATTGTTGGACTTACATACTGAGAATCACAGATAACTTGAAACTAATAAGATGAAACACTATATAAGGTAAGTTGTGTTTTCTTATAAAGTATACATTTTCCTCACAGAATATGCAAACACATTTAGGTCTTCATTTGATGGGATAAGCTGCCTTGAAACTCCTTTACATGTGGTAATCTGCCCCTACATCCTAATAAAAAGTTCACTGTATAATCGTTTTAAAAAGGCAAACGTGTGGGGACAATTTACCTCCCAGAAGGCTGTCACCCTGTGACTTGCCATATGGACCTAGGCTTTATACATCAAGATCCACTGCTATTTAATGAGTTACTGCCTGATCAGTATTCCAGAATGTTCAATACAGTAATTCCAAGAAAAATAAAGCTTATTTTTTTCCTGCATTTCTATTTTTAAAATCTCATTGTTTTTATTCTTCTACCCATCCATGTTTGTATTTTTTCTCATTTCATTATTATTTTTTTCCTTTTCTGATGGAACTCATGACATCTATGTGCCATATTTACAATGCCAAAAACATTACCTCCTTTATTTATCAAGTGATACCTATCGCATGACCAGCATCTGTTTTGGCTCTGTAGAGAGTAGACTTGAATGTAAAGCATTTTCCCTGTGTGAGATGTTCTGAAGGTGGCAGAGCAAGACTGCTGCCCTTGCCCGCTACTTGCAATGCTGAAGAACCTTAAGCATACTTAAGCAGCACGTGCTCTTCATTTCAAGTTCAGATGTGTCACCTCCCAACTAACAATATGTAAAACTACATTACAAGGTATGAAATACTTTATTTTCCTTAGAAGTTCTAATGTGATAACAATAGCAAGCATTTATCATGAGCTTAATTTATAACAGGTACTATGTGATAAGAGCTTTTTATCTTATCTGAACTTTTTATAGATAGGAAATCTTATCCCCTTTTACAGAACAGGAAACAGGACCACAAATAATTTGTGTGACTTACCCAAAGTCATACTACTCATGAATGAAACAACTAAAATTTGAATTCCAAAACTGCTTCATAAGAATTATGCTTCAATTGTGGCAAAATGAAACAAAATGAGAAACTCAAATGAACAAGCCACATGTGGGGTTGAAGTTCAGTTCCATCCTTAGGTCAGTGACCCTGAACCAGTGTACATTTCTAAGTTGACTGTCAGTGGTTTTTTTTTTTCTTCAACAAAAATACAGCCACAGATTGGAAAACATTTATCTCCATTTATTTTTCACTTTATAATCCTCCATTTGGAAGTAGCAGGGTTTTGTACTGCATGGAAGAAAACAGAACTAATCTGCAAGATCTGGCTTTACTTAAGGTCACTGAGGAAAAGCAAGTGTGCAGAAGTAAGCCAATAGGTTTGGAGCAGAATAGGGAAAAGAGTTTCCTTGGACTAGACTGATGACAGGTAGATGGATGATGGAGAGATAGATATATAGATAAGACGTAGACGAACAGATGATAGATAGATGTTAGGTAGGTAAATAGATATATCATCGGTAGATGGACAGATAGATGTTAAGTAGACAGGTGGCAGATAGGTAGCTAGACGATAAGTAGATACATAGATGATCAATTGACTGATTGATAAGTAATAGAGATATAGAGAGATAGATGATAGACAGTGATTTTCTCAGCTGCGGAAAAGAGTGATGCCTTTCAGCCTCATAGAAGTGAGGCTCGAAAGCTGTCTCCTGGTCATGGCCCAGAGCAACTGTGGGACCTCAGCAATGATTGATAGACAGATAGATAGATAGATAGATAGACAGACAGACAGACAGACAGATAGATAGATAATAGAGATATAGAGAGACAGGTAGTTAATAGACAGACAATGATTTTCCCGGTGGGGGCAAATAGTGATGTCTTTCAGCCTCATAGAAGTGGAGCTTGAAAGCTGTTTCCTGGTGATGGCCCAGGGCAGCTGTTAGACCCCAGGAAAAAGTGGTTCTCAGGGAATAAAGGCATAAACAAATGGGACCAGATCTGAAATGGTTTGGAGGCTTCCAAAAGATTCCCACAGAGATGCTGACCTGGTGGGCCACATTGACAAGGACAATGCCCATCTCAGTGGTGCCTGTACAGTCAAATAGGCCCTGAGGGTACCCATTATGGGATGCCAGGAGCTGGGGTGCCTCCCTGGGAGGTAGGGCGAAAGGAATCCACAGGAATGACTAAAAATGACTTTCCTGCCAGCCCATCAGAATGGAACTTGGAATAAAAGACTCAGTTATGCATATACAATATGTTCTTCATTGTAGATGTGTTTTAAATACCTAACATGTGTCAGACACTAGAAACTCAGAGCCAATATAAATTATCCATAATGATTATGTAAATATTCATGTCATTGACATTTAAAGTAATTAACAATTTGTGTAAATATTGCATTACCTCCATTTTATGCCAGAACTATATTGTAACCACTAAAACTAAAAAAAAAAAAAACAACAAACAAACAACTCTAGAACACAATATGGGAGGCAGTTTTTAGATGGAATCTTGACCTGCTTTCCCTGGTATGATAAATCTTGAGTATTGGGGGCCACAAACAGTAACAGAAAATGAAAAGTAGGAGAGAGGAAGGGTGCATGTGTTGTCAGCAGAGGGTATATCATAGTTACCAGCAGATTATGTGTTTTGGAAAGACAACAATATGTTTTGTTTGTTTGTTTTTGTTTTTGTTTTGAGACAGTGTCTCCCTCTGTCGCCCAGGCTGGAGTGCAGTGGCGTGATCTTGGCTTACTACATCCTCCATCTCCTGGGTTCTAGCGATTCTCATGCCTCAGCCCCCAAGTAGCTAGATTACAGGCACATGCCACCACACCCTGCTAATTATCGTATTTTTGGTAAAGACGGAGTTTCGCCAAGTTGACCAGGCTGATCTGGAATCCTGGCCTCAAGTGGTGCACCCGCCTCTGCCTCCCAAAATGCTGGGATTACAGGCACAAGCCACGGCGCCCAGCCAGATACCAACATTTGTATATGCTACTCTATGTTCTGTGTCTGACATTGCAAATGAAATTGCTATAGATTTCCTGGACCTAGTCCCTGGAATTCATGGAGGAGTTGTGTTTTTGGAGTCAGTCTAGAAGTGTCTGAGGCCATGAGTCTCTGAATACAGCCTCATGGTGATTTTAGCAGAACTTACCTCCAATAGGGAGGCATCACTATTGTCTAACAATCCATTTTACCAATATCTATTACATTTGTTTGCTAAGTAAAATTCAGTGCATGTGTTCATGCTTAGTAACTTATATACAAAAATCAATATTTAAATATAATCAAATCATAGTGATGTAATCCAATGGGATCAGTGACCTGGAAGAAGAAGATGGCAATAGAGAAAACAAAAGCTGCTTCTTCCCTATTTCAAATGACAATACTAATAATTGCATACCTACAACTTCTTCTTACTTTCTTACTTTCTTACCTACTTTCTTACTTCTCAAGGCATGACAAGTTGAATTGGTATGACTTATCTTAAGTCTACTCCTTCACAGAATTATTTAGAGCAACACATTTTCTTGGAAGGCAAGGTCTTTGTCAGGAGCCCTGTGTGACGGGCACAAGCAGGGCTGCTTTTCTGAAGCAGGGGCAGGAGACCGCTTCCCTCCTTCCTAGCTGTTGCCAGCGTGCCTCCTTGGGATGGTTGGAGCTCTTTGGGGCATTTCACCACACTGCACCAGCCTCCATGCCCCTCGAGAGACGAGACTGTGAGGGCGCATTCGATCTCTCCAGCATGTACCTATTGCAGAGCATTGATTATTTCCTGACTTTACAGGGTGAAGAGGTAGAGTTAGTGACTGAACTGAGGCTCAAGCCCAGTGGTCCTAACTCCCAGTGCTAGATTTTTCCCATGACATCAGAAATTTATCTCTGGATTTCAAATTGTGCATATCAAGGAATATATAAATTTCCAAGGTTAAAAGTTGCACATGCTTGATCCAAATGTCACTATAACTAAACATTTGAGGGTTATTTTCCAGTTATTTCAAAATCTCCTAATCCTTCTGTAGGAAAATATATTTACCACAGCTAATAAGACTCTGTCTCTCCACTATCATTACATTTCTTCAAAGCATTTCCAATAAGAACACTCCAAATTATCTCCCCTCAGCTAGTTCATCTGTTCAGTCAATAAGCAACATTTTATTGCTTTTATGAATTAAGCCCACTTTGCATCCAATCATTTTGCAAACATCTGTAGCAGGAGCAGTCTAGGGAGCTTTTGAAAAATCAATCAGAGAGGAACAGCTTTCACTTCATGTGTTGGGCTTTTAAAAAAAAATTTTAATAAAGTATTTACACATGTTTGCTGTGCCTGAAATGGAAACACAGCAGCGCCGGCAGCCCCAGCACTGCAGCAGGAGGGTGAGAGTGGTCAAAGCCCAGGCGGCCCTAGCTGGGGGCCACAGGGCCTTGTGTGGCTGCCAGGTGAGGACTGACCAATAGCGACCGCTGCCTGGGGTCAAGGACAGAGCTCACCCAGCATTAGGTGGGGGCATTTGCTTAAATAAATCTTGTGGAGTGGTTGAAGACACTCATTTTTTCCCCTTTCTGTCCTTTCTATGAGTTTTACATGTAAAGAGAAAAAAGAGCGAACAGCTCAAGTATAACAAGGTACCTAGGTCTGATCTTTACAAGTGAAATAAGTATGTGCCCTGTGTGCAGGGTTGAAAGGCTGCATGCTTACCTGATGTTGATTTCCAGAATCACTGAGGGTGTGAAGCAGGGGATGCTATAGAAAGGAGAGGAGACACTGAGATACTCAACTTAGGAGATATTGAGACTGAAATCTTAAGGCAGAGATTGTGAACCTCAGGATTTTCCAGAAGGAATTCTAAGATCAGCTTGGATGCATTAGTTACTTCCAGAAAATCTGGAGTGTATTGATTTTTAGTCTGTTTTCCCTCTATTTGTGTTGCCTTTATAACATTTTATAATGAGATTTTAGAATCTGACATGTTTCTTGTGGTGTGTGCTTTTGAGAAATGTTTCCCCAGCGTGTGCCCCTGGATTATTTGATTCTGTGTGTTTAAACTCCAGAGAGTGATTGTGGCTCAGCATAGTGAAACTGGCAGGACAGGAGGGGACAGACACAGATGGCACATTTAACCACGGCGGCTGGGACCGAAGCTCAGTGGCCGCCAGCTATGGAACCAAAGGTGCTGAGGGCTGGAGGGAACCATTCTAATTGAAATCTCCCACTTTATTGGTGGAAATTTAAGGCTAGACATGTGAATGTTCTTTGTCAGAGAGAAAACCTCAGGAGATTATGTGTCAGCATGGGATTCTCTATCTGCTTTACTCTCTGTTTTCCTCTCTATCTTTACCACCGATGGGTTGAAGGAGATTTTCTTTTAATCAGTACAGTGATCTTATTCCATGAGGGGCATTCCTTATTGATGAGAGGAAGACGTCTTGCATACAGTGGGCTTGTTTTAAAGAATAAGAGGATCCATAACAAAATAGGATGTGGGATTTGTCCACCTGGCAGAGGCAGCAACATTATGGGGCAAAGTCACATGCTCCAGAACTTAGCAGTGGTGGCGAGATGATGCTGGGACCCTGGAGAGGGTCGGGGAAAAGTACTGGTAGGAAGCCAAGTGAAGGGAGATGCCAAGGTCCCTGTGCAAGATGCACCTGGCACTTTCTAAGACTAGCAAGGGGAAAAGCTAAGAGGTAACCCTGAACCCACTCCCGACTCATCTAGGAATAAGGGATGGGCCCTTTCTGGTGAAAGATTGTTCTGCTTGTCTTTCCACAATTGGTGAAGGCACCCGTGGGGTGGAGAGGCAAGGATTGCGTTGCTCATGGATGATTTGGGAGGCAGAATCCTGGAGCAGAAATGGAGAGAGAGTTCAATTTTTTATCCAAAGGCAGTTTTCAGAAAAAGTCTGTAGCTGCCACCTGGCAGTTCAGAAGCAGCTGTGAATCAAGAAAGCACCCTTTGCTCAAGAGACTGTTTTTGCATGGAGGCCAAGTTTAACACGCGCTTCCCCAAGAGCGATCTTTGAATTATTGACTAAAAGGATTTAAGCAGAGGAGCATGCTTCCTGCTCCCTGGAGCCAACCCCTTGAGCAAATACACTTTCACGTTACTTTTAAAAAGCTGTAATCCACTTTGCACTGAAATGAAGCATAGAAAACTTGAATTCATCAGAATACTAGGCGTATTTCTTAGTGATTGAAAGCTAAGGTTCACCATCAAACCCTTGATGTATTAATATTTATTATAGTTTTCATTATCACAGGCATTAGAATGCTCGTGCATTTGCCAGGAATACATATCTGCCTGTTTTCAGATACCTCACCACAAACAGGTGGCTGCCACAAGGACAGTGTTTAAACACATCACCTTTTTTTTTTCAAAAAAATATGTAATTCAATATTACTTTGACAAACACCAAAAAAAAGATGATTTTCTGTAGCACGAGACTATTTGTGTTGAAGTTACCAGAGCATCATTACCCTGATTTAATATTTCACGGTTTCCAGTTCTACTCTTTAAAAAAGGCAAACATTGGGACAACTGTAAAATCCCAGTTCTATTTTGGATTTACTCTGTGGCTAGTGAGAAATGTTGCTGGTGTAGATGGCAGTCCTTTGATTTCCCTCTTGACTGCTGCTGCAGCGAAGCTGGTGTCTGAATGCACCAAATCACAGAAGCCAATTCCTTTTTCACTGTTCACTGCAAACCTCAACGAACCTCAACTGAGCTCCTCAGGGGCACCTCAGTCTTCTGCCTTCTCCCAGTTCAATTACCATTGCATTTGGATGACTTTACATTTATGAAGTTTAGGATGTATTCTAGGCCACATGCTGTGAACTGGTGACCAAGATAGTTCCTGCACCATTCCCTGTCCCCTGGCAACAATGCCTATTATATAGACCGGGCTTCCTCTCTCTCTCTCTCTCTCTCTCTCTCTCTCTCTCTCTCTCTCTCTCTCTGTCTCTCCTCTCTGTTGGCTCATTGTAAGGCACATTTTGGATTTTCTCTTGCATGGATGGGCCTATTGTAATCTCCATGGTCTTAGTGAGTGAAGGGAAAGGCTGGACAGTTGGAGGAGACATGAAGATGGAAGCAGGATGGGAGCTGTGATGCAAAGAGTGACACTTGGTAAGTGTCTGTTGAATGGATGAGTTCCAGGCTGTGTCCCTCAGAGTGTGAAGCTTCTTCCTTCATGCCTAGGTTCATTGATTACCTGGAATTTACAAAACACTGTCTTGGTACCCAGGCCACAACTCCCACTCCTTGCTTTCCCATCTTCATATTTCTTGCTGTTTTCTGAACACCATGTTAATTGTTCTGCTACTCACTTTTCCTTGAAACCCTTTCTTTGCTTAGCTCTAAGGGATCCACCTCTCCAGGCTTCTGTCTCTCTCATTGCCAGCTCCTCCTCAGCCTCATTTGCCAGATTCTCCTCTCCTTCCTGACTTCCAAATGCAAGCACGGCCTTGGCCCTTTGTTTTCAGTAACAACCTTCTCTACCATCATGCTCCCATGTAATCTCGTGGCTTTAATTATTGCCTACAGCAGTGACCTCCATGTTAATATCCCCTACTTGGACATCTCTCTCTTGGAGAGATCTCATCCCTATCTCTTGGACATTTATATATTTAATTGCAAAACATGACATTATGTCTGTTGTGGGATGAATTGTGTCTCCAAAACGATATGTAGACATCCTGGGACTTTTCCCTTAAAAATCAGAGTCTTTGCAGATGTAATCACGATGTTCCTTAATATCCTGGAACCTAAACATTTAGAGTCACCTGGGTGTTCAGGAAAAGAGCTTGTGGGTTCATGTGTAGTAGCTCAGTACTCACCACACTCTTTGGTAAAAAAGAAACCTTCCGTTCCATTTTCCCTCCAAGGAACCATTTTGATCCAAGCAAGATATCAAATGAGAGGAAGAGACTGGATGACTTTTAGGTTCCTTCCAAAATAAATTATATAAAGTTAAATCCCTCCACCTAATTTGGCTTCTGTGATTTGAAAATGCACAGAATGTGACTAGGGCCCAGTTTTCACCTGGGCTCTGGTCTCATTGGCATTGTTTCTGGAAGCTTGGATATGACCAGTGACCTTAGAGGAGAGGGGAAGAGACACAGACACAGGCAGAAGGTCATGTGAAGAAGAGGCAGAGATGGGAGTCATGGATGCACAAGCCAAGGAATGAAAGAAATTGCTGGCAACCAAAGCAGCTAGAAGAGGCAAGGAATAATTTTCTCCTAGAATCCACAAAGAGACCACAGCCCTGCTGACACCTCGACTTCAGACCTCTAGCCTCCAGAACTAAGAGACAATAAAATGGTGAGGTTTTCAGCCACCTGGCTTGTAGTACTTTGTTAGGACAGTTCTAGAAAATAAGCATAGTATCCAAAACCAAACTTCTGATTCTCTCACGCCTCAACTTGCCATTTGTAGCGTCTTCGTTTTACAGGTAGTGATAATCCCCTTCTTCTGGTTCCTTTGGCCAGAAACCACCTCACTGGCCACCTGGATTATTGTAGCAATTGTCACTTGGTTTTATTTTATCCTCACCTTCCCCGACTCACCACAGGTTATTCTCCAAAGACAGGTTCCTTGCATGGCTTGCTCCGGACTGGCTTCAAGTCTTTCTGTAAATGCCACCTTTTCAATGAAGATTCCTAGCCCAGGCAGGTAACATCACCTCTCTTCTTTCTCACTCTACTCATCCCCTCCCTGGCTTATTTCCTCTATGGCAAATATCATGAAGAAATACATTACACATTCCACCTATTTATTTATTCTTTTTCTTCCCTGCCTGTTGGCACAAGAATACAAGCTCTCTGAAAATACAAAGGTAGAGGTTTTGGGTTGTTTTTTTTTGCTCTGTCCCCCGTAGGAAGGTCAATGCCTGGCATATGGGTACTCTATTAATATTTGTTAAATAAATGAATGCATGGCTTTGGCCAGTTTTCAGATACATTGTGTTGATTCATTGTTTCCCTCTTTATTAGTCTTCATCCTTTTTCATTCTAATGAAGACAGAGCTCATTGACAAACCCCTGTGTTCTTCTCACCTGTATGAAATCTAGGCTGGGGAGCAAGCTCCTGGGAAACCAGGATCCACGGTGGAGGGATTGAACTTGATATCATTTCTTTTGATATGAACCTAAAAATCATCCAGTCTCTTCCTCTCATTTGATAACTTGCTTGGACCAACATGGTTCTTTGGAGGGAAAATAGAAAGGAAGGTTTCTTTTTTACCAAAAAATGTGGTGAGTACTGAGCTACACATGAACCCACAAGCTCTTTTCCTGAACACCCAGGTGACTCTAAATGTTTAGGTGCCAGGATATTAAGGACCAGTTTGGATCCCACATCCTTCCTACCTTGATATTTTTTAATGGAACTGTTTTTCACCTGGGCTCTAGTCTCATTGGTGTTGTTTCTTGAAGCTTTTTTTTATTTTCCCTACATTATATGTTGTCAGAAACTTACCTTACTCCTCTATAAGACTCTTGAGACAAGGTGGTATGACATCTTAATTTCTCATTGTATTCCTTAGCTGGTAATTTCTCTTTTAGTTTTATTTTTTACATGTTTTAATTAACAAAATTGTGTATATTTATGGAGTACAACATAATGTTTTGAAATATGTTGTTTACATTGTGGAAGGGTGACTCAAGCTAATTAAGGTATGTATTACCTGACACATTTATCATTTATTTGTGATGAGAACACTTAAAATATACTCTCTTAGCAATTTTCAAATATACAACACAATTGTTATTAATGGTCACCATGTTGCACAATAGATCTCTTGCTTAGCTAGGAAATTTAAGTAGTGGGTCTCAGGGAGTGGCTGTTGAAATAAATATTATTTCTGTTGCCATAAAGCTGTGTCCTCTAGTGAATGCAAATCAAAAAACAAAAATTAGGCAGGTAGTTAATAATTTGTCATATTATCTCCTCGAGGAAGCCCTCCCTCCTTATCCCAAACTCAAGTGTGGAGAGTGTAGTGAGCAGGACAAAAATAGGATGAGATTCTACCTTGAGTGGTAGAATCTTTACTGTGTTACCTCATCCAATGCTACCCCAAAAATCTGGTTAATTGTCTCCATGTGTCTTATGAAGAAACCAATAATTCTAAAGGCTGAATAACTCACCAAAGTTCTCAAAGCTTCCAGGGGCAGCAGTAGGATGTGAAGCCAAGTCTGTGTGGCACAAAACCCTTTTATTTCTGTGTTTATTTGCAGAATGTAACATTTCAAGTGAAGATGCATAAAAAAAGACACATATATTATTTTGTCCTGTAATGCCATCCTGCCTTTTGTCCTGAGAAACTTGCATATTTTAAAATAAACAATCTTCCAGGGATCCTAGGGCCTTGGCTTCTCCAATCTCCCTGTTTCCATTACTTCTTACACAGGGAGCATGTCTGGGAACTACGTAGGCCTGAATGTTTTCAAACTGATGTTATTCTGAAAAGCAAGCCAGGGTCATATTTACAAAGCATTATATTTTCACTTAGTAGCCACAGTATTATTGTGAAATATACCAGTAAATGACATTTGTAGTCTCCTATCAAGAAAATGAGAGAATATAACCTAATGGGCAGGCAAATCCAAGGCCTGAAGGATGGGCCTGACATTCTGAGCCTGGGCTGAGGTCCTAGACACTTATCAAATTAACAGCCAGATATATGCTGACCCAAAGTTCAGAGAAACAAGAAGCATGAAATATGTGTGCAATGGTAAATTTTATGTGTCCATTTGACTGGGCTAAGGGATACCCAGATAGCTGGTGAACATTATTTCTGGGTGTGTCCATGAGGGAGTTTCTGGAAGAGCCTAGCGTTTGTTTCAGTGGACTGGGTAAGGATCAGCCCTCACCAATGTGGGCAGGCATCATCTAATCCTTTGAGAGCCCTGAAAGAAAAAAGGATATAGAAAGGGCAAATTCCCTACTCTCTCTCTCCTGAGCTGGAACATCCATTTTCTCCTGCCATTGGACATTGGAGCTCTTGGTTTTTTGTTTGTTTGTTTGTTTGTTTTTGTACTTTGGACTGGGACTGAATTTCACCACCATTTTTTATGGATCTCCACCTTGCAGAGGGTTATCATGGGACTTCTCCATGTCCATAATTATGTGAGCCAATTCCCATAATAAATAACCTCTAGTGTCTATCATCTAATCTATCTATCTATCTATCTATCTATCTATCTATCTATCTATCTCTCATCTACCTATCATCTACCTACCATCTATCTATCTATCATCTATCTATGTCTCATCTACCTATCATCTACCGACTATCTATCTATCTATCTATCTATCTATCTATCTATCTATCTATCTATGGAAAACCTAGACTAATAAAATGTGGATTTTTAAAATGATTCTGAGAGGAGGGCTTGCTCTAAGGAAGAGTATAAACATAAATGCTGGCTAGTGGAAATGTTTGGTTATTGATAAAACTTGCATTTTATTGGCATATCCAGGGACTTATTGGACCATTCAAGATAGAGTTAACAAATTGAATCAAAGGCCTGGAGCTATTGGGAAAACAAAACAAAACTGTGCTTCTGGACTGAAGAACAGGAATGATTGACCCACGGTAGATTTGTCTCATCCAAAGCCTATTGTGTTTTCTGTGTTCTCTTCCCAACTTCCCCATGACTTCCCAACAGATTATTACATGCCATTTATACTTTCTTTTCCTACAATTAGAAAACAGTGACGCTTGGACCCAAATGACCTTTAGGCCATGGATTCCAGAGCATTTGGACATGTTTGCTTTGCTAGAAAGTGCATCAAATACGGTTTTTAAAATATGAAATCTGAAAACAAAATCTTTGGGCTTCTTCACCATCATTCTGAAATTTAATATGTAGTTAGCAAAGCTGGCCAACAGGTAAGTTGATGTTCTTTGTAAAGCTCTGGACATGTCAAGCTATTTGAAGGGGAACCTCACTGTTAATGTATTATGCAGCTAGACTTACAGCTTTCCTTTGCTTAATTAAAGATTTTTTGGGGAGATAAAAAACACTCATTAAAAAGAAAGCAAGGACTAAAGGGTTTCCTAGACTTTTGTTGTACACGTCACCTCTGGGCAACTTTTGCTTGCTGTGTATTGCAAAGGTGTTGTATTCACATTTACACAACTGCATATCAAAGAGGGTCCCTTTTTTTCACCCATTGTTTCTGAGACGTGTCAAAACAATTTTGATATTAAAAATAATAAGGGGCTGGGTGCGGTGGCTCACGCCTGTAATCCCAGCACTTTGGGAGGCCGAGGCGGGCGGATCACGAGGTCAGGAGATCGAGACCATCCTGGTTAACATGGTGAAACCCCGTCTCTACTAAAGATATCTAGAAAACCCCATTGTCTCAGCCCAAAATCTCCTTAAGCTGATAAGCAACTTCAGCAAAGTCTCAGGATGCAAAATCAATGTACAAAAATCACAAGCATTCTTATACACTAATAACAAACAAACAGAGAGCCAAGTCATGAGTGAACTCCCATTCACAATTGCTTCAAAGAGAATAAAATACCTAGGAATCCAACTTACAAGGGACGTGAAGGACCTCTTCAAGGAGAACTACAAACCACTGCTCAATGAAATAAAAGAGGATACAAACAAATGGAAGAACATTCCATGCTCATGGGTAGGAAGAATCACTATCGTGAAAATGGCCATACTGCCCAAGGTAATTTATAGATTCAGTGCCATCCCCATCAAGCTACCAATGACTTTCTTCACAGAATTGGAAAAAAACTACTTTAAAGTTCATATGGAACCAAAAAAGAGCCCGCATCGCCAAGTCAATCCTAAGCCGAAAGAACGAAGCTGGAGGCATCACTCTACCTGACTTCAAACTATACTACAAGGCTACAGTAACCAAAACAGCATGGTACTGGTACCAAAACAGAGATATAGATCAATGGAACAGAACAGAGTCCTCAGAAATAACACTGCATATCTACAACTATCCGATCTTTGACAAACCTGAGAAAAGCAATGGGGAAAGGACTCCCTATTTAATAAATGGTGCTGGGAAAACTGGCTAGCCATATGTAGAAAGCTGAAACTGGATCCCTTCCTTACACCTTATACAAAAATTAATTCAAGATGGATTAAAGACTTAAATGTTAGACCTAAAACCATAAAAACCCTAGAAGAAAACCTAGGCATTACCATTCAGGACATAGGCATGGGCAAGGACTTCATGTCTAAAACACCAAAAGCAATGGCAACAAAAGCCAAAATTGACAAATGGGATCTAATTAAACTAAAGAGCTTCTGTACAGCAAAAGAAACTACCATCAGAGTGAACAAGCAACCTACAAAATGGGAGAAAATTTTTGCAACCTACTTATCTGACAAAGGGCTAATATCCAGAATCTACAATGAACTCAAACAAATTTACAAGAAAAAAAACAAACAACCCCATCAAAAAGTGGGCGAAGGACATGAACAGACACTTCTCAAAAGAAGACATTTATGCAGCCAAAAAACACATGAAAAAATGCTCACCATCACTGGCCATCAGAGAAATGCAAATCAAAACCATAATGAGATACCATCTCACACCAGTTAGAATGGCAATCATTAAAAAGTCAGGAAACAACAGGTGCTAGAGAGGATGTGGAGAAATAGAACACTTTTACACTGTTGGTGGAGCTGTAAACTAGTTCAACCATTGTGGAAGTCAGTGTGGCAATTCCTCAGGGATCTAGAACTAGAAATACCATTTGACCCAGCCATCCCATTACTGGGTATATACCCAAAGGACTATAAATCATGCTGCTGTAAAGACACATGCACACGTATGTTTATTGAGGCACTATTCACAATAGCAAAGACTTGGAACCAATCCAAATGTCCACCAATGATAGACTGGATTAAGAAAATGTGGCACATATACACCATGGAATACTATGCAGCCATAAAAAATGATGAGTTCATGTCCTTTGTAGGGACGTGGATGAAATTGGAAATCATCATTCTCAGTAAACTATGGCAAGGACAAAAAACCAAACACTGCATGTTCTCACTCATAGGTGGGAATTGAACAATGAGAACACGTGGACACAGGAAGGGGAACATCACACTCTGGGGACTGTCGTGGGATGGGGGGAGGGGGGAGGGATAGCATTAGGAGATATACCTAATGCTAAATGACGAGTTAATGGGTGCAGCACACCAGCATGGCACATGTATACATATGTAACTAACCTGCACATTGTGCGCTTGTACCCTAAATCTTAAAGTATAATAATAAAAATAAAATAAAATAAAATAAAGAAAGAGATACTGAACCGGCCACAGTGGCTTGTGTCTGTAATCCCAGCACTTTGGGAAGCTGAGGTGGGTGGATTACTTGAGGTCGGGAGTTCGAGACCAGCCTGGCCAGCGTGGTGAAACCCCGACTCTACTAAAAATAAATAAAAATAAATTGGCCGGGTGTGGTGGTGCGTGCCCGTAATCCCAGCCGCTTGGGAGGCTGAGGCAGGAGAATCGCTTGAGCCTGGGAGGTAGAGGTTGCAGTGAGTCAAGATCGTGCCGCTGTACTCCAGCCTGGGCGACAGAGAAAGACTCCATCTCAAAAAAAAAAAAAAAAAAAAAAAGAGTTACTTAGTAATTCACAGAAATTCCAGGGAGGCTGGAAAACCAGGCTTGAAGGCTAAGGCAGCCAGTGTGGGTACTGTCAGATAAAATACAGGATCCTCAGGCAAATCTCGATGTCATTTGGAACATACTTATTTGTTCTTAACCTGAAGTTCAAATTTAAATGGACATCTGGTATTTTTATTTGCAAAATCTGGCCACCCTAGCCAAGGTGGCTAATTGCCTAAATTATACTCTGAGATGATTCTAGGTGCTGATACCAGCGATGTTACCCAGCCCTGACTCTGAGCAGGAGATGCCCCCCCACCAGGTCTCTGCCAGCTCTGACTCTGAAAACTTGCTGTCCCACCCTGAACCTGTTCCTCATGGATCCCCCTTTATACACCTCTCCAAATCGAGGTCTTGAACAGAAGTCCAATAGCCAATCAATCAAAAAAAGATGCCCATTCTCACCAGTAATCGGGGAAATGCAAGTTAAGACAAAGGATCGCATTGGTGAGTCAGTGGGTAGTAATTAAGAGCCTGGACCCTGTGGCCAGACAATGTGGATTTGCATCTCGGCTTGGTGGTGTGTTTGGCACTGTGCCTCAATTTCCTCCTCTGTAAAGTGCGGGTAGTAGTCTTACCTCAATACATTTGAAGAATGTATTTCTAAATTTCTAATATGCTTTGAAGTTTTGTTTTGTTTTTGTTTTTGTTTTTTTTTTGACACGGAGTTTCCCTCTTGTTGCCCAGGCTGGAGTGCAGTGGCACGGTCTCGGCTCACCACAACCTCCGCCTGCCGGGTTCGGGTGCTTCTCCTGCCTCAGCCTCTCGAGTGGCTGGGATTGCAGGCATGCGCCACCAAGCCCGGCTAATTTTGTATTTTTGGTAGAGACAGGGTTTCTCCGTGTTGGTCAGTCTGGTCTCGAACTCCCGACCTCAGGTGATCTGCCCGCCTTGGCTTCCTAAAGTGTTGGGATTACAGGCATGAGCCACCGTGCCGGCGCCTTGAAGTTTTTTATGCTCTGGCATAGAGTTCTTCCTGCTTTCTTGATGGGGCCTCCTGGAAAGAACGTGCCTTTCCTGCCCCTTAATACTCAGCCTCGCCACCATGATTGACGTTGGAAACCATCAGGACTCAAGTCATCACGCCCTGTATCCTTGTTTATGCCAACAGGGAAAGTTTAGAAATGTGTTTCACTCAGGCAGGCCATCAAGGTCAACGCCAACGGTGATAAAAGTCATGTCGGTAGTATGATATGATAGTAGGTATGATGCAGTGAAGAAGGCATTTTGCCGCTACGGCCATCCTTCTCTAAACCCAGGACCTCAGGCTAGGTTCGTTAAGAAAGAAATCCCATCTGAGGGACGGTCTACAAAATGCTTGACTGGCACTCCTCAAAACTGTCAAGATCATCAAAACCAAGGAAAATCTGAGAAACTTACAGCCAGGAGGAACCTACGGAGGGAGAGAAGAAAACTGAATGTCATGTGGGATCCTGTATGGGACCCTGGAAGAGAAAAGGGACATTAGGTGAAAACTAAAGAAATCTGAGTAAAGTGTGGGCCTTAGTTAGTAATAATGTTCCAATATTGGTTCATTCATGATGACAAATGTACCATGCTAATGTACGATATTAATAAATAGGGTAAACTGGGCGTGGGATATAGGAACTCCATACATCTTTGCAATTTTGCTGTAAATCTAAAAATCTTCTAAAATAAAAAGTTTATTGGTTAAAAATAAAAAAAATAAATAAATAAAAATAAAAATACAAAAAATTAGCCGGGCGTGGTGGCAGGTGCCCGTAGTCCCAGCTACTCAGGAGGCTGAGGCAGGAGAATGGCGTGAACCTGGGAGGCGGAGCTTGCAGTGAGCTGAGATTGTGCCACTGCACTCCAGCCTGGGCGACAGAGCGAGACTCCGTCTCGGAAAAAAAAAAAAAAAGAAAGAAAAAAGAAAGAAATAATAATAATAATAATAATAATAATAATAATAAGGCATTTCCCCCAAATTCTCTGCCAACCAAATAAAAAAATGGTTGGAGTTCAGGGAGAATTCAATAAATCAAATGCTAGTTCCCCTGTGGCTCTTTCCTCTTTCTGTCAAAGAATAACAATACAGATGTTGCTTTTGATAGCTCTGAAATAAATTTTCTTGTTTGTGGTAAATAAGCTCATCTCAAGAATAGGTCAAACTCCTTGTGTTAGGTTAGGCAGGAGCATTGGTCCAAAAAAAAAAAGGAAAGAAGCTGAATTACTATTTTTATAATTTTGTCTACAGTGAGTCCCTTCCTACAAAAGTGGAACTAAAATGTTACCATGTGACAACTTCTGGAATTCTCCCCACAGGCAACAAAGCTGTCTTTTGATCTTTCCTTCTTTTCTGCCAAGTTTTTGCAGAGTCATGGTTTGCATTACCTTTGTCTCAGCCTTAGTCATTCTTGGTGTAAATGTTATTATACAATCCCAGCAGATTATTGTCCTGCCAGGGCCCTCATTCCAGAGCACTGGCTCGTATGCTGATGGTGTTCAAGTGCACCTGGAGCTTTTTTGTGCAAGGTGCTGAGCTCCTCGGCCTCTGATTCTTCAGTTTCCTCCAGCTGTAGATAGCGGGCTGGGGAGCAGTGCCGACTAGAACAAGTATCCCACACCCTCCCTTGATGCGATCTCCATCACCTGCCTATGGGGATGCACATTCCTCCCACTCCCTGGTTAAAAACTAGCACTTTGCTTTGCACACAGGTCACTGTGGGCTGCCCCGAGCTTTCAGAGAACACACCCCGTTCTGGCAAGTGTGGTGCATCAGGAATGTGCGTAGGGGTTGCTGCTGACTTCTGCTGCCTTTCAGCCTGCTTGAATACAGGAATAAGTACAACCCTACAGGGTGATGGTTTCCAATCTTGCTTGCATATTAGACTCACGTGAGGGTCTTTAACAATAAACACCTCACACCAACAATACCAGAATCTCTAGAGCTAGGACTCGGATAGTTTTGTTCCTTCCCTTTTCTTTACCCTGCTTCTCTTCCCCAGCACAGATAATTCAATATGTTTCCAAAGTTAAACGAATGCTCTACTGGAAGGTGAAGCATCAAGCTAGAAGGAATATGGGTTTTTAGAACCCTTGTGCGATACCTTAGGACAACTACCAGTTCAGATTGTCACGTCAGAGAGAAAGAGTTTCTCTCTTGTTTTACTCACGTCTACTCCATTTTTGGTAAAACACATGGCCCCATAGCTGATTAATATAATCTCTTACTGGCGTTTCTTTAAATCGTGCTGGTGGCTCTTGGCCTACACTGGCTTAGATTGAAATCATCAATATACATGTCTAGTTTTCTTCTCTACATGGTCAGTTCTTTGAGAAAATGCACTCTAACTTATTCATTCTGAGATAGTTTCATTCATCAAATATTTACTGTGCAGATGTCAGGTGCTGCTTTTGATCCAGTGTCATGCCAGAGCCCTCTTATCTCAGCAGGGAGGGGACCAGGTTCAAGAGGCCAAAGAAGAATCTGGGAGCCAGCAGACCAGACAGAGGGTTTTATTAGGGGAACTTACATGCATGGACAGTCCAGTGGCTGAATAGGGAACCACAAGGCTGCTTGCAGAAAGCATGCATTCTTATAGCACCCTCACTCACCATCCTCCCCCAACAAGCTCCACGGGGCCACCCTCATTTCTTAATTTATTGCTATCGGGTGCATCTGCCATACACTAGGTATTGAAAATATACAAAATAAACTCCCCAACTTCAAGGGGATAATATCCTAGCAGAGGATACAATAATGCACAAACAATTAAATTAATATGTCAGATGGTTATAACTGTCCCAAGGAAAAAATATTGTTAAGGGGTTTGAATAGTATTTTCATGGAGGGAAGGATGGTCAGGGAAGGGCATTTGTGTTCTAGTACTGAGTGGTCGGTCTAAACAGGCACACAAATATTTTTTGTGGAACAAAAATAATTGGCCCTGGAATATGTAGCTATTTGGAACTAGAAGTAAGGCTATAGCCCAGATGACCTTTCTCCAATGCAGTGCTCCTTCCAGCTAAGATATTAACTCTCATCCTGGTTCACTGTACCTATCTTGGTATTTATTCACCAGCTCTTCTAAATTGTTGTGGCTTATTTTTTGAGAATGGGAGAATCAGATAAATTTTATTAAAGCTGTATGAAAATTAAGAGTACATAGGACCTAAGTGTGATTAGATGATTTAGAAATGTGCTTCTGTGAGTAACAGACAGCAATTACATGTATGGATTTTGTGAGCCAGGTATTCTCAAATGGGGAAGTGGTAATAGTCCACCCCAGGTGCAGGCAATAGGTGCATTGCTTTTAGATAATCTAAAAATAACAATGAAACCAATTAAAATCAGTCTGTTTCTATTATCATCATGCGCCAAGAGTTTTAATAACGTCAGTGATAAAATACCCCTTTGTGTGGATGGCTCCCATCTTCTATCACTGAGATGCCACGAGTAAAATTCAGTGCTCACCTGTGGAAAATGGACCACCCTCACTATTGTAAACAGAAAGGATTTCAATAGAAAAAAACTGGGCTCTTTCAACACTGTGGGAAAAGCTAGAGACACAGGTTCTAGGTTGAGAGTAACTCCCAGAACATGGCATAACCACAATCAAGAACATGAGGGCATCAGAAAGCAACACTGGGCGCCTGGGCTTTAAGGAGACTTTGCTGTTGCTGCGGCCCAGAACTGAGGGGGCAGCTACCGCTCAGCAGCGATGGAGCTCCTGACTGCTGCGGCCGAACACCCAGCTCTTTAGGACTTCTCTCGCCAGAGGCAACAGCAAAGCAGCAGTCAGAGGGCTTCCCCCTCGCTCTGGCCTCCTGATAATGACCTGCTCACACTTATCTCATTCAGACAACCTAACTGATGACCAGAACTCCAGCTGCCAGGAAGTCTTGGAAATGTGGTTTTCATGTTTCTAGTTTGTGAAATACAGAAGGACACACAAGCAGGAGATTGGAAAGGATACCAAGAGCCTATCAATATTGTACTCTTCCACACACCCACCATACTGCCACTCCATATCTGATACCTCTTGCCACCCGTATTTAAGTGGTCACACAATAACAACGTCATAGTAGGCATATCCCACCTAATGTAATGTAACTATCCCTTGCCCAAGGTAACATGTACTTACCTGTCTCAAAAAAAGGGAGACCTGAGCTGGGCGTGGTGGTGCGTGCCTGTGATCCCAGCTACTCAGGAGGCTGAGACAGGAGAATTGCTTGAATCTGGGAGGTGGAGGTTGCAGTGAGCTGAGATCACACCACTGCACTCCAGCCTGGTGACAGAGTGAGACTCCATCTCAAAAAAAAAAAAAAAAAAAAAAGAGAGACCCGGAGTCCTATAAATTACTGCCTCATCCCTGGATCGTGGTATATTTTGATACTGCCCTGCAATCCTATAGTCATAACATTCAAGCTAAATCAGTTTTACTATAACAACATACCTTATAAACAAGCAACATGGAAAATAGATGAAGGAAAAGGAAATTGTTTAACAATTATAAGTATGTGCACAAACGAATAGAATAGAGAAGAACTTAGGGGAGGCTATTGAAGTCTTTGTTTCTGCAGCTACTCTTAGAGCCATATTTGGTATTAATAACTTCCTTCCTTTACTACCCATTCTCTGGCCCAATTTGTCAGGGCTTTATACCTGGGGAGGTGAGGTACCTCATCCTTCCTCACAAGCTGAGCCCTGGGTAGTCCTGCCTATAATGGGCTGCTGAAAACATCTGTTAGCTTTTGTAGCTGTATACGGGGTTCGTGGAGGAATTTCAGAGAATCTCCTGGATTTCAGAGCGTCCTTTCCTGCTGGCGTTCTGTTGCAGCAAAGCTATTACTCCTTAGAAATCAGTATCAATGACCTGGGTCAACACAGTGACCCTCTTTTTTGGCCTGCTGGTCCCATGTCACCTGGTGGTCCAGTTCAGTGGTACAACCTTTGTGGAAGTATTCACATATTGGGTGATGAGAGCTCTAACTAGCAGAGCTCAAAGTCATGGGAAGAACAGTGAAACCTTTAGGAGAGAGTGAATCATTAGTTGAGTTAGTGAAAATACGATTCCTCCTGTAACCCCTGAGTTTCCAGACCCATTTATTCTGGCTGTGGGAACTCATTATCATATGTTAATCCCTAATTCAAAACATGCCATTCACTTTGTAGGAATCATGTTGACCTCAGCTTTTGCAATTACTGAGACATCTATAAGCCTTTCCATCATTCTCTCGGGCCAGTTACTTCTGGGACTGTTGAATTAAACACAAAGATGTAAACTATGGATCACCACCTTTGCTGTCATTTCCACAACCACCTCACAACACCTGTGAACTAGTGACTGGACCCTGAAACCACCCCGCAGAAAATCCCCAGGTTTCCATGGCTGTGTTCACCACCAGCAACAGCTGAAGTCGTAAGCAGGTGGACTCCACAGCACCTCCAACTTCCAGTTCTTGCACCAGAGCATCTAACTCGGAGAAATTCGTTCACAACCAGTACCCTAGATTCAAAGGAGTCTAGGGTTTTAGCTTTCTGGTTTTTGCACAATAGGAAAGTATACCACACGGTGATTGAGATGGATGCTTCTCCATTCACAACAACATTTCAAAGAATTCAAGTAAAGTAAATGAATAAAAAATTGTCACAGTGTGTTAAACGCTGCTTATTAACAATATCATTCAAATGCATACTATGTTGTACATTTGGCAGAAGATGGGGAACATACATTACAATAGTTACTGAATTCTCACCGTGTCTCTTTGGGTTTGGTTTTGTCATCTCCATTTTGTTGACTAAGACAAATACACAGAGAGTTGAGTTAATTCATCCAAGAGTATACTGCCAAGATTTAAACAAGGGTTTATTTTCCTTTCACTATTTCACATTGCCTTTTAACATCTATGTGAGAAATGTAAAGATTATTTTTTATTCTTGCTCAACGTTGAGATAGAATGTGGCAGCTCTTTTCCTCCCATAATTAGTTGTGTAGGTTGCACACTGCAAAAATCTCGAGGGCACCACCACATAGGCATAATAAAGTACCATACAGTTCTAAGCATTATAGAATCGAAAGCCTTATTTTCTTAACTTGTATCTTTCTCTGGGATTTATATTTTCCATTATGCTCCTCAATTTAAAGAAATGGGACTTTTAACTGGGTTTGAGAAGTGAATTTGCTGATTTGCCTCAGTTGCATTCATTTGAATCATAGTAAGTGAGTTCTCTTACTGGAAGATTTTTTTTTTCCTTATAGTTAAAGAATCAGTCTGAACATTTAGGATCAGAATATGAAATGAGCTTACTTTACTTGGAATGTTCTTCTGTGTAAGGAGTTGGGCGTTTCATACTCAATTTACTAACTATATATATTTTCATTTATGTACCTAAGGAATCCTGAATATTTTTTCCTAAAATCTTAGAGGAAAAAAAGCATGAAACAAAAGGTGAAATACCATAGCTATGGTGTGGTTAGACTACAGTTGGAATTAGTCTGTTTTTCTTTTTCTTTCTCCCTGGAGCCATTTCAGAAATGGAAGATTTCCTTAGATACTAATTTTCTCAGCACGGGTTGGAAAAACAAGCAAACAAGAGGGCCTAGATTCTAAGTCACATCATTGTCTGAGAGAAAAAGGACTTCAAACTTTTTTTTCTCAGTAAAAAAAAAAAAAAAATTCCATCAGAACAGCTGCTTCCATTTCCTTTGAACTTGTGATGGTAGAAACATTTTGGTAACTTTGTTAGCAGGCAGTAGGATTGGTAGATAAGGCTCTTTTTAGTCTTCTTCTGGCTGTCCCTGCATCTGAACCCTCTGTTGAACTTCCGCTGCACTTTATTCTTACCTTTTCCCTGGTTCTAAGGCACCAGAGAAACAAAAGTTGAAGGTGAGCAAGGAGCATAAAGTAGAATTTTTAAAAAGTATATTCTAGAGCAAAGAAATCCAGGGAGAGACCCCAGTTCTTGATTCTACTCTTCATCCTGAGGCCATAGCCTCCATTTGTGGTTTTCTTCTGTTACCCTTTCCAGGTTCCCCTTGCATTTAGGCAACACTTTAGCCATCATTTTCTGGGTAGGGATCCCAATCCTCCTCCCTGTCCCGAATATGGCAGCTCTTTTCCTCCCATATTTAGTTGTGTAGGTTGTGCACTGCAAAAATCTTGAGGGCACCTCCACTGTCTGTGGAGCTGCAGTAACTGCTCATGCCCCTTCTCCACTGAGTAGCCCTCCATTCCCCAAATTGTCTGCATGTTTGCTGAGTTTCCTGTTGTTCAACAGCAACCTTCTTTCCCCCGGATTAGGGGATCAATTAGTGCAGCCAATAGCATGAACTCTATTCACATCAGCCTAACCTCCAGGGGCTTAAAGAGCCCCAGTTGGCCTTGTGGCTGTCTCAGGGTTCAATTTGATGACACAGTTCTTGTGTCCCCTGCCAGAGAGGTTCCTCCCTTGGTTGAAAACTCTTCAACATGGACCAGAATCCTGGAGATGAGAAACAAACATGTAGAGATGGGTCATTCGACATAATGAGGGGTGCTACAACCCTGAGCCCTGCATATTGTGCCAATGAGGAGAAATCCCATAAAATTCAGAGGAAAAATCCGGTTACTTGTAGAAAACTGGCCACAATAGCCAATACACAGAGTTATAACACAGAGTGATCAGGGCCATGGAAGAATCTAGAGCGGGGGTTCTATGTAATCAGACATGAGATTTTACAAATAGATCTGTGGGCATGAGAGACTGGCAGGTCCAATGGGCAGAGGAAGCGAGGTCTTGAAGGTAGAGTGAGAAGGGGTCAGGCAGGGAGCAGCTTTCTCAGCAGGGAAGAGCCTGTGCTGGGGCATGAGGAACTACGTGTGGCCACCGGGACAGACAGGATGATGTGGAGAGTCATGGCGAAGAGCAAGGCAGATCTGGGTTGAGTCCTGGGTCTGATTCTTTCCAGCTGTATGTCCCAGGGTGATTAACCTTTTTCTGTGTATGTCTCCCTATTTTTCTCATTTACATACGTGTGTGTGTGTGTATATATATATATATAAATTAGTAACAATTGTACTTACATCATTTTAAATGAGCCAGTCTAGAAGACATCAAATGAGGGCAGACAAAAAGCAGAAAGTATGCTGAGATTTTTGCATGTGATGCAATTGTTTCTGGAACTTATTTTGGGCTATCTAAAAGTATAGTAAAGTATCTTATGCTCACTCTGTAGCTTACCTTGAAAATGTTCCTCTCAGCTTCCATTGGAAAAGTGCAAACAGGCCACTTGCAGAGCTTGCACTTTTGCTGAACTAGGGAAAAGGGGACTTACATAGTTTGGCTGTGTCCCCACCCAAAATCTCATCTTGAATTGTAATCCCCATAATTCCCACATTTCAAGGGAGAGACCTGGTGGAGATAATTGAATCATGGGGGCGGTTTCCCCCATGCTGTTCTCAGAGTGAGTGAGTTCTCACAAGATCTGATGATTTTACAAGTGTTTGGTAGTTTCTCCTGCATTCATTTTCCTTCCTGCCACCATGTGCAGAAGGTGCCTGGCTTCCCCTTCACCTTCCGCCATGATTGTAAGTTTCCTGAGGCCTCCCAGCCATGCAGAACTGTGAGTCAATTAAACCTATTTCCTTTCTAAATTATCCAGTCTTGGGCAGTTCTTTATAGCAGTATGAAAACGGACTAAAATAGGGACATTCAGCACAAACTGGAAGGGAGAATGTGGGAGCAGGATTTGTGGAACTGGTCATTTACCAGCAACTGGCCTTCATGCTTATATGAACATTTTCATACATCTTTGCCTCCTCTGAGTCACACGGATTGTTTATGAGGCTGACTGCTAGTTGGGCTTACTAGTGTAGATGCTGGGAGAATATGGGGCACAGGAGTTGTTACATATCGATGCCCTCTCCTCCTGCTGCCACCCAGATTGTGTGGTTGGCTGAGTCCCTCTCCTGAGGGCCACAGTTCCTTTCAAGCAGCCTTTACAAGGTCTAGAATCTGCTCCTACCCATGGCTCCTTCGAGAGTCAGGGGTGCCAACATCTCCTGCTGTTGCTCACCTTGGGCCACTGCATAATCCCTCGTGCATTCCCCAAATGCTCTGCATACATTTGTAAATAGTCATTTTAGTAAAAGCGCCTCAAATCACCCAGCTTGAGAGGGCTGTGAGTTTCCAGTCAGGACCCTCACTGGTCCACAATGGCAGAATGGTTACCATGGGAAGGAGGGAAGGGTGGGTGCCATGTGGCAAGGCCAGGGAGTCAGCAGGAGTGTGGTTAAGGAAGAAAAGTTGGGAGGCTGAGGCAGGAGAATGGCGTGAACCCAGGAGGCGGAGCTTGCAGTGAGCTGAGATTGTGCTACTGCACTCCAGCCTGGGCGGCAGAGAGAGACTCTGTCTCAAAAAAAAAAAAAAAAAGAAAAAGAAAGGAAAGTTGCCACATAGGGGAAGGAGGGAGAATGAAAAAGATCAAGGGGAAAAGCAAGAAGAATCAAATGGAGAGGGAATTCAGGGAGGGAATTCAGAGAGCTCTCGAGGCAACGGGATACTATCTGCACGACCCTTTCTATAGCCCCAGATCTCAGGCGAAATTCAGCAAGTGCAGGCCAGCCAATTGGATCCTGTGGGCATGAGTGAGTGCATGAGTGTGTGTGGGCATGAGTGTGTATGTGTGTCCTTGAATGAGTGTGTGTGCATGAGTGTGTATGCATGTGTGTGTGCATGAGTGAGTGTGTATGTGTGTCCTTGAATGAGTGTGTGTGCATGAGTGTGTGTCCTTGAATGAATGTGTGCATGAGTGTGTGTGCATGTGTGCGTGTGTGTGCATGAGTGTGTATGTGTGTCCTTGAATGAGTGTGTGTGCATGTGTGTGTGCACGCGTGTGTGTGCGCGCGTGTGTGCGTGCATGAATGTGTATGTGTGTCCTTGAATGAGTGTGTGTGCATGAGTGTGTGTGAATGAGTGTGTGTGTGCATGAGTGTGTATGTGTGTGTCCTTGAATGAGTGTGTGCATGAGTGTGTGTGTGCGCATGAGTATGTGTGTGCATGAGTGTGTGTGCACATGAGTGTGTGTGTGCATGAGTGAATGTGTATGTGTTAAGTGTGTGAGTGCATGAATGTGTGTGTGTCCATGAATGTGTGTGCATGAGTGTGTACATTAGTGAGTTTGTGTGGGCATGAGTGTGAGTCTGTAGACTAGTGAATGAGTGGAGAGCAACCCAAGGTGAAATAAACACTAACATTCCGAAAAAGGGCTGGGGCAGAGGGGATTTAGGCAACTATGTTCTTAGGGATTTATAGAAACTGGAGGACAGAATTTGAGGAATCTTTTTCCCAAGGCTTTGAAACTGGGGGTTTGAGGACCGTTTACCTAAATCATCAAGGGGCAATGTGCCCCAGCTGCCAGGTTACAGCTTGTATTATCAATTAAGTGCTAAATTGAAGAGGTAAATCACCGTAGTGACAAGCGGCTTCTCCAATATAAAAAAGAGCTCAGCTTTTTTTTTTTTTTAGACTTTAAGATAGTCTATTTAAAAGGAGCATGCCAGACAGCAGCTGGTTTTGGCTATGAGGAGAGACTGGAGTTGAACCTGCGTTTAAAATAGAGTATGTTAGTTCAGAGACTGAAAGCTAGACAAGAATGGCCAACTATTTGGATTCTGTAACATTTTAGATAGATTTTAGAAACCCAAGTGCAGCATTTTTTTTCTTGGACTCTTATTTGCACAGAAAAAGTTTGTTAATATCAGTTCAAGGAGATTAATGCTAATTTGCATTCATTTATGCAAACAGTAGCTCTTTAGGAAATCTAGAATGTTGAAGCTGGAAGAGAAGGTTTACTCATTCCTCATCATTTGGCATATCAGGAAATGAAGATGGAAGCTTCCGACTGCTTGCCAAAGGTCATAATGGAGACTGAATGAGAATCAAGGTTGTCTGAATCCCAAATGGTTCTCTTTTCCCCGCATGTGCTGCCTCCTGTTTGGGGATTTCCATTTCTTAAGAAAAAAATCATCAAAAAGCAAGATGGTACATACCAGAAAAACACTTAGGAGACAACACAGTGATTTGCAAAGAATGTAAATTTTGAGGATAAAACTGATCTGAAATTGAATTTCTGCTCTGCTGTTTAGACTTCTCCAAGTCTCAGTATCCTCCTTGTAAAAATGGGGTCACAGTATTTGCCATGCGAGGAAGTATTAAAGATTATGGAAATGTTGTGTGAAGCACATCGTAGGACACAGCTGGTGATCAGCAAGTGTATTGACTCTACCCCAGCGAGGCAGCTCAGCCTTTTGCAGTCTTAGCCCAAACAACAAAGGATTCCCTCTGTGAGGCCATGCACAATGAAGTGTCATGATGCCACACGGAGTTTGTCCCAGGGAGGCTGCTGTGAGTAGATGTCTGGCAGAAGCTCCTGCTATCATATCCATCTTGTGTCTTTGTAGCTGATGTGATGAGAATGATGGCAAACATTTGCATTCTGGCTTGCTTCTGAGTGTATTTGGTCTTGAGGTGGATTGTGCTTCACCTTATCCCACATTAAACAAAAATCATGTTGAAGGGGCATGACTTTCAAATAATTGTCACTTTGGGGTTTCAACAAGCAGTCTAGATGAGTTGAATGCTGAAATTTGCTATTTCTGGGTGAATATGATAGTATTGAGGAGGAAAAAATGAGTCATCCCTAAACTCATTCTTTCCCCATTTGTACCAGAAATCACCTATTTACTCTATTTCCCCCCCATTCCCCTACTCACGTGCCTTGTATGTAATCTCAGAGTCTTAAGCTTTAGCAGGCTGTGAGGGTGATGTTACACTGCAAGCTGCCTTTAATTAAAACTGGAACCCAGGAGAGATGGACAGTCCCATCCACTCTAAGAAATGCATGATGAGGTCATCTCCATGATTCCTTGCTTTAAGGATGCTTTCTTTTTGTGAGCACACCAAGTCCCTGAAGGGAGCACCTTCTGTTACTTGGTGCTTACTGCCTGCCTTTTCAAACACTAGTTAATTTCTCTAGATTTTTTTCCTTACAAAGACCAAATTACCTCTTAATACTCATTTTGTAGATAGAAATAAGCTTTTTTTTTTCTTTTTTAACTACTGCCTTTTGAAGTCAGGTCTTTAGCTTATTTTCCTTCTTACTTCCTTTCTGCCACCGTCTGCCACTGGCGGTTCTCCCATAGGTTGTCCTTACATGCACGACAGCCACAGAGTGTGCCTGGGAGGTTATGCTGGAGTCTCTCTATTCACTGAACACAGTTTACCTCTCCACGAATACTTCCAGGCATCATCTTCCACACCGGGAGCCACTGAGCCCCCTTGATAGTTACAATTCTGACTACACTGCTTCCTAGGCAGAGTCTCCTACACAGGGGCTCTGCTGTTCTGTGCTTGGTGCATTTCCAAGGGGGTCTTCAGCCCGTGAATGAGAAGTTATGGAGTGCAAGGGAAGGAACTGAGGTGATGGAGGTCAGCCAGCCTGGGATCCACATTTAGCTGGGCCCTGACTTGCTCCATCTCTGTGGGTAATTTGCCATCCTCCTCTGTGCCTCTTTTCCTCTCTATAATAAGGAATTCTTGTCTATGATGTAGTCTTTCCTGCATGCCTTGTGTCTGCTTTGCCCTGTGGTTGCTCTCTCTTGGAATGTTTCTACCTTCTGCACATCTGCTTTGTAATGTGAAGGCCACAGCTTATCCACATATACGTAAGGAATTCACCCAATTGAATTAAGCAGACCGGTGACTTCATGGCCTTGGTATGTATTAGCCCCGCTAAGAAGGCTGGATCTATGCCAGCTTTTAATAGAGAGCGTGATCCCCACATAGTGTATAAGCTGCTGTGCAGTTTACAACTGTGGGCTGTGTGTATTTCATGGTATTATCAGCATTTTCTCAGATCTCACTCTTAACCCCTTGGCTTTATGGTTTTACTTTGTTGTCTAGAAGTTGAGTTGCTCCTCCCTTATCCCACTTTGGCTTATCATTGATTAATTTGTAAAATATTCTCCTGGGCCAGGTGTGGTGGCCCGTGCCTGCAACCCCAGCATTTGGGGAGGCCAAGGCAGGAGGATTGCTCGAGGCCAAATGTTTGATGCCAAGAGTTCAAGACCTGTCTCTACACAAAATTAGAATAAAAAAATTAGCCATGTGCAGTGGTACACGCCTATAATCCCAGCTACTAGGGAGGGTGAGGTAGGAGGATCAGTTGAGCCCAGGAGTTCAAGGCTGCTGCAGGGATCTAGTATCACACCATAGTACTCATCCTGGGCAACAGAGCAAAACCCTGTCTCTGTTTAACAGTCAATCAATCAATAAAAATGAAAGTAAAATATTCTCCTATAACTTTCATTCAAAAATATTGCTTAAAATACAGGTGGTTACACACAGACCTATTTAGAGTTGCATGACTGTATACAAGTTAGCATATACATGCTTTTTCTTGCTGTGTCAGCTATGATGACCCAGAAGTAGTGATACTCCAGTAGCAACAAACACACCTAGTGCCCAGATGTTGTTTTCTAATACCATTCTCTCATGAAAGAGACCAAACCTCCTTGGAAAAAATGTCTGATTCTAGAACTGGGAAAAAAAAATATGCAAGAGGAGCCTGGAACATCTTGTAGTGCCAGAAAATGAGCTAGGGCAGAAACAACAAAAAATGAAAATCCCACAATGATAGGGATGTGACAAAGGGAGAAGGGAGCCAAATGAAAGAGTCTCCCATGGTAAGGCCTGCAAAGACTGGAGCAAAATAAAGTAGTATTGTATTATAAACAAAAGTGTCTGACAAATATCCATGAATCATTGTTGATATAAAAAAATGGATGGCTAACTACACGGGGGAAAAAGACGAATCTACGCAGGAGATTTGCAAATGATTTCTGTAGATATTTTATCCTTAAGGCTGTGGGCACAGTTCCCTATCACTTGGATGTGGGCTGGGTGTAGTGATTTTCTTCTAATGAGTACAGTTAGGGAAAGAGGAAAAGATGAATTCTGTAGAGGAGAAACTTGACAAGCATGACCTCAGCCAGGTGATCAAGGTCAAATCAACAATAACAAGTCATCTTGCTGCTATTTACTCTTTATAGGGTGGGATGACAATAGAAGATTACCTCTTAGATCTTTCTCTCAAAAGCACATAATCCCAGTCTAATCATGGAAAAAAAATTAGAAAAATTACAGCTGAGGGACATTCTACAAAATACTTGACCAGTACTTCTCAAAATTGTCAAGGTCATCAAAAACAAGGAAAGTCTGGGAGACTGTCACAGCTAGCAAAGCCTGGAAAGATATTCCCACTAAATGCCATGTGATTTCCTACATGGGATTCTGGAACATGAAAGCTGAATAAATTATGGACTTTAGTTGATAAAAATGTATCAATATTGGCTTACTATAATTTATTAGTCATAACAAATGTGCCATCCTAGTGTAAGACGCGCTGGTGGGGCCTCTGGGGGCAGGGGTATGGAAACTCCCTGTGCCCTTTCCATAACTTTTCTGTAAAACTAACACAGGGCTAAAAATAAAACATTTGATGAAATTATTTCTTGACTTCATACTAAGAGCCAGGCCCTACTCTAAACATTGTGGATATGGTAGTGAGTGAAAGGAAGAACCTCTGGCTACATCTAGTATATTTTCTGGTAAGATAAATTTCCTAATTTTTTAAAAATTGCTATTAGATTTGGATCTCTGCTCAAATTAAATTTGCATGAGCCCTAATTTCAGACCCCTCCTTTCCCTATGTCATTCAGAAACTTATTCAGATATCGGACTCCTCTAGAAGTGAACATGGAAATTAAAAGAAAAATGTCTTCAGAAAATCCACAACAGTTGATACAAATATCATACTCATTCCTCTTTGTGAAATGAAATTGTGATTATTTATTGAACACAAAATTCTACCCAATGGGACTTTCTCAATATTTAGTCTGTGAGGAGGGTGCCCTGATATTGTGGCAGAAAGAGGAAGAGGGCAAAGAAAACCAACACCGAAAAGCAGATGCTGATGTGAGCAAGTGTAATTCTTTGAAACCACTTGGTACCTAAAATAAAATCATATGTCCTTCAAGGATTTTATGTCTACAACAAATTACATACACTGATGGTTTCATAAAGTTGCTCGGTCATCATTAGGAACCAGAGTGGGGTAGTTGAGAAATGAACTTTAGGTAGAGATGACCTGACTTTAGAACCCAGCTCTGTTATGCAGTAGCTCTGTGAGCCTGGGGTGTATGTGAGCATTTATCTTGCCTTAATTCCTCATCTACAAAATGAGAGTAATGGTGGTCTCGATCTCATAGCTTCCTTAGAGAATCAATTCATCCCTCAAATGGACTTAGAATACGTATCTCACAGATATCAGTCATGATTATTAAGAAACAGCCAAATTATTTCAGGTTATTAATAGTAAGCATATGCTCAATGAATTGAAAAGGGGGTCAAGCAAAGTCACAGAAAAAATTCAATAATGGACAGTTTTACAAAATCCCATATATGATCAATGCTTTTCAAAATATTATCAGTGTCTTTTCTGACATCCATAATGTTACCATGTTAAAGAAAGAATAAGAGGAAGGAAGGAAGGAAGGAAGGAAGGAAGGAAGGAAGGAAGGAAGGAAGGAAATAATAATATAATAATAATAATAAATTGGGAAACATTCATCAGAGTTTGCCCTGTATGGGTTTCTTGAGTAGTCTTGGAGAGGGGTTGAATGCTCCAATGTTGCAATTTATGGGACATTTAAACAGTGTATTAAAATAGCAAAATGAACTGTCTTTGACTTCACTCTTGTCTCATTTGTACTAAGTTATTTTATTGTTTAACTTGATAGAGAAGGAGGACGCCTGTCCTTGCACTTCTGGTGGGAGATTTCTTTTCAGCAGCTTTCGTACCCACCAGCATTGTAGCCAACCTTGTGGGTGCTCTACCAGCAACTTCTCTACATTCTTACCCTGGCGCACGTTGACCGCATGGCTTCCATTTCCATACACCTGTGCCTGGGATTCTGCCAGGGCTTTCTTTGGCTCCCTGAATGGCAGTCAGGAAGGCTGGAAGAACAGGGTGTTCTGTGCCCCCTGAAAGTAGCCCCCAACCAATGGCTGGTAGGGTTGGTGGATAAAGACCCCAGGTCCCTCACCCCTGTTTGGGATGGAGCTGAGGTGTGATCTCGTCCATCTCCCAGAGCACCACTGTGGGGTGGACTCCATTGCCCACGGTGAGAATCTGCTCCACGACACACCAGTTCTTGGTTTCCTTCCCTTTCCTAACTCATTTCCCCACATTTCTAGTGATGCTTCCAGAGATCGTCATTTAAATAAGCTACTTGCTATCATACCTTTGTCTCCAAGTCTGCTTCTAGGAGAACCCAAACTAAGACAAACTCCATGATTGTTTTGCCTATTCTTTATAATCCTGGAACATTTTATTTTCCCAGACAGCAGTACTAATGTGCAGGCCGATGTGTGACGTTTGCCACCAAAGAGTCTTTCACAACAATGGTGCCCAGTTTCCATAAATAAATAATTTTACTACAAGTGCATGTGAGGAGGGTTCAACTGGGATCACTTCCCATCAAGGCTGCTCGCTTTTATTTTTAATTTATTTTTTATTGACAAATAAAATTGTATATATTCATTGCAATATGTTGTTTTGAAATATGTATACATTGTGAAATGGCTAAATGTAACTAATTAGCCTATGCAATACCTCACATACTTAACATTTTTTGTGGTGAGAACACTTAAAATCTACTCTCTTAGCAACTTTCAAGTGTACAATACATTGTTACTAACTATAGTCACCATGTTGTACAATGAATCTCTTGAACTTATTCCTTCTATCTAAGTAAAATTTTGTGTCTTTGACTAACATCTCCCCAACCATGTCTGTCCATGTATAAGTGAGATCATGAGGTATTTGTCTTTCTAAACCTGGCTTATTTTACTAAACATAATGTTCTTCAGATTCATTCATGTTGTTCCAGATGACAAGATTGCCTTCTATTTTAAGTCTAAATAGTATTCCAATGTGATCACACACATGCACACGCACACACACACGCATGCATCTCACATTATCTTTATCCATTCATCTGTCGATGGACATTTCAGTTGATTCCATTTCTTGGCTATTGTGAATAACGCTGCAATAAACGTGGAGGTGCAGATATCTCTTAGGGATCTTAATTTCATTTCCTCTGGATATACACCCAGTACTGGGATTGTTGGATCATAAGATAATTCTATTTTTAACTTTTTTGTGGAACTTCCACACTCTTTTCCATAATGGTATGTTAATTTACATTCCCACCAACAGTGCACAAGGGTCCCCTTTATTCCACATCTTTACCAACATTTATCTTTTATCTTTTTGATAATAGCCATTCTAACAGGTGAAGGTGATATCTTACTGTGGTTTTAATTTGCATTTCTCTGATGATTAGTGATAAGGGTGCTCTCTTACTTGTAGGGACCACTTATATTTAGCAATGCAAATTTTCCCTTTGGACCTAAAATGATTCTTGTTTTATTAGCAAATTCAAGTCATGATAGGAGGAAGGGGTGACAAAGAAAAATATCTGTATTGCCCTTTCCAAAGCTCATGCAAGAAACAAAGGAGGGAACAGGAACTGAAAGTATAAGTAGCAAGCAAAATACTATGATTTCCCATGTTGGCTATTTTGTACTTTCTGGTGTTTCCCTATAATAACCAAGCTTTTCAATGGCTGTCTTTCTGTTCCCACCCACATGTGTCTTTCCAATCTGCGATGTCCTTGCACCCTATTCACTCACTTCTGCTCCATGTCAGGCAAGAGCATTGAGTATAAACTAAGCTGTGATTTGTTTCAAAAGTAAGAAATATGCATCTCCACCACTTTTGAAATCATAATTATAAACAAAGATATAAAGAGAGGACTGCATAGTGTAATTGTCATTTTAAAGGTGTCAGAACAGCAAGTGGCATTTTGGAGAATGAAACTGTTTATCACAGAGTTATGGGGGGATGGCCCCAGGCATCTGTATAACTGCTAACCTGGAAGAGACTTGCTGAAAATCATTGTGGGATGAAGGGAAGAAACACAGCTTATCAAATCAAAGGAATTTGTGAAGAGTAATAGTCATCTTGAAGACAATGAGCCTGAATAGTAATTGCCTTCTCATGAGATCGTTACACACAGGATAAAAAGAAATGTTCAGTGTGAACACAGTTGTATGATAAGGCATCTTGAGAAATGCAGCTGTCAAACCAAGTGTTTGGCAAGGAAGACGGAGTAGCATTAGCGTCGCGAGACCCCAGCAGAATTCTTTGGAGTATCAGATTCTTTCTTCAAAATCTGTCTTCACCCTTGGAAATTCACTAGCTCTTCAGCTCATTAGGATCTGTCGCACTAAAGACTCTCATAATTGCCTGAGCCTCCACTGAGAAATTTTGCAGCTAACATCAATGTCTGTGATTCACAATATATATTTTCTCTACTGTTCCAGTGAAAAGGACCCAAATGCAAGATCTTTAAAGTGCTTTCCAGATGTCACTCCAGCCTCCCAAGGGTCTGGGAAGCATCAGGTGGCCAGCTGTAATGAGTAGGCTGCCCTTAAGATGGGACTGAGATCAATGTTAAAGGCTGCTCAGCTTGGATTTTATTGTGCCATCTGAAGGAAGGTCAAGGGGACTTGTTCAACACTGGAAAGGAGAGCAGAAACACAAAGAGAATCAGAGGATACAAATCCATCCATTCATCCATCCATCCAACCATCCATCCATCCATCCATCCATCCATCCATCCATTCATCATGCACACATCCATCTACCCAACCATCCATCCATCCATCCATCCATCCATCCATCCATCATGCACACATCCATCTACCCAACCATCCATCCATCCATCCATCCATTCATCATGCACACATCCATCTACCCAACCATCCATCCAACCATCCATCCATCCATCCATCCATCCATTCATCATGCACACATCCATCTACCCAACCATCCATCCATCCAATCATCCATCCATCCATCCATCCATCCATTCATCATGCACACATCCATCTACCCAACCATCCATCCATCCAATCATCCATCCATCCATCCATCCATCCATCCATCATGCACACATCCATCTACCCAACTATCCATCCATCCAACCATCCATCCATCCATCCATCCACCCACCCATCCATCCATCTATCCATCTGTCCATCCAACCATTCAGAGCACCTACTTTTTACAAGGCACTTTGCTGCCCATGGATGTTTTAGGGGAAGTCTAAACCAAACACTCCTGGATACTTTCTCAAAATTTTCTTGCATATTACAGTCTTTGCAACCACCTTCTATTAGGCGCATGAGAAAATTGAGACTCCAAACATGTCTGTCTGCTGGCTTGCTATGAATTATGCAGAAGTCTCAGGATTTGGAATATTCTGAGAAGTAAAACTTGTCAATGATGTTGTTGTTTTCAGCTTGAAAGAAAGTCATCCTTCAAGAAGAACAGTAAAACTTTTTATGATACAGATTTTCTCCAACCATTTCATTGTGGCAATAATTCAGAACGAATATCATAGTATTTGCTTTACATTCAGAAGTCAGTTTTAGGTTCTTAAGAGAGCTGCTTGCTAGACCAAGAACTGAAGGTTGTGTGATGCTTCTTTTTCTTCCTTATGTAAAGATGTGAGTTTTTTCTCTAGGCAGTGGCTCACTGACTGGAGAGGGCACTTGTGTAACCAGGACAAGCTGTAGTTTTAATACATCAAATGTTTTGCATGGTGCAGAAGCCAGCGTGCGGAAAGAGTTTGCATCTGGGAAGAAATAATAGTAAGTTCATATTATTCTTTTTCAGTTAGCAATCTTGAGGAAAAAAAGCCTCCTTCAGGAGTTTCTGACCTTGTCCTTGGGTAATGGCAGACATAGATAATGATATGTGTGCAGACATTTGCAAGGGAAAGAGCAGATTCTCCAACAGAGGCCACCCCTGGATGCACAGCCTCCTGATGGCCCTGATAACTGGACTGTTGACCTACCTGAAATCCATTTGAGTGGATTTACAGTACAGTAAGTATTGGGTGAGAAGTTCTGATTATGTTCTTCTTCAGGATCCCCACATGAAAAGCAAAGCAATATGACATGTTTGCCTATTGAGTCATTCACATTTAATTTATTTAACTAATTCAACCAACATTTATTAATCATCTAGCAGGTGTTAGATTTTATACAAGGTGCTGAGGGCACAAAGACAGATAATACCCATACCTGTTTTCTACAGTGTTGCAATTAAATATGAGAGACTGACATAGAAGCCAAACACAACAATGCTCCCATGATGGAGATATGTGTGATACGATCAGGAGCACAGAAGAGAGTGAGCAGTGAAGCAATGCTATTTAGAGGAGGGCATAGCTTGCTGCATGTGGCATACTTTCTTATTCCAAGAAGAAAGGCTGGGTTGGGTTGAAAAGAGTCTCCTGTGGTTACATACTGCATAATCCTGGGTTTGAGAGGACATTTTTTTATCCATTGCTATCATGACTTGAATCCAGGTATTCACTGGACAATCACTGATGTGCATGTTTTCTGTGCCAGGTTCTATGTTAGGCATTGAGAATATATAGTTCCTGTCATCAAGGGGCCCATAACTTCATTGTAGAGATGGACAATAAACAACCATCGTCCAGCAGCTAGCTAAATTCAACATTGTTAGGGTTGAGGAGAGACCTCATGGGAGGAGCCACTAAATCTGAACAGACACACTTAGCTAGTCTGTGACACTTGGATATCTGTCTGGCCTTTCCTTCCATCCTGAAAATGTGGTTGACAATAGCAAGCTGAATTACAGGGAGGCATCTCCTTTCAAGACTTTAAGGACCATTAATGACCATTGCATAAGGACCATAGCAACCTTTACCAAGCAGTCGCTGTTGATCGCACTTACTCATATGATGGGCCTCACAATGCCTTCTCTTTCCTCAACAAAACACTGGAACCTGGAATCACATGTCTGTGCATAGTCCTGCTTTGAGTCTGTGTCTCTGCGTCCTATCAGACCATGTACGTCCTAACGACCAGGACCTTTTCTTAGCACCTGGCGCATGCTGTCTCTTCACAGCCTAGGCACCTATACTTGATCTTCACTTAGTTTTTCACTATTTCAATTAGTCAACCATATTTAGCAACTCCTACCATATGCTGGACACTGGATTAAATACTAAGGACACTGTAGTTACAAAATGAAGTAGTTCCTGTCTTCATGGAGTTGGCAACCCAAGGGGGAAGACAAGTAACTCAATGCCCAATTAGAATACAGAATGTTTGAAAAATGCACTTTAAGATTAAAAATACAAAACAGGTTTTCCTCCTTCCTAAGTATTATAAGATATTTTTATCACATTTATGACTTTTAGCAAGTTAATTAGAACAAAGAATAAGTTATATGATGTTATAATTAAATAATTGTGCATTTACAAGCTGACTTGTCTGAAGTCTCCTAAATATACATAATAGTAGAATTTGGTTTCAATAAATAATAGTCAAAGCAAATTTGCAGACAACCCAGTTTCATCTTTTCTTCCGACGTTGGATCTTTTAGCATCCCTAAAGATCGGTAGGATTTATAGTTGAATACCCAACTCTGCTATGCTTGAGAGAACACTGGCTCCACTCAGGAGAAGGGTGCTACAGAACTGGGGATCAATCTCTTACGGTCTCAGAACCAGAAACTCCAGACACTGAGATGCAGAGTGGCTGTGAGTAAAGAGGCCAGAATGATTCTTGATGAGGAGCTGGGAACCTGTAAAGGAATAAAATTATACAAGAGGGTACTCTTGAGTATCAGGGTCTTGCAGATTAATTATCTGGAGCCTCTTTCTTTAGTGCTATTTTACAGCACCTCTGTGCTAGGTACGGTGCCTACAGCACCTTAAAAATAATGCTGGGTTCTCGTAGTGACTGTTTATTTACTGTGTTCTAATACCTGAGCAAGAAATCGCAAGGAGCAGAAGAATGATGTTTATACTAAACTCCAGTTTGCTGTTATCAAAAATATGGCCTATCCCATAAGTCAGGAAAATACATTATTTAAAAAAAAACTATTTATATCAAATGCAATTTGCTGTATGGGAAAAGTCTTTTTTCCAATCTTTATCATTTCTGAATGTATAGTGCTGACTGTGGAAACAGAGAATGGTGTGACACCCCAGGATAGAGCCCCAGGAAGGAAGATCTTAATCAACGTTACACTCTCTGTGAAAGATTTAAAACCCAGAAATACAATACATTTTTTTCTTCCTTCCTTGCTCTCTATTTTTTTTTTCCATTTCTAGGCATTCTGTATTTTTCAGCAAGGGTGGTTGTGTTTCGAAGTGTGTGTCAGGAAAGCTTAGCTTCAGTCCACATGGTCTTCTGTGTTCCTGCTAAAACCTTGCTTGTATTTTTCTGCAATGCCTAAATAGAAAGTGCTCGTTCAAATCTTATTCAACTTCCTAGAAATAAAATATGAAAGTGGTGAGAGCTCAGTGCTCTCTGCTATCCAATGCAAATGTATGCAAATTTCTTCATATTAGAATCATTGTCTAGTTGTCATCCTCGCACGGGGCACATCAAAGCCATACGACCTGATTTTTGCACCTGCTGTTTAATTAAATTTACAAGGCAGACACACTCCCCACTCCCCGTGATATACAAATCCGTTTTTACAACCACAGATTCTAATTTACAAGCCAGTTGACTGCTGAGTTTCCCCATCAATAGCTGCCCAACTGCCCTTTGTTATACTAAGGATTAAAAAAGGAAGAAAATGGTGATTATTTGGGGAGATGTATTAACAGAAAATGCTAAAAGTACTTTCTCTGTCTTATCCAATTCCAGATTTTTTTAAAAGCTTTATTGATGTATAATTGAAAAACAACAAATTGCACATATTTAATATATACATTTGATGAGTTGGGACATATGTATACACCTGTGATATTTTTCTTCTAAAGACACAAAGGAAGATATGAATCAAGGTACTCAACATCACTGGAAATAGCATTTTTGCTTGCGTTGATTTTCCCCTAATCTTCATGAAAAGCACAAAACTTCAACCTTTTCTGCAGTTTGATGCTTTCAGTTATTTAGTATTTCGGGGAGGAAAAAGCAGTCTGTAAGAGAGCAAGGCCAGGGTGGTTTTAGGAAGGCTATAATAAGGTATAGGTGTTTTCTGAAAGATATTTGTTGTTTGAAAATTATGTACTGTGAAATTCTCCCTCGGCTTCTATCCACAAGGGATTTTGAGTCTTCAAATTGTATGTATCTCCACAAATGGTGAAAGAAAATAGTCGAGCCTGATTCTCACTCTTTTATGTGATTATTTTTTTCTTAGGCCATCATGGTGTTCTTCTCCTTCTTTACGAGCCGATGCACAGACGTGTATTTGATCTCCCTAAGAGACGGCTCAGAAGAAAAGCCAGCAAAGGTATTTTAAGAGAAGTCTAGGGCGGATGAAAAAATACTTCTTTGTCTCTCTCTACTAATTCATCCGGTCTAAGGACTTACGTGGAAAAATAATGCCTTTTCAGTTACTGTAGAGAAAATAATTTAATGAAAGTAATATTTTGTTCATCTTCACCCTGATACTCTGAAATCTTGAAGACCCTCAAAAAACATGATTTTTATGAAATGCTTAAAACATGTTATCGTCTAATAATGAAAAGTGAACTTCTGAGGGCCCACCAATAGGTGGCGCAACACATTCACCGAACCAAGTAACACTGCAGACGAGTTTGGAACAAGCCTCATAAATTAAAGCCTTGTGCTGCAACTAACTGTGAGACATATGGGTTGAGTCCCAGGCCTGCCCAAGAATAACTTTGAAGAAAATTTTGTTTTCTGGCAATACAGATGCTAACACACCACAGAACCTTTAAAAAGAATAAATATGTAGATGGTTCATAGCTTTCAGAATAATTTAACCTTCCCCCCCCCAAAGTTAAGATAGCATCACAAGAATAAAATAATGTAAGCACTGTTTTTTCTGTTTTGGAAAACAAGTTGGTGGCTCTGATGCTCTCAGGAATTATTTGTCAATTACTTTTTATTTAATAAGGTTTTATTTTATTAGTCCCAAAGGGAGAGGAAAACAGTGACTTTATCTTGAAATGAGCTAATCCTTGATGCATAAATAATATTTAAACAAAGAGTTCTATGTAGGAAAGTGTCACCGCCTAAATTTGGAATTGCCTAAATTTGTTTCTTTGTTCTGTGATATGACCTGCGTGTACTCAAAGGTTTCCCACTTGAGAATCAAACATACTTCTTACAAAATTCTCCATTCTATCATGGAAGAGGCCAGTCATCACACTAGAAGAGATGTCACAGCTTCTGAAAATCAGGATTTACAAAGCAATTAATTTTTGCTAAAAGTTGAAGCTATATTTTTAAGATAATAGCATGTAAATTATAAGTAAACCTTTCACCTTAAAACTTAGGTTTTATTTAAAAACGGACTGTTTACAAAAGTCTTGGAGTCAGAGTGTGATTGTTGGATGTCGTGCTGGTTGACATTACTCTTGATATATGGACCCGCTCAGCTAAGGGTAGAAACTTAGAGAAATGCAAGCAAAACACATGGAGTTGTTCATAAAAGAATAGTGATGAATATAAATGTCAGGTTCCATTGACTAATACAACATTTCTGCAAAGGGAAGGGCGCTAGAAAGAACTTAGGATAAAATCAGCTCTGAAACAGATTTATTTGTTGCCTTAGAAAGACAGAGAAGGACAGAAAAAAAAAGGTTTTTATTTATCCTTACACCCAATAGAATCAGTGCATTTTGCTGCCCTGAAATTCTACTCAGTAGCTGAATAGATTGAATAAGACCATCTCTAGTATGTTTCAGTATATAAACAAGTAGTGTTTCTGCAAAGAAAACATTTGCAAGTGATTTATAAGATGAAATGAAACTATTATGGTTAGTTATTGTTTTTGTTTCAATATCTTCTCAAATGCAAAAGGAAAAAATGGAAACCAAAATTTAGGCTTACTTTGTGCTGGGTGTGATATTAGTCATTAATTTGTGACAGACAGATATAAAATTGAGGAAAGGCTAAAAAATATGTAACCCTCAACCCCAGAGCAGGGATTACAATTATAAATCACTTTTAATTACTAGATTTTGATGTCCTTAACATTGTTTTTATTTATTTATTTATTTATTTTTGAGACAGGGTCTCACTCTCTCACCCAGGCTGGAGTGCAGTGACATGATCTGGACTCACTGCGACCTCCACCGCCTGGGTTCAAGTGATCCTCCCACCTCACCCTTCTGGGTAGCTGTGACCACAGATGTGTGCCAACGTGCCTGGCTAAGTTTTTTTATTTTTTATTTTTAGTAGAGGCGGAGTTTCACGAAGTTGCCCAGGCTGGTCTTGAACTCCTGAGCTCAAGTGATCCACCTGCCTCAGCCTCCCAAAGTGCTGATATTACAGGTGTGAGCCACCGAGCCCAGCACAAACATTACATTTTGTATTTCTTGTGCCAAGCACCAAGCCTGAAACAATAAAAAATCATTAGTATGTTCATTGTCCCTGCTATTTTATTTTTATTCATTATATTTTGGTTGATGAAAGAAATGATGTGATTTCTAGGTCCTAATCACTGTGGGGGTGTGGGTGTTAGGGAAGAGGCTGACAGGGAAAACGTGGCCCTTTTTTTTCTTATGGAGCTAATACTTTAATTGTAGACAGATGTATACACGTGTAATGCTGACAAAGTCAACTGTCCTTAGCTGTTTGATCATCATTTTTTTTTCATTTGCGAAGTGGAGCTATTATAAAAGAACTTCTGCACACAGTTGGGAGGAGTAAATAAAACAGGATCCAGCTCACAGTGTGCCTCCACTGAACTCCCGTGGATGAGGCATCACCACATGTGGGGACATCCCAGCTGCTCTGTGCAACTATCTCACCACCTCCCTGAGTCACCATGGCAGCCTGATGGGGTGCCACCAATATCAGCTCCATTTTACAGATGAGGACAGGAGGACTCCTTCTTATGTTTCCTTGTATTCACTATATAAGTCGTATTGACAGTGTTCACCAACTGTCCATGCCTCTTCAGATTCCAAGCTCCTTCCCACAGCAGACCAGGCCCTACTCATATGGCCAACCCCATCCTGCCATCGCCCCTGCAATCTGTGCCCCAGCCACAGAACATCTTCCGTTCTGACCGGCTGGTGCTCTCTTATCTTTCAGAACATGCCTGTCCTTCAGGCATGCTCTCTTAGGGGATAGAAGCTTCTCTGAATCCATCCCTTTCCATCTTGGTTTAGTACAGATAAGTCATCCCCTTGTGGCTAGCTGCTATGGCCAAGCAGAGAGGACAGTACACCATGTTCGCAGTCCATCAGCAAGGACGGCCATGAGACACGGAGGAATCCGTGAATAGCTAAGCTTGTGGCAGGCGTGAGTGCAGGCTACAGCGTGGCCAGGAAAATTGATGCACTGCACTGTGCCAGAGGCATGCTGCTCTCCACACCAATCAACACGGGAGGACACGCAAGGAAGGACTCCCAGGGGTTCAGGCACACAGCTGGGCTTCCTTTGTGCCTCCTCTCCTGTGGAATTCATCTTCATAACCCTAACTAAGGGGATGCTCAAACACAATAGCATAAAGTTCCAGAAACTCAGATGCAACAGAAAGGAAGGCAGTGGAAACCCCGATATTTTGTTGTTGTTGTTTATTCAGCACAAGGCATGATTACCTGGTATTTGGTGTGACAATGTATGAAAAGGCCTCTTACATCATCAAAATGGGATACAAACCCTTGCTGTGTCTTTAACTAACTAAGGAAGTCACTTGCAAACTTTACCACAACATTGCCTCAACCATAAAGTGAGATGATAGCTGTCCATCCAACTTCCTAGGATGTTGGGAAATCTGCTCGGGCAAGACCTGCTAAAGCTCCTTGTAGACTACAACTTGGGGAGCAAATATCAGCGATTATGATGAGGCTGACTCGGACTCCACCCTGTGGGATGTAATCACTGAAAGTGGCAGACACCTTCTTATCATAGTTCCCCGGCGATACTCAGCAGAGAACACATTATAGTGATTCCCAGAAAATACACGTTTGGCTTTTTAGGCAGAGTCAAGCCAATTGGCTGTGAGATCATTCAGAAGGATGAGGAAACTCCTCCATCTGTGCAGGCTCTATGGGCAGTCATGGAGTGGGGAGCTTCCTGTTTCCAAGGCACTGGCCAAGACTGCTTCTCTGGGAAGGGGAGACTAAAAGGCTGGTGCCCCCGTTGTCAGCTGGGGACAAGCAGGAAACTTCATTGCTTCTGGCTCCATCCAGCTGCTGCAAAGTCAGCCTCACGGACAGCGGTGATGACCCTGGGTTATAGCTCACAAGTGACATGTTCACCCATCAGCACCAGGTCTGCTGTAAAATAATGAGGGGTGTTTCTACACTCAGGACTTTTCGAATTTCCCCAAATCCTTCTGCAATGGAATCTTCTTTTGCTCTTGACATACACGTGCTTGTGAGGTGAGCTGCGAGCTGAAACACGGGTCCTAGCTAGAGCCTAGATGCAAATCTCTGCTCCATTCTTTAGTCATAATCCTACAACATTTAGTTCAATGTTTGGAGACTCAGCATCTTTACATCAAAATGGATGGTAAGAGCTACACAGTGGGTGCGATATGAAGATTGAATCAGACTACAAATGACCCCTGGTCCATGCCCGGCCTGTAACGGGGCCATTTGTAGTTTCTGCCGTCTGAGCTCCCGTGAGAGAAACCACTATCTTCCGTGTCTTCATAGACTAGGTACCTGCTAACCTACGCTAGACGCCCAAGTCATCTTCATTAAATAGCTGCACTTAGTCTCATGTAAGAAGGCAGCTTCTGGCTGCTTCTCTGCCGGGTAAGTTACAGAACATAGGACCTTGGAAAAGATCGTTCAGTCTGTGGTTAAAGGATGCTTCTAATGGGCTGTCTAGGAAAGTGATTAGAGCGTGTTTTGGGGTCATACAACCTGAATCAAATCCCAGGTCCTCTGCCTGCTATTCTGTAACCTTAATAGATGTTAAGTATGAGCCACAGTGTCAGGAGCCTATGACGCAGTGCATCCTAAGTGCTGAGTGGCACAGGGGATGTGAGTGGCACAGGGGATGATGTGAGTGGCACAGGGGATGTACTCTACAAACGCGGGCGGTTCCTGCTGCATTACTGAGTCTGCACTGGTAACCACAATGCTGAACTCACGGGCTGTGCTCCAAGTGCTATAGCAAGGCACCAGGCTCCATGTTGATGAGGCCTGTGTCTCACTCACTTTCTACTCGCAGACGCCTGTGGAGTCATTGAGCCTGCATTGCATTTTGACCTCAATGTTCTACTTAGTGCAAGAGTCCTGGCTGCAGGGCCCGTGGAAAGGATAACTTGGCCTCCTTAGAAGGCTTGCCAGGCAGTCACGGAACTCACCGCCTCACAGTGCTGTTGATTTCATCCAGTAAAACTTCCCTTTTGGAGAGTCTGTTTTTTATTTTATGAAGAAATCTTTATCCTCTCTCCAAATCAGTGCGTTTACTGACTTCTAGGGAAAAACAGAATTCTCCCTCCACCATATGACGGTCTTTGAGCATCTCAATGATTTCCTTTGGTTAAATACATTGCGGTGCATTTTATTGTCATTATTTTGAATATGCAAAGTCCTCTCTTCCCCCTGTCCCTGCTCCCCAGTTAGCATGTGTGTATTTAGACACAGAAAACTGGCCCCACTGTTAAGGATGAAATAAAAAGAAGAAGACAGCAGAGAAACTTCAGCTTTGCAATTCGAGCCTGGCCACTGCATGGTTCCAACCAGTCCCCATGGCCCTACGCTGCATCAGGCCACTTCATCTGCTGACAGCTGGGGAAGCTCCAGGTAGCAGATCTCCGTGCTTCCTCCCACTCCCACCGCCTCTCTGCCCAATCCCGTCTGTGGGAGCAGAGCCACACCAGCCAACTGCAGAGCTGACAGGCCTCAGGGGCCGGGGCAGTGGAGGTTTCAGAAGCCCACTGTCGTGTGTGCCATCATTAAAGCACTCTCTGTTGGCTGTCTCTAAAGAATCTTCTTTTGGAAAGGTGTAAACATGTTGGCCCATCAGAGGAAGCCATAAATCTCCCTGTATACATAGCAATACAGTTGCACCAAACGGAAGAAGAGCTCTTGCCAATCTCATGTTTCATTTCAACCTGGCCATCTGGGTTCAGACAGAACTTGGGCTAACAAGCTGTATACACCCACAGCAAAGAAGCATTCCACTGAATCTTCCAAGGCTACTAAATTTTTCATGCCAACATTTTTCAGTACACTATGATGGCAGCTACCCCTTCCCCTAATTTCTCCCCAAATTTAGCCCTAAAGACTTGCTATGGAATCTTCTTATGCAGATAATGAGAGCTAAGTCTACTGAGAGTCATGCAAAAAAAAAAAAAAAAAAAAGTGGCCAGAGTTCTTACCAAGAATATAGGCCAGAAGACCCCGCGTTGAGTTTACATGCTCTGATGCAGCAGCTGAGCAGGAGGCCGTTCTGATCTTCAGATAAACTCTCGGGTCGTTCCAGCATCAGGATAGCATCAGATTCTGTTTAAACTTTACTGGCTAAATTAATCCAGGGTCAATCATTGATGAGGCAGGTTCTACAGTGCTAAAGAAATCTCAAGAATATGATAGTAACCAACTTATATTCAGCGTTGAGGGTTCTTTATCTCAGATAAAATCCTACACTAGGCCGGTCTCAAGCCAGTGGTAGGTGCCTCAGTGGGGCCATGGCCCCTCTGAATCCAAGCTTGCCCATGTGACCCCATCTGCTGCTGAGAGCAAATGTTCATCTGGCATGCTGGAGGTGCAGCTTCAGAGGGCTTCCTGTGGGCTCGGATTACAGAAGACAGGTATAGAATATTTATATTGGTTCATTCAGCCTCCCAAGCAACTTTCTGAAGCAACCATCTATCATCCATCAAATAGATGCTAGTTCTGTGGGGTTTATAAAGAACTATAACAATGGTTAAGTTCAAATAATACAGCTGGAATATGCACATCTACTTGTTAACCCATTTATGCTGGAGGGTGCACTTTTTTTGTGTGTGTGAAAAATCAGACCTTGGTGATGACCTTGAGCAGTATGACATAAATAACTCCCACAAGCTTAGCGTTCCAATAATGGAACGCTAAGCATAAGTGGGTTAAAACCGTGCAAGGCAGGATGTTTTAACCAGATAACAACCAGCACAGAACCCTTGCTCAGAGTTCAGAGGAGGAGAGAGAGGTCTGTGATCCAGCAAGCAGAGAAGGGCTCATGGGGTGAGCCATGTGCATTAAGTCCTAAGGGAGGAATCTGAATAGAGGCCAGAGTGAGAAGCTCCTCAAAGAGCTAGGGTGTGGTCCTCTGCCCTGCTTCCCTGAATCCCTCAGAGCTGAAGGAGGTGAGCCAGGGCTTTAGCTGTTCTCTCTGGAGCTGTCTTGTTGCCTTGCTTTCAATTGCGAGTGCTTGAAGATTAAGCTAATGAGCTTTCCTGCTGAGGGCGGTGGGGAGCCAATGCCTCTGCCCTGGCACCCAGCCCTAGTTATTTTTCTTTTAAATAAAGGAACAGGCTGTCTAACATCAGGTGGAGACCTAGGTGCCTTGCACAGTCTCAGGTTGGAGAACATCTTTGCCTCGGGTGACAGATGGGCACATCATACTTCATCTCCCAGACCTCTGGACCCAGCCACACTGCACATATGACACTCGAGTTGGTGACACTCTGTCATCCATTCCCATTAATGTATGATAGAACTCAATCAGTCCAGCTGCCAGGGCAGCATCAGAGCGGAGTAGCAGGAAGCAAAGAAAACCACTTGGACCCCTGCATGACCTGCATTCTTTTCCTCCCAGGCCATACTTCAGTAAGGATTTCTTGCCAGCATAGCAGTATTTTGAATTCCCAGTTGATGATGAGGTTTTGAGTTGACCATGCAATGCCATTTATCAAACCCCTGCTCCTCTTTGGAATGCTGGCAGGCATGCTACATATTGACTGTGAAGCCCCAGCAAAGCACAACTCTGTTTTTGTTCAATGCTACTAAATTTGAAGGAGGTGTGTTTGTGGGTGAGTGTAAGTTTTGAAGGAAAACATTTCCTATTTTTGTATGGTTCTGCATGTCAGGTTTTTCTTCACCATTCTGTTGTTTATTGTGCTCTTTTCATTTTTTTTTGTGCTTTGTTTTGTATCTTGTTGCATTGCAATTGAGACTGACGTCAATTTTAAGACTCTAGAATTATGTCTTTATGGTAGACTTGCAAAAAAAACGTGACAAGGTTATTGGCACAAGAAGAGACTGTGGCCTAATACCACTGACAGACCATCTCACCCATGCTCTCCCTTACTTCTTAGTAACAGGACTAATTTTATTATGTGCCTGTCTACACCCTGCATTTCCCAGCTTTTCTTTAAGCTCAGTATAGCCGTGATGCTCAGCTGTGACTAATGAGCTATAAATGTGTATTACATATGACTTTGGGGCAGCACCTTAAGATGGAGTGGGTGAGCCATATTCTCCTTCTATCCAGTCCCATATGAGAATGTGCTGCTGGGACCAGGAGGATGAGGACAGTACCTTAGCGATGGCAGAGTGGCAACCTGGGGGCATGTGGTCCTTGAAGACGTTGAGGAACCACCCTGATTAAATCTTGTGGTTTATGCCACCATCGCTTAGGTTTTCTGTTACATGCAACAAAAATTAATCCCAGCTGCTATGTCAATAACATTCCAAAGTTACCTTTACTTTACTGACAAAGTTTTCTTCATCCCCTACTCATGAAATACCTGTCCATTACATAAAGTAACCAGTGGTTCTCTCACTCCTCTTAGGATGATGACAGCCCCACTGTGACAGGGGCTCCTCTGAAGCACTGCTCTCTCTTCTTCCCCCTCGTTCTCCATCCGTCTCGGCCTTCATTCCTTCCAATATCCATCCAGTGCTTCCCATGTACCATACACTGCACCGGAAGGTGATCCTTGCACCTACGGAATTTTAACTTGGTGGAGAGAAAAGACAGAAGCATTTACAAATCTGGCAAAAGTCACAAAGAGTAGTATGAGATTTCATGTTCAGAGGTCTCCCCGAGGCTGACACAATGGAATTGAGTGATATGGTTTGGATATTTGTCTCTGCTCCAATCTCCTGTTGAAATGTGATCTTCAATGTTGGAGGCGGGGCCTGCTGGGAGGAATTTGGGTCACAGGGGACAGATCCCTCATGGCTTGGTGCTGTCCTCACAGTAGTGAGTGAGTTCTCTGAGATCTGGTTGTTTGAAAGTGTGTGGCACCTCCCCACTCTCTCTCTTGCTCTCGCTCTCCCCATGTGATAACTTGGCTCCCCACTTTGTCTTCCACTATGATTGGAAGCTCCTTGAAGCCTCCTCAGAAGCTGAGCAGATGCCAGCACCTCACTGCCTGTACAGCCTTCAGGACTGGGAGTCCATTAAATCTCTTTTCTATAAGGTATTTCCTTATAGCAATGCAAGAATAACCTCATACAAGGAGACTGAAAAGATAAGTAGGAATCAGCTGGAGGAAGAAAGGGTAGAGAAGCTTCACATGGAATGTTTGTCACAGGTAAAGGCCCTGAAATAGAGAGAAATGGAGAGAAAGCCACAGCGGGCCTGAAGCACAGCCGGTGTGGCCCAGAAAAGAAATAAAGTGTGAGCTGGGCATGGTGGCTCATACCTGTAATCCAGCACTTTGGGAGGCCAAGTGTAGGAGGATCACCTGAGCCCAGGAGTTCAAGACTGGCCTGGGCAACATGGTGAAACCCTGTCTCTACAAAAAAATACTATGTATATATATATATCTCTAAAGCTGGGCATGGTGGTGTGTGGCTGTAGTCCTAGCTACTCAGGAGGCCAAGGCTGGAGCATCACTTGAGCTCACGAGGTCAAGGCTACAGTGAGCCATGATTACACCACTGCACTCCAGCCTGGGCAACTGAGCAAGACCCTGTCTCAAAAATAAATAAATAAATAAAGTGTGTGTGTGTGTGTGTGTGTGTGCGCGCGCGTGTGAGAGAGAGAGAGAGAAAGAAGATTGAGAGATGAGATGGGAAGAGATGAGTTTGAAGAGGTTGTCCAGAGCCGAGTAGATTATTCAGGCGCTCGTTCAGTTGCAGAAGGCTTGGTGAGCATGCAGCCTCCTTGTGGGTTTGGACTTCATCTTGAAAAACCATAGACAACATTTGAAGGGTTTTAAACCTGGAAATGACATAATGAAGTGTGCATTTAAAACTTCTCCCTTTTGCTATGGTCTGAGGAATAAATAGGAGGAAGGCTAGAGAGGTTGGTCCCAAAGTCTTAAGAATGTTGCTTTATTGATCAGGGCTGAGTGATGCTGTTCACGTCCACTCCACACTTTTATTCCAGTTCTTTCCTTGTTTATTCATCTTCACACTTTTCTTGCATGTGTTTTGCAGTTTTCTGTGTCTGTAATTTCCATGTTAATCAGCCAGCTTAATGCTTGCAGGAATGTGCCTGCAGCGAGTTATTCATTTCTTTTTCTCTTATCCTTTCTCTCCCAGAGTCCCTCCTGTTCTCAAAAGATCCAGTTAATGTCATCATGAGTGGTCATTAGTAGCCATTCTTTTAGTATTCCTTTGTTTAACCAACTGAATAGAATGTTTTAACAAAGTGTTAACCTCCAGTACTCCGGGGTCAAGGAGCCCAGAGGATACCTTTGGGAGATGCTGAGGGCCACATCGTAGATGGAGGTCAGGGAGAGTGGGCCTGGGAGTTGACCTCTGCCCCTTTCACCTGCGTCAAAACAAGGCTCTCTCTGCTTTATGAAAAATGAGCTTCTGAATAAGAGTTTGCCTGAAAATTAACCCACTGACATTACAGGCTTAAGAATGCTGCTCTGCAGAACAAATACTTCCAGATCAGCAACATGGCATTTCATCAACCTGTTCATTCAAGACCCTCTTAGGCTCTGTCTAAGCCCTTATGTTGGGACGACTGCAGCAGCAGCCCTGATGCCCTCTTCCCAACTGCAGCCCTTCCCTACAGATCTCAACACCTGACCGCCTACACATTTGCTTCACACCAGGTCTAAGCTTCCGTTCCTGGTTTCTAAGTCCTCTGTAATTTCCTCCTTAAACAACCAGCACACTGTGATTTCACCAACCTTAGCTCCCCTCTAACAAGGCAAAGCTCTCTTTTCTCTCTCTTACTAGCCAGACTCTTCAATTCATCTTAATTTTCCTCACCCTCTCTCTTTCTGCTAGCCAAAATGTTTGTTCCTAACTTCAAAGCTTATTTTCTACCTCTCATTTAGCTCATTTTCTACCTCTTCCAGGAAAATGACCATCATTATGCCTCCTTTCCCCAGGATGATTAAACATGATACACCTGTGCATCAGACACAGCCCTCAGCCATTGATTCAACATAGTCTTATGACATCTTCTGTTGCCATCTTCTCAGCTAGATTATAAACTCTGAAGGCAAGGGCCACACTTCATGGAGAATTAAGCCAGGAGAACATGTTTAAGCAAGACAGTGTCTTTTCATGAAAATATCAGGCAATTTTAATGTGCCCCTGTGGATTCTTCTTCATTTGCTGTGTTATAGATGGAATGAAATGTGTCTTCTTCCTTCTAGAGGACACTGGGAGATGAACTATTCTCTGCCTTCAAAGAAGTAAGGCCATACTCTTGGTGACAGAGGATTGGAACTCTAGGTTCAATGAGCATCAGGATCTGTTGTGAAAGTGAGGGAGAACAGAAGGCTTGGTGGGGGCGGCATAGACCTGGCGATGAGAATCAAGAGTGGCAGGAGAAGGTGAGGGCAGGCAGTGAAAATAATGCCTGCAGAAGCCCCAGAGCCTCAGCTGTCCTGGAGAAAGTTATCCCAGAAGAAAGAACTCTGATTTTTGTGAAAGAGCTGTTGATTTGGGCTGTATGTCTTGAGTGTGCAGGAGCCTATGGAAGAGGAGGTCCTGCCTTCCGACGGCACAGGACTTATCTGGGCTAGAACCTGCCAGTGCCAGTCCACAGGGCTCATCCCCAGAGGCCCTGCTGCAGGCCGTGGAGGAAACTTTACTGAGATAGGTACCATATGCACTGCTCAGACAAAGTAGCGCCCAACTGCCACAGCCTTTGCTCTGTTCCCATTCAGTCGCCCATGAGAGCATCTACAATCCCTAAAACAACTGTGGGTGCAACGATGAGATGTGGACACTTCATAGGGTATCTAATGGTAGGAAAGTTCTTGCAAATAAGCTTGGGATGGCAAAACTGAAAACGAACAAGAGCCTTGCGCTGGAATAGTGACATCTCTCTTACATTTTAAGTTGGTTACTTTAAGGAAGGGTGGTAACACTAAGATGTCAATTCTTGCCTTCTTTAGACCATATAATCTGTAACCAATGATGCCTTCTACCTGGAGGCTCAGTCACACCTTAATCCCTGGGGGTTAATACCAGCCCTGAACCCCCAGGTCCCTCCACTGAATCCTCAATCCTCTACCTAGAACTTGCCAAGCCTTTCCCCAGGGGCTTGGGATCTACTTGCCTGCCCTTATTGCACAGAATTTATGGCCTGCCTACTGTTAGCCAGGTTCCGTGCAAGGTGCTGAGGATATTCCAGGTTCCACTTGTCCCTTGGATCCCCTTTGCTGGGTCTACATTCATGATATGGTTTCCCTTGATGAATACCAATGACTACTGTGACCGTATCACACCCTTTGGGCTCAGTGGACTGGATTTGAATATACCTCTTTGAGATCATCCCTACAACTGGCTCGTATTTATAATCTACTATCCTGCCTTCTTTTTCTCATGCCCACTAGCCAATGTTTCTGATATCCCGGAACGAAGTCATAACATTCTAGTAATTAGCAGAGAAGAATCTTATTGGCCTTTTCTTGAAGCACAGTTGGCTAATTTCAGATCAAAAGGGACAGTATGGTTCATTTTCAGAGCATGTGGCTCTAAGCCATTAAATGCACCTGTGTTGAAAAATGGCTGTCCTGACTGTAAAATTCAGTAATTACTTTACTGAAGCAATTGTGTGTCTTCCTTTGTGAGAATCGGTAGCAGTTGGGGGAAATTTCACTGTGGCTGGTGGAAATTGAAGCTGAGAAAAAGGCAGGGAGCATGTGTGTCAACAGCTGGGAGGTGCCACATCACCTGTACATGGGGCAGGTGGGAGCGACAGGAGCCCAAGCATCATCTTCACCACTTTCCCAGTGCAATAAGCATCTGGGGAAGGGAACTCCCAGGGAACAGACAGATGCAAGGGAAAAGGCCAGGTGTGATTCGTTCATCAGGCATTGCTAGGCACAGTCTCTGTCATTGCAGAGAGGGCCTGGTCAGTGAGTCCCGCCAACCCATCTGTTCTGCCTGTTGTGGCCTGCGCTTTCTTGGGCATTGCATGAGAATGAGAATGTCTGTGAAACATACAGCCTCTGCCTCAATGTCTTACAACAGAGAACCACTATGTGAATCACGAAAGAAGGGTTGTGCATTGAGAGACAGAGGTGAGGTTTGTTCTAACATTTGAAAACGGAATACTACCTTTCTTATCAGCTCTACAAATACAACTGCAGAATGTCTCCATAGCATGACATTTCCTTCTCTCAGAACCTCAACTCACTCACCTTGATTCTGAACTCAAGATATCAACCAATTTGAAGATTCCTTTTCCTTCTGATATCCTGCTTAACAAGTTTTGAGCCGGGCACACCAGTAATCGAAAACCATGTTCACTTTCCCTAATGAAAAAATCATTTGCGAATTGTCTATGTAGTTTTTCTCACTGTAGTAAGTCAATACAACTCAATTATTATTAAAGCTTCTTTGTCTGAGAAGGGGACTTTTCATAATTTGGAGGACCTAACAAAATTCAGCTGTGACTTCCCCTAACGATGGCATAGACCAGGGCTCTGGGTCAGATCACTTCTCTTAGTGTCTTTTGAGGCCTCTTGCATCTCTTCTACTGGAGGCTGCTGGCCCAGAGGGGTGAGTCCCATGCTGGGCCTCTGCTCTGATTTGACTGAGGTCACTAAGTACTAAGCTTTATTGTCTCTTGAGAAAACTAGATATCACCTGTGGAAGTCTATGCTCTGATTGGGATTGTTTTCTTAAAAGTTTTTGGTGAAATTGCGTTTATCTGGCCTGACTTTGTCTTGCTCTATATCATCAAGAACATTGTCTAAAAGAGCACTAGTTAGTAGAGAAAATTCTCACAAATCCATTAACAAAACTGACTCTGAGGACTGAAGAGTTTGTGGTCTTGTAGTGCCACTGTCCCTCATTGGGCAAACTTTGCCTTGGGTCACCATCTCAACACCTCAGTGTCTACTTTCCTCCATTTTGTCTTTGTATTTCTGAGAGTTAATTTAAAAGATGAAATCTCCAAAACTGCCTCTTCTGGAAAAAGCAGATTGTCAGTTCTGAGGAGAGAAATGGCCACTTAGAATTAGCTGGTATGAAGCAGAAAGTTCAAAATGACACCTTCAGCCAGCTGCCAGCAATGCTCACTGGATGACATCTCCCTAGTTCTTACCCTGGCTGGCTGGACGCCTGCTTCCAGTCTTGAATTTGTATGTCCCTAATGCTTGTGCATGCCACAATTATCATTTCACCAAGGATAACTTGAAGAACCTTCAATATGGCTAAATTGTCCTTCTTAGAAGTGCCTCAGAGCTAAAAGGCTTAACAACTAGTAATATTTAATAATCTGTCTGTATCAGTTGGTATGAAAAATTATTTTTAAAAAATTCAGATTAAAAAAATCACTTCATTAAAATGTGTTCTGAGGAAGAATTTAGCACTTAATTTCCTTTAAATGCACAAGTGTAATTATCTTCAAGTATCAAGAACCAAAATCACCGTCTTCTTGTAGATACGCCCGTGCTTAACTTTTAAAAATCAATTCTGCTGGGCACTGTGGCTCGCGCCTGTTATCCCAGCACTTTGGGAGGCCAAGGTGGATGCATCACTTGAGGTCAGGAATTTGAGACCAGCCTGGCCAAGATGGTGAAACCTCATCTTTACTAAAAATACAAAAATTAGCCGGGTGTGGTGGCGGGTGCCTGTAATTCCAGATACTCAGGAGGCTGAGGCAGGAGAATCAGTTGAACCTGGAAGGCGGAGGTTGCAGTGAGCCAAGATCACGCCACTGCTCTCCAGCCTTGACAACAGAGTGAGACTCTGTCTCAAAAAAAAAAAAGAAAAAAAAAATCAGTCCTACCACTGAGTCTGCCCCTCTTCTACAGAGCGAATGAATGCCCCAATAGTAATAGGTACCTCTGATAGCTTCAGACATTCCCTGCTTCCTAGTCAATAATTGCTACCTGGGATCCTCTGATAGAGAAAATGATTTTTCCTTTTATGATACCCACCATCCACCTTAATTGGGGGAGCTTGGTTAGTAAATAGAATTGCTATGTTAAATGCTTCTTGTAAGATCTCTTCCTTGAAATTCCTGAATTTCTCTCTATTTATATTATATTGTTGAATTCATTCTGTAATGCTTTGTTATACTGATAAAATTAATGCCCCATTCAGAGAAGTAGTATTTCCTAAAGATATATAGTCACTGAGCGGCTCAAAACCAATCACTACCAATAATTTTTTAATGTGGTTGGGGAGATTAAAAAATAAGTGTTTTTTGCATTTTCCTAACAAATTATTTGGAGCCTATGCTCACAGAAACCTGTTAAATATCTTAATAGGAATTTGAAAAGGATGGCAGATATGAACAGCCAATTTTGCAAGCTAAGCTCTTCAATACTCACCCTCACTCCTACCCAGGTCTAGCTTTCATTAATATTTTCTTCTGTTTTGCACGAATGATCTGCCCAGGATCTTGGTATTTTAATTCAACTGCATAGAAATCAACCCAAAACAGCCTTGCTCTTGATGCAGTGGCCAAGTCCCGCCTGTCATGCCTGAAGCCTATGGGACCTACTATCAAATTTCCAGAGGCTTCTCCTGATGTAGTTTTTTGTTTGTTTGTTTGCTTTTTTTTTTTTTTTTTTTTGTCGTTTGCTTTTTAAAACATTTTTCTTTTTTTAAAAAATTTTATTTCAATAGGTTTCGGGGGAACAGGTAGTTACATGGATAATTTCTAGTGGTGATATTTGTACTTTTGGTGCACCCATCACCTGAGCAGTGTACACTGTACCCAACATGTAGTGTTTTATCATCACCCTCTCCCACGCTTCCCAGCAGTCCCCAAAGTCCATTGCATCATTCTTATGCCTTTGCATCCTCATAGTTTAGCTCCCACTTATAAGTGAGAAGATAACAATGTTTGGTTTTCCATTCCTGAGTTACTTCATTTAGAATAATGTTCTCCAACTCCATCTAGGTTGCTGCAAACCGTTTTTATGGTTGAGTAGTATTCCATGGTGTGAATATATACCACATTTTCTCTATCTACTCATTGACTGGACATTTGGTATGGTTCTATATTTTCGTGATTGCAAACTGTGCTGCTATCAACTTGCATGTGCAAGTATCTTTTTCTTTTATATATATATATTTATTATACTTTAAGTTCTAGGGTACCTTTGCACAACATGCAGGTTTGTTACATATGTATACATGTGCCATGCTGGTGTGCTGCACCCATTAACTCATCATTTACATTAGGTATATCTCCTAATGCTATCCCTCCCCCCTCCCCCCACCCCACAACAGGCCCCGGTGTGTGATGTTCCCCTTCCTGTGTCCAAGCATTCTCATTGTTCAATTCCCACCTATGAGTGAGAACATGCGGTGTTTGGTTTTTTGTCCTTGTGATAGTTTGCTGAGAATGATGGTTTCCAGCTTCACCCATGTCCCTTGCGTCTTCCTTTGGCCCTATGATTCTGTGTACAGTAGAATCTTTATTACTTACTGAAAACAAGTAAATTTTTGAGCTGGCTCATATTCTGTGAACTTTTGTTATTTTTTTCCTCTTAAAATTAGTTCCCTTTTAATCTGTAATCTTGTTTTGAAGAATTTTTTTTTCTAGTATTAGTAGGTACTCTTAACATTTTTAACACATGTACTTGATGTTTTCTAATAAAATTTAGAGCCAACAAATCTCTTTTTCATTTTTATATACAGTGTTAATATCTTTGCATGTTTTAACTTCCCTCCCAATTCTATCTCCCATCCTCTATAATATTGTTGCCTAGAATTTTAGTTATATCTTATTTAAATAAGAAATAAACTTATAGTATTTACTATAAACTCTTTGGCTTCTTGGTTTTTTTTCTCTACTTTATGGAAAACATACGTTAATAGTTCTTGTTTTTCATAAAGATTTGCAGATTATGAATACTTCCAGTATGTGTGTGTTTAAAAATGCTACCGTTCTAATCTTTACCTGAAATAAGAGGTAAGCTGGATATAAAATCCTAAGTTGAAAATTGTTTCCCTTCTGTACTTTAAGTATAATAGTAAAGATTTCTGACATCTGTAGTTACTGATCAGAAGTCTTCTTTCCTTATTACATTGATCATTTGCAAATAATTGATCTAATCTTGTCTGGTAGTTTTAATATGACTTTTTCTTAATAAGACATATAGTTTCATAATATAGTGACTATGTATAGATTTGTTTTTCATGATTCTGTGAAATATTATTTTTTAATCTGAAGACTAACGTATTTTTTAATATGAGAAAGTTTTTTATATTTTAATGTGGTTTTACCAATATTATTTTATATAATATATTATTTATTCTTTCTTTTGAATAATTATACTTAAGTTCCTATTAGATTTTTTCTATTGTAACTTATTATTTCAATATAAATTGTATTATTTATTATGTCTTCTAACTGTCTCTTCTTGGAAGTGTGATTCCTTCTTCATCTCTTATTTATAAACACATTTTCAGCGGGGACAATTCTCCATGGGTGTTTTTCTCTGCAAGTGCTCTGCCTTTTGAAGGCATACTTACAGGGTGGTTTCACATCAGTTTTTTATCAGCTTAACAATGATTTCTGAACTTTAATTTGCATATATTATAACATGGGTTTCAACATTTTTGAAGCTCTCTCTGATTCTATCCATGACCTAAGACCAACTGCTTACTTCTGGGGATGCCCTTGAGCTCCAGGCAGAATTGTTCTAGTTCCAGCTTATGACTGGTCCTTGGCTATATGCAGGGTGTCCATCTCTACTTCTGATGATTTCTATAGCTTTCATCTATATTTCAGTTCTGACATTAAATTTTATTTCATAAAACGTACACCTGGACTTGCCCATGGGCTGCATGGCTTCACATCTCACCCATTAACATGGCAATGGATTTCATCTTTAGTTCTGGTGTCCGAAGATTTTTCTTTCCTGTTTTTGGCTTTAATATTTAGAGAAGGCCACCTATAACTTCTGTGTTTTGGGAATGAGTGAAGGTACTGGGTGGGGTTTCTTATCTTCTCAGTTCATGATCCTGTCTGGAAGTCTACAATGGTGCCTTTATCTGCTTCAAATGTTTTTAATAGGTTGTCTTATTCTATTTTAGCTGTTATAACAAAATTACAAAGTGGTGTGAGACTGAAATTGTGAATACTGAACCATTGCTCTTGGGGAAAAACAGGATTAGGCACCTGTGAGCCTCCAGTCATGTGATCATCAACCAACCAATACACAACCTTGTTTTATGTATAGTTCTGTTTAAAGACACCTTATTTATGACATATTGTTGATTAATTGAAATTGAACTCACAACCAATTGCATGATAACTTGGCCTGAATTAAGCTTATCTAAAACCGACATATTTTTTCCATAAGGCACATCATAGTCTTCTTGCACGTAGGTACACAAGACAGATCTTCAGAACTATGCGTAGAGGTCATTTTAAACAGCAAAATCACCAGCAAAAGATGTAGCATACATAGACCTTAAAAGGGACACTTATTTAGAGTCTGAGAGCTGAAACAAGAAGGCAGAGTGTTGCCTTGTTCAGTCTCAGCTGGGAACTTGTGCTTTGGATGATTCAAATATTTTGCTTCTCTGCCCACATTGTAAATGACTACAAAAGTGCCAATAGCATTGATTTGGGGGTTAAAATAAATTTTAGGAGAGAACTCGCAAATACAGAATCCATGTATAATGAGGATTGACCGTACTTAAAAGTTATATGTTACAGCAGCATAGACAGAAATTAGACTGGAAATCACCACATGGGTCTTCGCCATGATTCTTTTCCTAAATTGTTGAGTGGCCTGGGATTAGTTACAATTCTCCTGTGCCTCTCCTTCCTTAATTGTTAAAAAAAAGGCATTGCTAGTGAGATTTTTATTCATGGAGAATTGTAATGCTTGTACTTTCACCAACAGACAAAAATGTAATTGAAGTGCAGCCTTAGAAAAAGGGGTTACATAATAATATATAAAGGGACTTCAAAAAGTTTATGAAAAATGGAATTAAAAGATAAAATTTTTAAAATATAAACTTTATTTCTTAACATAAGCTCCATTATGGTCAAGACAGTTTTATAAGTGATGATACCAGCAATTTAGTTCATCCCTAAAAAAACTGAGGGTCCTGGAAATTTAGATTTAGCAATGAAGTCTTTTTTACATTTTCAATGAAAGAAAAATGGCTTTCCTTTATAGATTTTTTTTATGATTAGAAAACAAAAAAGAGTCAAAACTGGCCAAATCAGGACTGTAAGGTGGATACCTAATAATTTTTATGGAAACTCTTAGAAAATTACCTTTGTTTTGTGAGAGAAATGACCATGAGCATTGTGATGGTTGAGAGGGACTCTCTGGTGAAGCTTTCCCAGGTGTTTTTCTGCTAAAGGTTTGGCTAACTTTCTGAAAACACTCTGATAATCAGCAGATATTATCATTGCTTGGTCCTCCAGAAAGTCAACAAGGAAAATGACTTGAGAATTTCAAAAAAGTTTTTCCATGACTCTTGTTCTTAACTTGTTTATTTTTGGTTTGATTGGGCCACCTACACCTCTTGGTAGCCATTGCTCTGATTGTGCATTGTCTTCAGCATGGTACTGGTAAAGCTGTGTTTTATCTCCCATAAGTATTCTTCAAAAATATGCTCAGGGCCAGTACAGTGGCTCACACCTGTAATCCCAGCGCTTTGGGAGGCCAAGGTGGGTGGATCATGAGGTCAGGAGATCAAGACCATCCTGGCCAACATGGTGAAACCCCATATCTACTAAAAATACAAAAATTAGCTGGGTATGGTGGCACGTGCCTGTAATCCAGCTACTTGGGAGGCTGAGGCAGGAGAATCATTTGAACCAGGGAATTGGAGTTTGCAGTGAGCTGAGATGGCACCACTGCACTCCAGACTGGCAATAGAATGAGACTCAGTCTCAAAAAAATAAAAAAATAGAAAAAAATAAACGAAAAAAAAAAAGCTCAGGATCTTAATCTCACCATTTAAAAAAATGCCTATTGAGAGCTCTGTACTTGTCTCTAGCTAATCTGTGTGCAATGATTTTGACACCCATTACATGAAATTTTGCTCAACTTTAATTTTTTAGTCAGAGTTGTCTAAGCTGAACTATTTGAGATGTCTATGGTGTTTGCTATTCCTTATGCTATTAATCACCAGTTCTCTTTAATTAGGGCACAAACAAAATTAATATTTATTCTCATAAATGATGGGGATGGTCTACTGCTATGGGCTTCATCTTCAACATCATCTTATCTCATCTTAAAATGAGTTATCTATATGTAAACTGCTGATTTCTTTTTGAAATTGTCCCCACAAAACTCATAAAGCATCAATAATTTCCCATTCTTTCACCCAAGTTTTACCACATATTTGATGTTTATTCTTGCTTTAATTTTAGAATTCCTGTTGCTCTGATAGGGGTTCTTTTCAAACTGGTGTTTTTGTCTTTCTTAGTACCTCAAACTAGATCCTGTTCAGATGCACTATAAGTTAGTCAAAGTTTATTTTGGTGCAAAAATTTTTTAAATTCATGCATAGCTTTTTCATGGCGTGCATTCTTCATGAACATTTTGAAATATCCTCATATTTGTGAAAAGTTTTTCCTCAGGAGATGGTACTTTTGATTATGGTCAGGTAATCGCTAAGTTTTAAAGGCAAACATCACTAAATGTTTTGATGTCCTTTTGCCCAGAAAAAGTATAGCTTGACTGGGTGGGTTTTCTAAATAGCATTCCTAAGATGATGGATTAGTAATATTCTCTCCACTAGAAACAAATGAAATTTGAGCAGACATGAGAATAACTACCACATCCTACATTATATGAACCCCAAATTTATTGCATCAGTGACATATACGTCAGCTGTCTTTGGCAACAAAATTGAGACTTTTAGGAGAGTTTTGTTATTGTTGTTTTAAAGTTTATGTCAAACATCTAGAACCATGTCTGCTTTTGTAGGAGTATGCATGGATGTTCTAACACCCAGGTTTTACAGAACTGAGGCAGCATGAGGAATCTTATATTCATCCCATGTCATTGCCCAACATTCTCTAGGACCTTGCTGTGCAGCAGCAGAGGCACCATCTGGGATCTTGTTACAAACACTTTTCTAGGCCCTGCCTCAGCACTACTGAATCAGGATATGCAGTTTATGAAGATTCCTAGTGATTTATATGGGCTTTAAAAGTTGAAAAGCCTGCTCTGGGAGCTCCATGCCTATTCCCCAAATTGCTCCAATGCACAAATTAATTCTCCCTCCTCCAAATATCAAAAAGGCATTAGAAGAGTTAAATGACAACATAAATATTTTTTTTCAAAATAAAGTATGGGTTATCACTAGAATTAACACTGTGAAAGATTCCTTACATTTCAGAAAATGAGCTATCTTAATTCAATCTAATCTCCAGCATGTGAACTAAAGCAAGGGAATCCCAGCAGCATCAATTACAGCTCAGGAAGATATAAGAAACTACTCTTTATCTAAGGTGTTAGGAGGTGTAGGTTATCTGCAACCTTTTAAAATATTCACCCTTTAAAATATTCACTCAGGCTCAAAGGGAGACCAGGAGTTCTGCTGTATTCAGAACACTTAAGTTATAAACAGATCAGAGTTTGTAGGGCCTTCTTAGCTCCTTAAACAGCTAGGTCCATAAAACCTATCATATCTCTTTGGTTCCCTCTGTTTTAGGAAGAGAAGCAGGTCACTGAAGTCTTGGGTACAGTAGGGAGGCTAGACCCAGGGCATACTTACCATAAATAATAATAACAATGGTTAATAAAATGTTCATTGATGCCATTCACTTTTTCTAAGCATTTCTGAAGTATCATCTTACATAAAGACTAAAACAATCTTATGTGGTAGTTACTATTATTATCATTTTCATTTGTAGCTGGAGATAATGAGACATTGAAAGATAATGTGAATTGTCCAAAGTCTCACAGGTAAGCAATGAATGTTTGAAGGCAGATTATAGGAACTCAACCATTGCACTATTCTACCTTTTAAGATTGGAAGTGGAAGGCAGTTACATTCAAACAAAGACAGTGCCCAGAGTAAGCAAGAGAAAGACAGCTGGACCACATATAATCAGATACTGTTATCCTACTAATATAATTCAACAGAGAAATAGGCCCACCAAAAGTCAGACCATACTTTTCTCATTAGCTGGACATCGAAGATCCTCAACTTCCCTATGAACGAGACTTATACTGGATGGAGAAAGAGACGTAGGTTCCCTTTCAAGCTATTTTCCAAGAAGGTGAGGTATCTTCCTTCATAGAAATGTGAGGGTGAGAATATAAGGTATTCCTAACACATGCATCTTCCAATTTTCCAATATTATCACACATGGCAGAAGAAGACATTACTGCTTTGTAATTTTTATGGGATAATAAAAAGATTATAGAATCTGGGGGCAGAATTCACTGATAAGCTATGAATAATAATAGTACCAATTGAATAAGATTCCAGTAAAAAGAACTTAGAACACTATATGGCACCCAACATATTTATTGTCATCATAATCAACTTCATCAAACTAAGGATGAAAGGGCATGTTGATTGTAAATCCACTTTGTAGGTCAGAAAATCCCATGCTAATGGCACTGTTACCAACAAATTTGGTCCCATGTTGAACGATGGCATTTCTCTTCCCAGATCCGGTCATTGAAAACCTGTTAGATTGTGGAAATTGCTCAAATCACATTATATGTGGTTCAGAGTAAGTAACCTGATCCAATGAAACCACTAGGACACATAAACAGCTCCTCTCTTATCACTGTTTGAAAGAGCAAAATATCAATCTTAATTTACTTAAAAAAAACCTATCTCTGTTAGAAACTCACGAATCTGATTCCCCCTATGAATTCAAAATCTGTTGTTAAATTTGCTGGAAAGATTTTCATAATGGGTCCAATGACGGTTATCACTTGGAGTTTTGCCATATTAGAACTAACTCAGGTTTAGTGATCAAGAGAATTTTGCCTTTGTGTTTGTTTTGTTAATCAGTTGGATAAATTTGGCCCATTCTCTTCACCTCCTGGGCTTCAGTTTCCTCATCTGTAAATCAAGGGGATTGGAAGAAAATAACTACAGAGTTGCAGCCAGTTCCATTATTAGAAAATTCTATAATTCTGTGAAACCTGTTCACAGTCTCTAACCTCCAATCAAATCACAGTGTATTCCAATGCCATAGTAACCCAGGTGCATTCACCACAATTTAATCAGAGAGTGCACAATGCCAAGCCAACAAAGCTGGCTATCAACCCAACAGGTGGTTTTTAAAAAGACAGATTCTGCATTCTGCATTTAAAGCTACCGTTACATTAGAAAGAAAAAAATATTTAAAGAGCCAACCTCTCTATAGAGCTAATTAAGTCAGAATGCAAGAATGAAACATCATTATCCTTATGGAAAAACATATACAGTATCCCAAGTCGATCTGAGGCTTTAGGGTTAGGAACAAAAAAGAACACTTACAGTAAGATTAAAGCCATTTGGGCAAGAGACAACATGCCCCTGATTCTCTCCCAATTCCTTACCTGACATTGAAATGCTGATTAAAGAATTGCTGCTATTGCTCCTACAGCAGGAGAAACTGTAATGTTTTGCTTGAGCCTGCTACCTTGATTAATGTATAGGGCTCATCACTGAAGCAAAAACATATATTATGCTTTGCTTGATTCTAAATATATGTACTTTTAATCTCTGTATTCAGTCGATGTATTAGCTTGCCAGGGAAGGAAATCAAATTACATACTGTACACATAAACCTCAAAAAGTACTGATTACTGATTAGACAAAGAAAAAAAAGTAAGATAGAATTGCAAAACACACCATGAAAAGGCACAGATCTGAATTGTTAAGAACTTATTACCATATTGCTTCTCTCAGGGAAACAAAATGCATCAATATATATTTTAATTAAGTGTGAAGTATTTAAGCAAATTCCACAAAGTCTTAGTCAGCACCTTTAAAAAATCTTTTATTTTATGTTTGTAGAAACCAAGTGCAAAATGATTTATTTGCCTGGAAATTTATGATTTGTGAGGCTGTATAAATCAACCATTTGGGGGAAATTGCTTCAAGTGGCAACGTATTTGTATTTGATGTGAAGAGTTAGGGTTTGGGGAGAAATTCATTTGCTTTATAAGAAACTGAAATGCTTGTTGACAAATAAAATATAAACATATGATCTGAAGCTCCATTTTTGGAATGGACCATTTGATGAGTTTCAACATTGTTTGAGATGTATTAAGGAGAATGTGCATATCATGTTACTTTAAATGCAACATAAATGGCTATAGTAACAAAAATTATAGCAGTCTTGCTAATTGAATAGTTTTCCTTGATATTATATTTTATTGGTGATTAAACACAACTATTCTGTAAACCTGAAGTATGCTCCTGATTAACTGCTGATTCAAACTGAAGCAAGTAAAGTCTAGTGACCTCTTTGTCTTTTGAAATAAAGTATAGAAAATATTATCGGTTTGAGAGTGAAGTATCCCAGAAAATTTCACTCCAAAAAAAGGCATCCTGGCTTGATAAGTGTTTTGAGTTAAAGGTCTTTGGAGACAACCAGGTGCTAGAAGAGACTTTTTCCTTATCTGCATACAGACTGGACACATCAAGGAGAAAAATTGGTTTCCACCTTGCCCTGAAATCTAATTTACTGAGGCAGAAAAGAAGACTGAGGAATGCAGCTATGCCTGGGTGACCTTTTCATAAGACAATTTCAATCTCCAGGATGCATTCAACTTCCAAAGACATTCATTTACAGGCTAATTTCTGTCTCCCAGGTCCATTCATTCTCCCTAATAATCACTCTTTGCTCCTCAAAAGAATTACCTACATTCTCCCTCTCCCTCCTCCTTCATGAAGAAAGCTACATAAGCATCTGGACCCCATGGAGTTACTGAGTCGTCAGTCTCCTAGGATTCCACCATGCTAGGCATGTTAAAATAAATTTTGTATCACTTTTCTTCTATTAATCTGCCTTTTGTCAGCTGATTTTCAGAGAATCTTCAGTGGGCAAAGAGGAAGTTTTCTTTTGGCCTGTACAAGGAACTCATCTTATCAAAGAGATGTGCCTCCTAAAAAGAAAAATGCATTACTACATATGTGAGTAGTTCAAAAGATGAAAGATTAAACATGTTGAATATTTGGAAGAATTACGTGAGTCTGAGCGAATTTGCATCATTTTACTAATCTGAAAGTTTGCTATTGTAGAATCACAAGTGAACATGTGATGTCACACTTTTCATGATTGCTGTGTATACAACAAGAGCACTTTAGGCTCAGGGCATTGTACAGAGCCTTAGAATTGAGAGATTGTGGACTCAGAGGAGATAAAGTCCTTAACTGAGAATGCTTATTTGCTGAACAGATGCATTGAGCTACTTACAGAACATATGCGGGGTGAAGATGGGGGCAGAGGCCAAGAAAAGTGTCTTAGTGCACAAAGTTGTGAAAGTAAGTAATTCAAATTAATGCTATTGAAACTTTAAATTATTTTGAGCTTCAAAAGAAATGTGTTGGTGGGTCCTCAGTCATGTAGTCATGTAACAGGCAGCTGCAACCTTTGTTTCTCTGCTTATAGCTTAACTTTTTCCCTACCGATATTGTTTAGTAAAATGTTGTAAAAGACTGAATAGTGCCAGAGATAGGATCCCTTCCCTATGAATTGTTGACACTCTTTATAGATTAACTTTCTTCTTTCTTGTCTTGTACCAACTAGACCAGATAGACCAAAAGACTCTAAGATTATCAAATTGCTTCAGATAAAATGTTAATTACGCACTTCCTGAAAAGGAACAAGTGGTGACCAACCAAATTGCTGTAACTCATAAAACAGCCTTGTATGGAAAATATAATTCTGCTAAACTTCTTTGTTTCTCCCTAAGTAAAACCTTAACTTTTTCACTTTGGAGCACTGACTCCATTTCTTTGGAGTCTGTGTTCCTCAGACAGCTGTCCTTTAATTTTGTGCTTGAATAATTCTTTTAAGCTGGATTCTGATCCTGTCAATTATTTCAGATTGACAAAGTATTTTAAGCAAATTTTGCAAAATTCTCAGCATATTTTAATTTTCCATCTTTTGTTTTGTCCTGTTGATACCATGTGCAAATTCTCCAGAGGTTCTAGGAAATTCAGTGTTGCCCCAAAGAGGGGATTGGCTGCTGGGGCCCCAATGGGTCTTTATGTTTCTGCTCTAGGATGTCTGCGGCGTAGCCTGTTTGCAGAGCACACCCGCTTTTATTAGGACAAACACAACTGGGATCCTTTCAGCCTAGAGACCCTTTGCATGTTTAAAATTTCAGTGTTAAATTAAATTTGGCCTCAAACTGCCTCCTTATGTATTTTGCATTAAGCCTAAAGGTTTTTCCATACATAAGGAGCTGTAACCCAATTTGATGTGTTAAATAAATTGTAACCTACTCTACTCACAAGTAGCCAAGTCTCAGTCAATCACAGCAGCTGAACTTCATTCAACCATAGGCAGCTGATATAGTTAGGCTTTCTTGTCCACACCCAAAATCCCATCTTGAATTTTAATCCTCATTATCACCACGTGTCAAGGGAGCGACTAGATGGAGGTAATTGAATCATGGGGGTGGTTAGCCCCATGCTATTCTCATAACAGTGAGTGTGTTCTCAGGAGATCTGATGGTTTTATAAGTGTTTTGTAGTTCCTCCTTCATTCATTCTCCTTCCTACCACCTTGTGAGGAAGGTGCTTTGCTTCCCTTTCACCTTCCACCAGGATTGTAAGTTTTCTGAGGCCTCCCCAGCTATGCTGAACTGTGAGTCAATTAAACCTCTTTTTTTTTTTTTTTAAATTACCCAGTCTCAGGCAGTTCCTTGTAGCAGTGTGAGAACGGACTAATACCGCAGCCAACTCTTCAAACCAGGTTGAAATAAGGCAAATGCCTCACTGCATCCAATCTAGCTGTTTCTGTTCCTCACTTTTGTTTTCTGTCCACCACTCTCCATTTTCTGTCTGTAAATGTTATCTGACCATGTGACAGCCCTGGTGTCATTCTGAACCTATTCTGGTTCTAGAGGATGCCTGATCCATGAATTGTTCTTTGCTCAGTTAAAATCTGTTAAATTTAATTTGTCTGAAGATTTTTTTAACAAGAAATAGAGAAGCTTTCAAATAGATTTCTATTTCTTCCATGCCAGAAACGCCTGATGAGAGAATTTAGCGATCATGTATAAAAACATTACACTCACCCAAACGTGTACTTAATTGGAGTGTTCATCCTGAACACTAGAAGCTTCAAAAATTTAAACAAATATATTTTGTCAATTAAGTTTACTTTGGCTTATTACTTTCTTGTTTAATGCCACTTGTGAAATATTTCATGGTTTAAGTTTGGAACTGCAATACACCTGTGTTCCGTCTTCAATTTAATACAATAAAAGCCTACAGGCCTGCTATCATAGCTTCAGATTCTGAGACAGGCACCAGGGTAAGGCGGAAGGTCAGTCCCAGCCGAGGAAGCCTATGACCTAAGGGGTAAGGCCAACGGTGCAGGAACAGAGTCAGTACTTCACTTAGATATGGGTGAAGGACTGAAAAAGTAGAGAGAAAAGCTGAAAAATTCTGACTTGGCAAAATGGAGGTCAGAGCAACTGAAGCTCAACATAGCTTTTGATCTAGACCTTAAAGAATATATTTTTAAAGGAGTGGGGGTGTATCTGGATATAAATTGCATTTGGTTTTGCTCTGGAAGTCACACAACAGTCTTTGAGCCGAAGAAGTAAAGTAGTTACCTGAATTAGATATTGTTACCATCATAATTAACATCCATAGCATATGTATATCACATGTGGAGCTGGATATTTTTGTTGAACGCTTTGCAGAAAAAGAAAAGTCATGCAGTGCTCAACCCCTGGATATTTCCAAGTAGGAAATCTAACAAAATGTCTGAAGGTTTAGTATGTAACTCTTTTATACAATAAAATAGAGAGGCATTTATTATCTATCAGTTTTTTTAAAATACATCCTGCTCTGGCCCACCAATTACATCTTTGCAATTTGTTTACTGACAAATATTATGTGAAAAGATAACTGTGCGAGAAGACTTACTGCAGCATTATAGTAAAGTGGTTAGAAACAATAAATGATGATAATAATTAATTTAAGATAGTTTATTACCCCTTATCTAATAGAAAACTATGTAGCCATTAAAAATAAGGCATCTGTTTTATATGTCATCATTTGTAACAGTTTTGGTATTGTTAAAAAAAGTGAACAAAGTGAAGTTTGTATAGTATTCTACCACTTGCGTCATCAATAAATGTGTGTGTGTGTGTGTGTGTGTATATATATAAACATGGATTATATGAACATAATTTACATGCATAAAAGATTTCTGGAAGGATACACAAGAAATAGGTAGCAATGGTGTTCTCTGCTAAGAGAAGAACAGAGGTGAAAAGAAACAATTTTTTTCTGATCATTTCCCTTACACATTTAAAATATTATATCATAATTTTTATACTTACAAAATATCTTTCAAATGAAAGTACTACAAAATGGGCAGTATCCTATCAACTGAGGAAAGATACCCTTTCACTTCTCTTGTTTAGAACTCATTTTTCCTTCTTAAATTGAGAACCCTATCTTTCGTGAATTCTGAGGACTCCTTAGCATTATCTATTATTTCCATTACCCTATCTCTCTATTCTCTTCTCTGAATTCCCATTAGCCAGGTATTGAGGGCTCTCTGTGTATCCTCTATAATCTATTATATTTTGTATTGCAATGTGCTGCTTCCTGAGTAGTTTTTGCAGATCAACCTTCCAGTTTACTAACAGTCTTTTAAATTGTGTTTAGACTGCCATTTAAGTCATCCACTTGCTTCATTTCATTTTTATTTTATTTTTTTTTTTACTTTTAGAGACACAGTCTCACTCTGTTGCACAAGCTGGAGCCCAGTGGTATGATGGATTATAGCTCACTGCAGCCTTGACCTCCTGGCTCAAGTGATCCTCTTTCAGCCTCCCAAGTAGCTAGGACTGCAAGCATGTGCCACTGTACCTAGCTAATGTGTTATTTTTATTTTTTGTAGAGACAGGGTCTTGCTATGTTGCCTAGGCTGGTCTTGAGCTCCTGGCGTCAAGTGATCCTCTCGTTTTGGCCTCCCTAACTGCTGGGATTACAGGTATTCATCACGGTGCCCAGCCTGGTTTATTTTATTTTAATTACTATATTTTTGATTAGTAAATGTTCTATTTGATTCTTCTTTTCAAGTTTACTTAGTGATTTTGCATACTGTCTTATTCTTTCCAGATGTTTTTTACCATTTAAATATTCTTAGTTTATGATCGCCTTTATTCTTTTTCTATTATTTCTAGTACCTGAGACATTTGTGCCTCCTTTTTTTTTTCATGTAACCACTGCCTTGTATTCATGATGGAATTTTTTATTTTTGTGATTTTGTTTGTAAATTCATATTTGTTAAGTCCTGGTCCCTGCCATCCCCTCACATGGGAATCCCACGAGGTAGAAATGGATGGATGGTTTCCCATTTATCTCTATCAAGGATATCAACAACCTGGACTACTTTTTTTCTCTTTTAAAACATTAATTCATAGTTTATGATTTTCTTCGTAATGAAGTAAATGCAGTTTTTAAGTTCAAATGCATGTGAAGTGCATGGTTTACTTTCTACTGGAAGTTTCTAACAGAGTACATTGTTTAGGCCCTGAGGGCAAGAGAATCATTTTGTTTCCTTGCTCAGCTGTTGGATATAATTTATTAGTTTCCATTTCCCTGAATTAGTAGCACTTGGGGAGTTCTGGTTTTATGCAGGGTATCATTTAAAAATTTTTTTTAAGTTCTGGGGTACTTGTGTAGGATGTGCAGGTTTGTGACATAGGTAAACGTGTGCCATGGTGGTTTGCTGCGTTAGGATAAATAGCTAATGCATGCTGGGCAGGGTATCACTTCTACCCCCACTTCCATTCATGTGTAGTCTGAAAACTCTAGGGCAAATCCTTCACTCCATGACAAAATCTACAGAGTTATAGCAGCACCAGCTTTGGAGCCTCACTCTCTGGCCGTCAGCTACTGCTTTACTTCTAGTAATAGAAATTTTTGTTTTCATGGCAATCCCAACTATTCCCTACCATATATTTTGAAGACATCTGTAAGAGAGGAAAAAGCTGACCCATAGTTGGGGGGAAGATATTGCAATATGCATATTTATCAAAGAACGACATCCAGAATGTTGAGAGAACTTCTTTATTTGAGGAATAACAATAAAATCAGAGTAGCTCAAAGGAAGGCAGCAAGGGGAAGAGTGGTTGGAGACGAGGTTACAGGGGAATCTGGGGTCCACATCATAACAGGCTTTTCAGGCCTATGAACTATGGCTTTATTCTGAATGGGGTGGGTTGCCATTGAGTGGTTTTGAGTAGAAGGGTGACAAGGTCTGATTCAAGTTTTAAGAGGATTACTCACAGTGTTGGGGCAAGGACAGAATAAGAGAGCTCATTTATGAGGCCACTGCAATAATCCAACCATGAGATGAAGGTGCCTTGGGCTAGAGCATTAGTGGTGGAGTTGGCATAGTATTATTGGAGTCTGCATGCATTTTGAAAGACAGGATTTTCTGACAGATTGAATGTGTATTCTGAAAGAAATAGGGGAGTCAAGGTAACATCTATATTTTTGGCCTGAACATCTAAAAGAATATAGCTGCCAGCAGCCAAGATAGGGATGACTGCCCATGGGATGAATTTTGGGAGGAAGAGAAGAAATTTGAATTTGGATATGTTAACTTAGAGAAATAACTGGAAATGTTGAACGGGAAGTCAGATATGTGAGTCCGGAATTACAAAGAGACATGTGGGTTGGAAATACAAATTTGAGAGTAGACTAGTTTTGGATAGGGTTTAAATCTTTTAGAGTATATGATATCACTAATGCAAAGTGATGGATAGAGAGGAGCTCTGAGTGCTGAATGCCTTTGGCATTCAATGATGAAGAGATTGGGGAGATGAAGAGTCGCCAGTGAGGGGCACTGAGAAGGCACAGCAAGTAAGGTGGGAGGAAAACCATGGCAATGTGGTGTCTTGGAAATGGAATAAATATCTGCTACAGGAGGAGGCGATGATAACGGTGTCCCATGCTCTTGTTAGGACACAGTTGAAAGATCTCGAGATTGAAAACTGAGCTTCACAGATGTCAATATTAAGAACTGATCTTTGGACTTAGCAATGCAGAGCTCATTGGTATCTTTTATGAGAAAAATTTCAGTGGCGTGGTAAGACCAGATTCTAATTGAAGTGTGTCCAAAACAAGAAGGGAGCTTAAGCATTAAATTTTATTATTATTATTATTATTATTATTATTATTATTTTGGAAATAGGGTCTCATTTTGTCATCCAGGCTGAAGTGCAGTGGTGCCATCAGCACGGCTCACTGTAGCCTTGACTTCCCAGGTTCAAGAGATCGTCCCTCAGTCTCCCAAGTAGCTGGGACCACAGGTGTATGCCACTGTGCCCAGCTAATTTTTGTATTTTTTGTAGAGATGGGATTTTGCCATGTTGCCCAGGCTGGTCTCAAACTCTTGAGCTCAAGCAATCCACTTGCCTCAGCTCCCCAAGCTGGTCTCAAACTCTTGAGCTCAAGCAATTCGCTTGCCTCGGCCTTCCAAAGTGCTGGGATTACAGATATAAGCCACCACGCTCAGGCTGAAAAAATTTTTCAGTAAGTACTGCTGTATATGGGATCAGAGAAGGGGACAAGTTTGTTCAAAAGAAGGGTATCACACCTATAATCCCAGCACTTTGGGAGGCCAAGGCGCATGGATCACTTGGGGTCAGGAGTTTGAGATCAGCATTGCCAACATGGGGAAACCTCATCTCTACTAAAAATACAAAAATTAGACAGGCATGGTGGCATGTGCCTGTAATCCCAGCTGCTTGGGAGGCTGAGGCCGGAGAATTGCTTGAACTCAGAGGCAGAGGTTGCCGTGAGCCGAGATCACACTCCAGCCTGGGCGACAGAGACAGACTCCATCTCAAAAAAAAAAAAAAAAAAAAGGAAAAGAAGAAGGGTATTTTTTGTTGTTGTTTATAAGATGGGAAGATTAATAGTATATTTGTTTCAATGGGAATGATCCAGTAGGGTGGGAAAATATGAGGGAGAGAGGGAGAGAATTGCTTCAGCAGTGACCTCGGGTAGGTGAGAAGGTAGGGGAAGTAGTGTATAAATGGGTAGGGTGGAGATGCCTTAATAACTTGGGAAGATTTCACTCACAGTAATGAGGAATGTCAGAGAATACACAGCTGTGGGCTAGTTGGTAGATTTGGTGCTGCTAACCTTTGGAAACTGTCTTCTGATTGCTGCAATTATAGCAATAAAATACCAAGCAGGTCAGTAGTTGACAGTAAGGATGGAAATAAAAGTGTTGGATGTTTGAGGAGAAAGGAGAGTGTATGATAAAGTAACCTAAAGAAATGTAAGAACTACCAGATTAGGAAAATATATAATGGCCAGGCAGCAACAATGGTTCACTTAAAATTCTTGGTATTAATTTTAATTTGAGAGTGGTCAGAATGGCTGCCTGCTTTTCTCCAGAAATGATGAGATGTGTGAGCACAGTAGGTAAGGCACGGAGTAGGTAGAAAGTTGGATTGACTTGGGTTGTGGTTTTGCCAAATAAGGATAATGTGATGAAAGGAGTGAGGGGTTTGGAGATGAATGCAAGGGAGCTGCTGTAGTAATTGATCATGGAGTTTAAGATAGATAGGGAGGGATAATAGGACACCAAGGGGTTGAGGGACAGTGGATAGATGATAGGATCTATGAAATGGTGGTAATATTGGGAAGAAAAGACTATTCATGCTGAAATACTAGAGGAAGTGAGCTAGGAAGATAAAAGGCAGTGGTCAAGAATGGTTGCTTGACATTGTAAATATGAAGGAGTTCTGCTTATTGTTAATGGCACAGTCTTGGGTGTAGCCATAGGAGTGGGTGGCTGGGGTCCTATGAAGGACAAGATCTGTAGATGGCAGGAGGCCAAGGAACTGAGAGGCAAGAGTTTCGATGGAATTGTCTGTGCGTGTATTGAATTCACTAGTAATTAAGCCAAGGCTATTGTGGGTGAGAGTGGTAGTAGATTAGAAGCTAAAATCATGAACAAATGAAAACTATCCAGTAATTACAATTTTTCGTGTCTGCTTTGTTTTCTTCTTCCCTACTTCAGGGCTTCATCACCTCTCTATCCCAAGATACTGTATGTGATTTCCTCCTGTAGGATCTGGATTACCAGGATCTGGTCTAGTAGACCCTAGTAGGATCTGGTCTTAACTTTTCCTTTCCCAACCCCTTCTTCATGTAACTGTCAGAGTGGTAAATCTAAAAAATAGATGTGATCTTACCACTCTATTGTTTGACAGCCATTTAATTGTTCCCCATCACCTGTAGAGATGTCTGAGCTCCTCTGCCAGGAATTCAAGGTCTTGTATGACCTACAGACTTCCTACCTTCTCATCTTCCACCCTTGGACTTCAAATTCTAGCAACAGAAAACTATGTGTGCATTTCTGCTTGCACTGTAGTCTTTCCCATGTGACTTTTTATTTCCCTCAGCTGGGACTACCTCTCCTTCCTTCTCACTGTGCCCGATTCTTCATCTGGCAACATTCAATTCATCATGTAAGCCCCCACCCAAGAATCATATTTTCCAGAAACCCCTTGAAGCTAGAATGGTTGTACACATTAGACCATGGGTATAATTTTTCAGTTAAGCTTACCAGCAGTTCATGAATATCTGTGGAATGCAATAACAATTGAATACTTGATTTTTTTTCTTACACTTTTGGGAAATTTATAACTTATAGCAAATTGGACTCTTTAAGCCACATCTTACTTTTTTGTGCATATTTGTTTTATATTTGAAGGCAAGTAAAAAGTAACATAAGGTAACATGGTACTTTGCTTAGTTCTGAATTCTTCACTTAGTTCTTAACAATTCAAGAATGCTGAAAGTTTAAAGAGGTAACCTAATCCAGTGCTACTCAAAGTACTCAATGTCTGATACTGGTCCCTAAACATTTTTCAGGCTCTGAGAAATTTCTTTTCTATCTGCTATGAGATAAGGAGTTTGAATCAGAATGCAAATCAGCCACGTTCCTAAGCACACTCCTTAGTTTGCCGAAGTGTTTTTTGTAATTGGTCTTTCATGATGATTCTCAATGCATTGGTTCATGTCCAGGCACAAACTCCTTATCTTGGCATCTTGAACGGTATCAGCCGCTCCCTTTATATTATCAGTGGGGAGACTGAGGCACAGTGAGAGGAAAGTGTCTTGTGTAAAGTCACATTGTAACTTAGTACACTGAAATCTGTGGATCCTGGCTCCCATCCAATGCTTTCTAAGTCTCCATGCTTGCCTTTAGAACTATTTCCTATACCCATGTTTGGTTTTAACTCTTTGACTCTTAGCTTTATTTTATTTTTTTTAAAGTTCATTCCTATTCTATAGTAGGTTTGCCTTTCCCAAAAAGGTTTTTTTTATTTTTTTCAATTTCTTTACCTTTCTGCTGGAAAAGAATCAGCATGTGTTGTGGTATTATTATTTAAATGTTTATAGTCTGCCATTTTCCGCACACCAAGTCCCCAGCAGCGTCGAGTCAGACGGTCTCACACAGGTATCGTCTGCTCCATCTGGTCCTCGGCTTTCTCCAGGCAGGTCCCTGTATGGTGCAGCAGCTGAAGGTCCATATGGTCTCAGGTGCAGCCCCAGGTAGAGCATATTGCAGCATGCCAGTCCGCAGGCCCTGCGGCGGGAATAACTGCCGGGAGGCACACATCTGAGTGAAGTGGCCACCGCTGTGCCAAAATCAGAGGGCAGAAGGTGTTCTTGGCTTCCACGATGATCTGGACTTCCAGGACCGGTTGGGGACTGAGAAGCATACTGAATTGCAAATGTCAGTGCCCAGGCAACATCCAGAGAGAGCAAAGGAAACTTATTCTTCCCTTTACCTCTTTACCTGCTTTCAGTTATACTATGTCAGGAAAAGGATTTTGAATGGGTTAGGTGATGGAAAATACAGCTAAAAAGAAACTAATGTGCCTAAAATCACAAAGTTTCAAGTTTAGCTTTTTCTTCAAATTTGGCATTATTGTTTTAGGAGTTTTCTTCTTTGTTTCCTTTCTAAGTATCTAAGAAGAGTGTCCTAAAGGAAATCTGTATGAGAATTTGGAATTCTTTCTTTATTCTATTCTAGATTTTATCAATGAAGTCAACATAAAATGAGTGTGTTCATTAATCTTTGAAAAATAAGAATTCCTTCTGAAATTTAAAAATTCCTGATCAATGACAGTGAAGGACACAAAAAGAGATACGGTCTTAGTATATTCCAGCTGCTACAGCAAAAATACTGGGTGGCTTATAAACTACAGAAATTTATTTCTCACAATTCTGGAGGCTAGAATTCCAAGATCTAGGTGCCGGCAGATTTGGTGTCTGGTGAGGGACCGCTTCCTGATTCATGAGTGGCTGCTTCTGGCTGTATCCTCACACGGTGGAGGAGGTAATGGTCTGTCCTGGGCATCTTTTATGAAAACACTAATTCTATTCATGAGGTTGTCATCCCCATGATCTAATCACTCCCTAAAGATCTCATCTTCTAATACCGTCACCTTGAGGGTCAGGATGTCAACCTATGAGTTTTGTAGGAACACGAACATTCAGACCCACTGTGATTTTTCAGTACAAGGTGGATCCCGCTGCCCTCTCCTCAGGAGCCTCTGATCGTGCCCACTCCTGACAAAGATGGCATGTTTGGTCCTCTATTCAATGATGTTTCTTACTGGGGACATTAGGAAGCCCTTACTATCACATTAAGAAGCCCTCACTATCACATTTTACCATTTCATATTAAACTCCGAATCTTTTAAAGTAGGTTTTAAAAGTCATCTATAAGGCCTGAGACAAGCTTTATAATGAAGCTTCCAGGGAAGGGGGGTATGCAAGAAATTGGATTACATCTTTTGGTGTTAAATTGTTTTGTCTCTTTTAGAACACTTGGAATTGAGTTGAATTCTCCAAGGCAAGGAAAATATTAATGTACACCTATTGGTGAATCCTGAAAAAAGAAAAAATAAAACAAATGATTTTAATCCTCACTTTTCATGTCTCTATAAAACATGTATCAAAGGATATAATTTATTTCCAGCTTTCATAAATTCATAGTTTTGTGGGGAAAAATCCGTTTGCTTTATGAAACTGCACAGTCCAAATTGAACCAATAACTAATATCCAGGTGTATTAAAGGGAAGTTATAAATTGCTTTCACTTTCTATATTCTTCAATGAATAGGGAAAATATGGATTAAACCACCTAAATATTTAGTGATGATGTAATTGGAGAGTTTAACTCATGGAGTGGAAATCAGAAATGCAATGTTGACATTTTTAGTAGTAATTCGCATTATAGGAAAGGAAGACATTCTTTTTTTTTTTTTTTTCTTGATAGGGTCTCACTCTGTTACTGAGGCTGCAGTGCAGTAGTGCAATCACAGCTCACTGCAGCCTTGACCTCCCCAGCCTCAGGTGATCCTCAGCCTCCCAAGTAGCTGAGACTACGGGTGCATGCCACCACACCTGGCTAATTTTTTGCAGAGATGGGGTTCCACCCTGTTGCTCAGGCTTGTCTTGAACTCCTGAGCTCATGCAGTCTGCCTGTCTCGGCCTCCAAAAATGCTGGGATTACAGGCATGAGTTACCATGCCTGGCCTCAGGAAGATGTATTCTTTAAGTTATAAGTGATGTAGGATTATGAAATAATATAAAAGTAAATAGACAAAGCAAAATAGAATAATATGAAAATACAATAGCTGCCATTTTTATAATTATCCCCAATTTACAGATGAGGAAACTGAGGCTTGAAGAGAATACTTAATTTGACTGATACCATAAAACTAGTAAGTAGAAGAACAAGAATTAGAAGCCAATTCTGTCTCCAATACCTGCGTTCTCACCACTACACATATTGCTTTCTCCTAAAGAAGCAATGGTGTCCCCTACCTGAGACAGGCAGTGCTAATTTGTCAATACCTGTAAGAAAGAAAAGAAGGGTCCTCAAAGCATATCAGAATATTCACATGAATGTTAGAATCATGAGATCACTGGCCGGATTCAGGCCAACCTAAAGAGTAAAGTTTTTAAAGAAAAAGTAGATCTATCTAAGAAAAAAAAATGTATAAACTTGGATTTTGAAGCTAGTTTTAAAAATGAATATCCAACAATTAATTACAATTTAAATTTGATTTGGGTGTGCTTCTCTAGTTACTGTGCCTGTAACTGCATCCTGAGGGGTTCACGAGCGCGCGAGGGCCTGACTATGCACCTGGCTCTGGCAGCCGGGAAGCTTTGGATAATTAAAGTGGATGCAGTCCATTTTCTAAGCAGGGTACTTTATGGGATCAGAGTTAAATTTCTATGCCAAATGGTAAAACTCTGAGGTCCAGCTCACTGTGAACAAGACCCTGTTGTCTCTAATCCTCAGTCGGCTAGCATAACCCATCTCCAGCGATCAGCTCCCTTAGAAGGTAAGCTGCCTCATGTCAGTTAGTGTGGTACCCAGAAGAGAAGCATCTTTTCCTCCACTGGCTTCTGTAGGCCGAGGAGGAACTGCAATGGTTGAAAGGGTCTCTAGAGATGCCTTCAGAAGTTGGGCACAAGGCAAATGAGGGGTTAAGAGCAAAGTTAAAAAAAAAGAAGACAATTTTATATATATATATATATATATATATACACACACACATAAATAAAATTATATAATCACAGCATCTGAATACATATGCAAAGATAATTACGTAATATTTTAATATATATTTATATATAATTTTAACATTATTATATTAAAATAATTATATATAATCACAGCATTTTAGTCAATTGCTAGACAAAGTGTGTTAAATAGCAGTTTTGTAGTTTTATTGAAATTAAATCAGAATTAAGGTGATTTTAAAAAAAGAAAAGTGTTAAAAGAAAAACTTCAGTTTAATTAAATTTAAAGGAGTTTAAATGAGCAATGAATGATTTGTGAATTGGGCAGCCCCCAGAATCACAGTAGATTTAGAGAGACTCCAGTGGAGTCCTGTGGTGAAAGAAAATCTGTGGACAGTGAAAGGCGAGTAACGTAAAGAAAATGGAAGTGAGGTACAGAAACAACTGGATTGGTTACAGTTTGGCGTTTGTCTTATTTGAGCACAGTTTGAGCATTTGGTGAAATTAAGGTTAAATATAAATATAAATACATTTCATAATTCTGAGCAGGGAGTTTTATAATTTAAAAGGAATGCTGAGGACATCTGAGGTCCAGCTCACTGTGAACAAGCTCCTGTTGTCTCTAATCCTCAGAGTTGGCAAGCATAACCCATCTCCAGAGATCAGCTTCTTTAGAAGATAAACTGCCTCATGTCAGTGTGGTACCCAGAAGAGAAGCATCTTCTTCTCCACTGGCTTCTGTAGGCCTTGGAGAAGCTATTTCAAAATGGGCTATGTGAATAATGGGTTATGTGATTCATTTTGAATGTCAATTTGCCAACCTGGTCAGGTGGGTATTAAATTTTTTATGACATTCTAAATAGATAACCATGATATAGCAGATCTTCCAGAGCAGGGCAGGCGTCACCCCTCTAGCTACATCATCTCTAATGCTAAAACATTTAAAGAGGAAGCTTCTTTTTCTTCTAGGAGTCATTTGCCTATGAGGTCAGAATGGATGAAGCTCTGGAGTCATGACTGCAGTCAAGATGCCGTTCATTGTTTCTTTCCTTTTTCTTCTTTCTACCCAACAGTACATAACATGTAGGATTCGAATCCTCCAATATTTGAAAGCTTTCACTGTCTACCCACTATGTACAATCCAGAGCTTTGGGAATCTCGTTCTATGCCAAGCCTTTAGTCTTCTGTTCTCCAAGAGCCTAATTATGGGGTCTATTTCACTCTGCGTCCTTGGCTTTATGTATTCCCCACCATCTCTGTCCTGTTCTCACACTTCCTCAAATATCACTCACTTCACTTCAACCTGGGCCTTCCTCTCCCAGAATCAAGCATGATATTCTCAGTATTTATAGTACAGCCTACTGCACTACTAAAATATTCCTTATGATACCAAAAAAATAAAATAACATCTGCTTTCCAAGAAGCGTGTGTTTTTGAAACCCATCCCCAAAATGCCTTTTCTTTTGCACGTTCATTGCCTGTTGTTTACTCTGTTAATATTTTTAGCCCACTTATTGCCAGGCATTGTTATGTAAGAAGGAGTTTCTGAACACCATTTGCTCAGAAGGTTCTTCTTGAGATCTGGTGCCTTACAATTTCACATGTGTCACCAAGTCTGCAATGGCTAAGGCTTAATTGGCTTTGATATGCTGCGAATGGCCAAGAAGTGGGTTGTTTGGAAAGCCTCATGCTGCCATTCAGCCTTTCCTGCAAACAAAGGACTTGGCTGAGTAGCAATGTTATCAAAAGTTTGCAGACAGGGACTGCGGAAGGTATCCTGCTCTGGGGGGCAGTGGAGAGAAGGGGTTGGCCGTAGCCTGGGATTTGGGATTGTTAATACTCAGGTTCCTGATAATGTTAGCTTCTGTGTGTTGCCCTTGGGAGTCCTCAGCAAGGGTAGAGAATGGCATTTTTTAAATACGTGTTTCAGAACAGCAGCTGTAGCTATTGGAAAAGAGGAGAAAATTCTAGACTGGGAGCAAAAAGAAGAAAGGGGATGAAAAGCTTGGGTGGAAAGTGAAACCCAAAGAAAGGGGTAAAATGGGCGTTCAGTCTTCTTGGAAATCACCAAAAGCCTTAAGAGTGGGAACTTCCTCTTTCAAATGGAGGTTCAAAGTCATGTTCATGAATATGAGCACTAAGTTACAAGTGACTTTATAATTCTGCTCATGCCTTTCCTTACTTATTTTTCAAGGTCCAACTTAATTATGTGACCAGCTCCAATGATCAAGTCAAGAAAAATAAGAATAATCACTCTTCTCTACTCATTCATAAAGCAAGGTCTGCTTCTCTGGGAAGGCTCTTATTTCAAGCAAAGAAACTCTGTCTCCCACATCTGGTTTGGGAACCTCTCTATTTTGGAATCCATTCCAGAATGGGTTTAGTCATAGGTGCTCAGAAAGTGTTTGTCAAGGTGACTTTAGTGTAGATATCTTGAGTGCTAGGAAGGGCAGGGATCCTGGAGACAGTGTGTTTCAATTTCCCTACCTAGAGACAGTACTTTTTAGGCAGAGGACAGCTAGGTGACGGACGGCACAGCCTGTGTGTGGGATGCATCTCCGTGCAGGAAAATACCAAAATGTAAGCAGTAGTTTATTAGAGAAAATTCCCAAATATAGTAAGAAAAGCAACCCCAAATTCCTCATAACAAGAGCCACAGATAAGATATGAGATGTAACAGAAAAGTGTATTCATGTATCAAATATTTTCATAGTAGAGATGAAATAAAAAAATTCAACATAAAGAAATTAGGAACAAAATACTAAGAATGAATGTCGAAATGAGACACAGACATTTCTTTTGCTATTTACAACTATCTCAGGCTATTTCTTAAGATTTCCTCTAGGGGATAAATATAGATATACTTGAGTAATATCTACTACTTATTATGAAATGTTTTTTTGAGACAGTCTCGCTATATTGCCTAGGCTGGAGTGCAGTGGTGTGATCTTAGTTCACGCAACCTCTGCTTCCAGGGTTCAAGTGATTCTCATGGCTCAGCCCCTTGAGTAGATGGGACAACAGGCGCACACCATCATGCCCAGCTAATTTTTTTTCATTTTTAGTAGAGATGGGGTTTTGCCAGGTTGACCAGGCTGGACTCAAACTCTTGACCTCAGGTGATCCACCCACCTCAGCCTCCCAAAGTGCTGGGATTGCAGGCATGAGCCACTGCACCTGGCCCTATTATAAGATTCTTACTTGATCATAAGCCCCATGTGGTCAGTTTTGTTGTCCACCTTTGCAGTGCTCCCCCAGTACCCCACTTTCCCCAGCACACAGGTGCAGGTGTGCACACATGGGCACACACACACGTGTCCTTGCCTGGCATAGTACCTGGTACAATACAGACCCTCAATAATTTTAATAAAGTAGATTATATAGTCATTTGACAAATATTATTAAAACGTGACTCTGGGAGAGCACTTTGGTAGACACCAGCGTTGTAACGTTAAGTAAGATGAAATGTTGCCTTCAAGGGGTTCATAATCTAGTGAGCGTGTTAAAGTTTTCTGTTTTGTAAGTTTCAGTGAAGTTTAATAGGCAAATGGCATGACGGGGTAAAAGGAAGAGATGGTTCAATCTACTCAGAGAGGTCAGATGCTGCTGTACAGGTGAAGTGCTCAACCATATTGTGAAGCAGGAATTTTCTAGATAGCCTGGGGTGGGGGATGCCATCTAGTGTGGAAAGAGAAGCCTGAGCCATATGTACATTTAGAATAGAATTTCCCTACTGTATCATAATGGCTAATTGGTCATATCCTATGTTATCTTTATGTTATTTTATTTATTTATTGAGACAGAGCCTCACCCTGTCACCCAGGCTGGAGTGCAGTGGTGCAATCTTGGCTCACTGCAACATCCACCTCCTGGGTTCAAGTGATTCTCCTGCCTCAGCCTCCCAAGTGGCTGGGACTATGGGCATGTGCCACCATGCCTGGCTAATTTTTGTATTTTTATTAGAGACGGGGTTTCACCATGTTGGTCAGGCTAGTCTCAAACCACTGACCTCAGGTGATCTGCCTGCCTCAGCCTCCCAAAATGCTGGGATTACAGGTGTGAGCTACTGCACTCGGCCCATATCCTATATTATCTTAAACTTCTTGAAATTCAAGGGACTATAGAGCCCTCATTCATCTCTGTAGCCCCAGAACTTAGAACGATGCCTACCAAATAGCTGGTGCTCAATAAATGCTTGCTAGGTGAGTATAGAGTAACAGAGGCGTGATCCCAAAGAGACCGTCAACTCATTTGCATAATTTCTTTTACCTCTGATATAGTTTCAATGCTCATCCTCTCCACATCTCATGTTGAAATATGACCCTCAGTGTTGGAGGTGGGGCCTTGAGGGAGATGTTTGGGTCACAGAGACAGATCCTTCCTGAAAGGATTGATGCCCTCCCCACAGTAGTGAGAGAGTTCTTACTCTGTTACCTGGAGATCTGGTTGTTAAAAATAATCTGCACCTCCCCACCCCCCCCCCCCACCCTTTGCTCCTTTTCTATGCCAGCTCCACTGCCCTTCTGCCATGAGTCAGAGCTTCCCAATGCCTCTCCAGAAGCCCAGCAGATGCTGGTTCCATGCTTTCTGTACACCCTGCAGAACCATGAGCCACAATAAATCTCTTCTTCATAAATTACCCAGTCTCAGGTATTCCTTTATTACAATCCAACATGGAATAATACAACCTCATTTTGTATACCTGACATTGAACCCAAATTTCCTATGTATGTATGGCTTATCTGCGATAGGATGTAAAAATCAGGAAATTGTGCTGAATGTACTTAAATTTCCAAGATGAGAACAGATGGTGATTTTAAATAGTTATGGGAAGAAATCGATGGAAAAGAAGACAATGGCAAGAAAAGTCGATGCTTTCTCTCTTAGCATAAATCTGGGTGGAGTCATCAGAGACTCCAAAAGTCTTCCTGTTGTTGCTGCTCTGTGTGGACCCAGTTTCTCTCTGCAATCGCTCCACAAGCTGTAGCCAAGGGCTCTGTGACACTCAGTGACATCCACTCCAACTGGCAAAGAGAATGTGACAATCAGGCCTATTTTTAAGCAAAAGTTGAATTCATGTTAAGAGAGTAGGGGATGAGAGAATGAAAGAGAGGAGCTCCTCAGGGGGCTCTGCCCTGAAGAGCCCCATCAGAATGTCCCCGGAGCTCCTTCTGTTCTGGGACACTGACAAGGGCAAGGACGAAAGTGAAGGGCAGTCCTGACGCTGCTGGAGGACTCGGCGCTTTCTCTCCTGATGCTCTTCCACAGTCCAATGCTCTGCATGGGTTTTCTTTGAAAACAGGAAGGGCTCCAGAGCAGGCACAGCCTGTCAATCGTCTGACATTGTCTGGGGGCACTCAGCATCATGGCCACTTTCACACCTTTGGTGAGGACAGTCACTGCTCAGCAACTGGTGTGTGCACGCGCGTGTGTGTGTGTGCATGTGTGTGCGCATGTGTGTGTGCGTGTGTGTATGTACAGGTGAGGGGAGGCAGAAAAGACAAAGGTGAGTCACGCAGGGGAAATGTTTGAGTACAACCCTTGCCATTGGCAGCTTGAATTGACTGAGTTCTGAGTATTGATTAGGGTTTAGAGTGCAGTTTAAAACCTTAGTTTTCCTTTAGCTTAAAGAAATTCTCAAGGCTCACGGAGCAAAATAATAAACAATAACAGATACAATTTTCATTTATTTTTAGCTAGTTTGAGGAACACACCAGAAGAAAAAATGTAATCCTGTCATAGGTAACTTCACACCGAATGAGAAAGTTTTAAAAATTGTGAAAAATAGTCACAATAAGGAAACTGCGGGCCGACTTGTAACGTCAGGGTCATTCAACAGCCTTCTTTCTGATTTCCTCAGTGAGACAGGTTTTCTCCTTGCCTGTGGCCTAGTGTGAGCTGGAGGGGATGTTCTAGCTGAGCCACTTTTTACAGGAAAATTAAAAGGACAGAGGAAGTGGTTGCAGCAAAGGGTCCCCTCTTCTAGGCATCGCGTTGTCTTGGCACAGAGCTCTAGTTTCTGGAGTTTTCTGAGACCCTATTCTGGGTTTGTGGATTTAGCCTGGGTAAAAACAGGCAAAGCTAGTAAAAACAGACAAAGCTAGCAAAACAGCATAGCCATTGCTCAACTGGGCAGGCTAAAGTCATACTCCTTGGTTGCCCCAGAGTTGCCTGTGCCCCCTGGCTCTGATGATGGCACTCTTCCGTGTTGGTGGGTGAGAAACATCGCCCTGGGCACACAGTAAAGGGCCTTCAGCGTAGTTCTGGAGGTGGTCATGTGCACAGGGACCTCAAAAAACATAAACGGTCACACACGCTTTTCTCTTCTCTCTTCTGTGTGGCTCTAAGAGGTGCCTGCCCCCATGAGAAGGGGGCCTAGGGCTCTTGATTTTCCATGGACTTCTTCTGTGTTGTGTCTCAGACAGAAGGGGTCCTGCCCTCTTCCTTGCAGTCCACACATCTATCCTGCTCTCCTTGTTCCATGATCAGACATCAGCGCGTTCTTACTATTTCACATGCACGTGTGCAAGGGGATAGTAGTACAAAGTCATACCTTGACAACTGATCTCACTGTAGTGACAGAACCTGTGTGGTGGTGACAGTGGACAGAAAGACAAGTGTCCGGGCAGGGATCCCCAATACCCTGTGTTTCCTTTGAGGGATGTCCTGTGGGCCCTTGCTGTGTCTGCAGATCCCCTTCTTCCTGCCTCTCTCAGGTGAAGACAGCAGAAGATAAACCTTAGCTCACACCTACTAGGTGATGCGAAGCATAGTTACTTGACAAATGCTTGTTTTCAAATTTAGACTTTCAGCATTTTATCCTGCAGTAATGTTACTGGTATTCCAATAACTTTAAAATTCTTATGCTTTACTGAGATATGACCAATTCTTTTTCTGTCTCTACAATGACATTATTTATGTTAACTAGTGCTTTTTTCCCAGTTGCACTTGTCTGTTTTTCCTAGCACTCCACTGATAAATAAGTTCTATTTCAAATTACTAAATGTCAGAATGCCTTGATAATCCTAGACTCAGACACATACTATCCAATGGTTATATATGACATATGGGTTTCCTTGAATATGGTTGTCTTTTTGGGAGGACCTGATTTTAATGGCAGTGCTGCATGTGCTTCTGAAGCGTGCTCCAACAAGATTCTGCTTTATTTTTAAAATCTATCCTTTCGATTGAAATTTCAGGTGAACTGGCAGAAATCCTTTGCCTTGCAGAGAGAAGGGATAGGATGGATTAGGAGGTTGCTGGCTATACTTTTGTGAGTGGTCAGAATCTGAAAGGCTAAAATTAGGAGTGTTAGTAACTGATCCAAGACATTCCAGCAGGCAAATAGTTAACTACTTCTTATTAAATATCTTCCATGATACATGCTGTGCATGCGCGAGCCCATGGGACATGCTCTAATTGATCCTAACCCATGAGTTAGCCTTATTCTACTTATATGGGTGAGGAAATCCAAGTGTAGAGAGACTACAGGACCTGTCCAAAGTCTCACAGCTAGGACGCTGTACCTGACTGCAGATTTGTTACCATACACTGACTCCTAAGAGAAAAACACTTGGGTAAGCTTGAGGCAGAATGTTTTTAACTATAGTCAGAACTATACTACAGAATTCAGGGTGCCAATCTGAGTTAGAAAAAATGATAACAGCCTTTAAAGAGCCAGACTAGAGATGGGCACAGTGGCTCATGCTTGTAGTCCCAGCACTTTGGGAGACTGAGGCAGGAGGATTGCTTGAGCCAGGAGTTCAAAACCAGCCTAGGAAACAGGACCCCAGATGTGGCAGTAAGACCCCATCTCTACAAAAAATTTAAAAAATTAGCCAGGTATGGTGTCATGAGACTGTAGTCCAGCTACTCAGGAGGCTGAGGTTAGAGGATCACGTGAGCCCAGGAAGTCAAGGCTGCAGTGAGCCATGAGTGCACTACTGCACCCCAGCCTGGGTGACGGAGCAAGATCCTGTCTCAAAAAAGCCAGACTAACCTGCTCTTTAATGAAAATCAAATATTTCTGATACAGTCTGGTAGGATTGCATCAATATATTTGCTTTTCCTTGAGAGAGTATCTGATTATTTTTCTTTGAATGACAGTTATAAATGTAAGAAGAGAAAGTCTTGTGAAATTTTTGTACACTGTGTGTATGTGTGTGTGTATGTGTGTGTGTATTAGAGAAATCCAAACTTGGACACACACACACACACACACATCCATCTATCTATCTATCTATCTATCTATCTATCTATCTATCTATCTATGTATCTATCTATCTATCTATTATATATACATACATATATATGTAGAGAGAGAGAGAGACAGAGAGAGATTATCTTGGGGAAAACTAGGACATAAGGGTCGGGGTAAATTACCTATTTTTGATTTAAAATATTTATTTTTTACCTATTGTTTACATTCTTATACAGTTTGAATTTTTTTCCCCATGCATAACTTTCATTCTGTAAGAAACACTTGGGTGTACATGCATCTTCCTCGTATAACTGTGGAAAAAAGGTAAGTCCCCTGCCTAGCCCTGAGTGGTCCCTGAAGGAACTCTCTGTTCTTTGATCTCATTTGTTCTTACGGTTTATCCAGAAACTAGGCAGTGGCAAACAGGGAGTGGGTTCTTTTCTCTGTGATTAGGGACTGCTCTTTACAGGACAGAACTGGGTGTCCTGGAACTTAGTGGGGACCTGCCTTATGCCATCACCCAGCCAGTTAGCAGAGGCAAGTTCACAGTGGCTCCCCTCAAGAAAGCAGAGGTACACGCTTAAAAAGCATCACTGACACAGTTTATTCAAATAAAGGCAGCACTGTTTTTGTATTTCACAGCACAACACAAACAACGTTCAGTATTGCCGATTCCCAGCTCCTAAACCCCTCTGCTCCTAAAGTCTCTGCTAAAATCTTCCATGTGATATTCTGTAGGCTTAAAATGATGTCTTCCTTTAATCTATTTCTTCTGAACGTTCTCACCAGGTGTATTCATTTTCTTTTCAGCTCCCTTTGAGAGGAATGACCATAGGGGCCCAGGAAGCTCGGTGCAGGTGTGGGCTCCTCTCTAAGAGGGTGTTTGCCATTTCTTTCTCTGAATCTCAGTTTTCTCCTCTGCAATAGGAGAGATATGACCACAGCACTCTCTAAGATCCCTCCTTGGCTTGCAGAGTTGACATCTGTGTTGCAGTTCAGGAAGGAAATTCTAAGGTCAGGCCCCTCACTGTACCATCTCCCAGATCAAGGGGAGTTTCACATGACTCAAGGAAAAGAGGCCACCGCAGATTCATCAAGACATAATGCCCCCAATTTTTCCATTTAGGATGAACTCAAATGCATACGTAATCCAGAATTGTTATGGAGACATCTCATTATCATTGTTGTTATTGATTTTTTTAAGTGTGTTCATCACTCTGCTTCTAAATCCATTACAAAGAACGAATACATATTTAAATATTTATTATTATCCAAGATTGTGGCCACACACTTCCTTATCCTCCCACTTGCATCTGCTCTGTGATTGACTGAACAGATGGGTGTTGCACCCTGTTCTTAAAGCCAAAATACAAGGGCTCTGTGTTTTATACTAAAAGAAACTGTGTAGCAAAGGCAGATAAAGTATATAGTTACGTCATTCCTCTTCTTAGGCCTTTCCTTAGGAGTTGAGCAAGAATTCTGTAGTGTTTTTGACATTTAAAACTATAGTATGTCAAAGAATACAGCCAAGAGAATAATGACTATTGAATTATTTAGGTCTTCCCCTGGGTTTCTTTGCTTCATTTAGCAAAACTATCCACCCAGTCTTCCAAACTAGAAATCTTGTGGTTGTCTCTTTTCTCACCCACCTTGCTAACTTAGTTGGCTATCAACTTCTAAGCATTCTAAATCTGCAATTTTGCTTGAACCTATCCCCCTCTCACCATCCCCACTGCTTCTGTTGTCATCCAGTTCGTTAGCTTGGCTCTTCAGCATCTCTTCCTAATGTCTAACTGTCTATAAAGCAGATAGAGGTACGTAGATGTGTTCTAGGAGCACAGAGGGAGAGAAAGAGCATGTAAGTGCAAGGAGATCTTCAAGAAGACAAAGTAGTTTGAGGGCACAGTCTGTATACATAGGTAAGGGGCAGAGAGAAGCCAACTTCTTATATCCTGCTAGAGAGTTTGGACTTAATCCAACAGGCTAAAGCAAGCCAATAGGGGTTTACTGAAACTACAAGAATCAGAAGATTGCTTCTGTTGTAGAAAGATGGTTCTACTGAGAAAACACAGAAATAACTGAAGGGAAAAATTAATTGTTATACAAGTCCAGATGAGCCATCCTCAGATGCTAAACTATGAAGTGCTGGTGCATTTATAGAAAGGGGAATGGATGAGAAGTTCACCCAGGAAATGGCTATAAAAGATGGAAGGGGCCAGGTGCAATGGCTCTTGCCTGTTAATCCCAGCACTTTGGGAGGCCAAGGTGGGTGGATCACGAGGTCAGGAGATTGAGACCATCCTGGCTCACACGGTGAAACCCTGTCTCTACTAAAAATACAAAAAATTAGCCGGGCGTGGTGGTGGGTGCCTGTAGTCCCAGCTACTCGGGAGGCTGAGGCAGGAGAACGGTGTGAACCCAGCAGGTGGAGCTTGCAGTGAGCTGAGATCGCACCACTGCATTCCAGCCTGGGTGACAGAGAGAGACTCTGTCTCAAAAAAAAAAAAAAAAAAAAAAAGGAAGGAAAGCAAGACAGGACAGGAGCATTAGGCTGATGTCTAGGTTTCTCATTTGAAAGACTGGGTTGATATTGGTGCCAGAACAGGAGTAAGGAATACAGAAGTCCAAGAAGAGAAGAAGCAGAATAAAAGGGGGAGGGATGATGAGTAGTTTTAAAACTGTTGGGTGTTAATTACTCGTGGAATTATCCAGGGAAAGATGTTTAGTGAGCAGTAGATAGTTGCTATGGTTTTGAATGTCCCCTCCAAGACTCTTATTGAAACTTAACTTCTATTGTGATGGCATGAAGAGTTGAGACCATTAAGAGGTGACTTGGCCATGAGAGCTCCTCCCTCATGAATGGGCTGATGCTGTTATCATGGAAATAGGTTGATTAGCACCAGAGTGAGTTGTTATAAAAGGGAATTCGGACCTCTCTGTCTCATACTCATTCTTTCTTGGCCTTCCACCATCTGCCATGGGAAACACAGCATGAAGGCCCTCATCAGATGCCAGAGCCATACTCTTGAACTTCCCAGCCTTCAGAACCATATGCCAAATACATTTCTATTTATTATAAATTACTCAGTCTGAGACATTCTGTTGTAGCAACATAAAAAACTAAGAAAATAATTATTATAAGTTTTATTGATTAAGAAGTAGTAATCTTATCTACTAAAATTAAAAATGTGCATGTATATTACTTGGAAATCCACTTCTAGGCATGCTACCCTAGAGAAATATTCTCACATGTGCAATTAAGGAAATGTAAGTTGATTTTATTGAAGCATTATTGTAGTACAGAAAGTTGTAAACATTCTGACTGTTCCTGAATAGAGGAATGATTAAATAAAATGTAGTCTATTACTATGATAAAATGATGTATATGGTAAAAAGGAATACAATGTTTTGCTGGTAATTTTTTAATGATTAGCCTCCTAGAAAAGCAAACATAACCCTGATTTGTAGCCTTCCCTAATTTCAGAGGTATAAATATTCCCACCCTGGCCAATTTCAACCTACCTAAGTGACAACACTGATTTTGCGGTTGCAAAGAGATGCACACAAAAGGCTTTTACCAGCCAGTGCAAACAAACTTCAGCACGGTGCTAAGAATGAATTATTTTTCATATCAGTGCAGATAGCTCTCAAAATATTGATGTTGAATAATAAATACAAATACTATGTGTTCTCAAAGGCCTTTGTAATAAAAGTATTCCCAATTAAAAATAAGTCCAAGTGTGGTGGCTCCCATCTGTAATCCCAGCACTTTGGGAGGCCAAGGTGGAAGGATTTCTTGAGTCCTGGAGTTCAAGACCAGCCTGGGCAACACAGTTACGCCCCATCTCTACAAACAAAAACAAAAACAAAAACAAAAACAAAGCAAAACAAAAATTAGCCAGATTTGGTGGAATGTGCCTGGGGTCCCAGTTACTCAGGAGGCTGAGGTAGGAGGATCACTTGAGCCCAGGAGGTCAAGACTTGCAGTGAGCAATGATTGAGCCACTGCACTCTAGCCTGGGTGACAGAGTGAGACCCTATCTCAAAATACTACTACCACTACTACTAATAAAACCCTCTGGAAAGAGAAACACCAGACTTCAACACAAAAGTTTCCTCTGAGGATGCAGGAGGAAGGGAAGTGAAGAGCACAAGTACTATTGGATATTGTAGTCTTTGATGTAGAAAGCTTTTTTAAGGAATGTTTTGGCACTAAAGGAAGGTACAGTTATTTTAAGGAAGATAAGAATTACTTTATTAAAATTATTTCTAAAGCAAAACAAATACACATACAATGGCACACCAAAAATATAGGCAATTTTTTTTTGTTATTTTATTTTTAAAATTCTGGAAAGGAAACCACCCCTTGTGTGGTCTGCAGTGTTGGGGAGCAGTGAGGAGTGAATGGGATTCATGGATGAAGGTTAAGAGTAGATAAAAGGGCCTAGTTTCAGTTGTTCAAATTTGATCCTTTTTACACTAAAGCATTTGCATCCTGAACCTCAAAGTCTGGCTATGTAGTTTTCTCCAAAGTTTTCTTGCTTTTTTTCTGCCATCTAACCAGAGAGTGTTTCTTGTTTACCTAGCTATCCCACAGGGGAATAAAAAAATGAGTGAAGGTGATTTTAAAATTAAAATATACTTTTAAAACAATGATGTTATGGACTAAATGATTGTATTACCCCAAATTCATATGTGGAAGACCTAACCCCCAATGTGATGGTATTTGGAAGAAGAGCCTTTGGAAAGTAATTAGGTTTAGATGAGGTTGTGAGGGTGGGGATCCAGTGATGAGATTACTGTTCTTGTAAGAAGAGACCAGAGAGCTTTTCCTCTCTCTCCCTGTCTCTCTTTCTCCACTATGTGAGGATATAGCAGGAAAATGGCAGTCTGCAAGCCAGAAAAAGAGTTTTCACTGGGGAATCACGTCTCCAACCTCTAGAACTGTGAGATACAAATGTCGATTGTTGAAGCTACCCAATCTATGTTATTTTGTTACAGCAGCCTGAACAGACTAAGATAAATAGCTAATGTTAAAGAAAGAAATTTGAGAAATGTCAAATGCTAAACCCTGAAGACCTAAAATTGGGTGCAATCTAACCTTGACAATGTCTTCAGAAAGGCCCATTATATAGAACAGGAAATGCTGTGTTTTATTTTATTCTATGGGAGTACCTAGAGTTTTGCAATTCAGTTCTCCTAATTGTTTCACTAAGGGAGAGAAGGAAGAGATCATGGAACAGTATCATTGAGATCTAGGAAACTGGATTATAGCAATTAGAGGAAGTTATCCTGTGGATTGGCAAATCTGAACATTTCCTTAGGAGACAACTGGGCCATCTGCTTCATGGGCGAGCATAAAGAATCAGATTGGGAGAGTGAGTTCCTTAGGTAACCCCACAGTGTGGTAGCAGAAATAGGGCTAGCCTTCTCCTTACACTGGCCAAGTATGGTAGAAGGGCTAGAAGGAAGGAAATTGGATTAAAAAAGAAAAGAGGCATAAGGAGATATTTAAAAACATATCTACCTTATATAATGGGCTGAAAGTTATTTATAGTCAGGTTCCCATGCCCTTGTCACTTCCAGCTATCCTGTGTGAGTCCTCCTTTTCTACTTAGAAATCCCCATGATATTAGGTGATCCTTGTCCTGAAAAAGCTACATCTGCCTCCATAGTGCCCTCTATTTGGAATCCTGCCCCAAGTAGAAACTCCAGATCTCTGTGTCCACAAGCAGCCATTCATCACAGCTGATGAAAATCCATTCTGTTGTGCTTTCCATCCTTCCACATTCTTCAAGACTGGACAGATGGAGGCCCAGCACCTAAAGTTTTGCTGACTGTGATGCATGAACTAAGCAGAGAAAGGGACTAAGAACTTAGGAAAGAACCAAGGGCAACTGCCTTTTCATAGATAAACAGAGTAACTCTTTTGACTCATTACCATTTAGCATGGTGGAATTCAATGTAATAAATAATTACTGGACATCTATTACATAGTAAATAGAACATGGTGTCTACTATGAAGAGTGGTGAACACATGCAATTTTTATAACGTAGCTAGGATGAAATAAAGGCTTCATCAGAGGTTCATCAAAAGGACTTCAGAAATAAAAGGAACTAAATAATTGTAACTTTGGGAACTGGAGAAGGTTGTTTGGTAGAAACGGCGTTGAGCAAAACCAGCAAGACAGGCAGGAATTCATCAGGTGGAGTAGAGCAAGAGGAGATTAGGAATTCTATGCAATGGCTGCTTGTAGGTGAAGCATTCACCTTGAGCTAACTCTTGAACACTGAATTGACACACAGAAAAAGACCACTCAATCCTATCAACTTAGTGGAAAAGAACAGTTGAACCAACAGTTTGGCAAAAAAAGACAAAAGAACCAGCTGATTTACCAAATTTTGTGCTATCTTTCAAGTTATTGCCTCGTGTTATACACATTCGGGCATAATCTACCTCAAAAGGTCTATTGTTCTGAGGAGCGGCAGATTTCCCTTTGCAAAAATAAGACAAAACAGGTTTCTGTTTGTTTGTGTGGGCAGCTTGGGATATTACAAAAAAGCAATACAATAGAGAGAAATTGCCATTCAGAGATGTGATATGGCTCATTTTTAACTGTTTTCAGTGAAGTGGATGGAAAAGTGTCGGGATTGTCTTTGCCAGCAGGGAGCACGTTACAGGGTCACTAACATCACTGTTTACCTGAGCAGATGCTGAAAGCACCGCATCTTCAGGACTCTTAATCTTTTCCAACCGAGCAAAATGTTCAGCATGAACTTTTAAATATAGTGACACCTTGTGTGTCCAATCTGCTGAAATTTGCAGCAGGAAACCAGTAATGGGGAAAGCTGTGAAGGTTTGCAGTGATTAAATGCTGCCAAGAGTCCGCATTTTCTTCAGGAAAGTAAAGATGGTTGACTTGGCAATTGACAAGCAGACATGATGGGGTATATTTTGCAATGCATAATTATATCTGGATTATTTGGAAGGAGAAACCAAAGTTAAGGCTTGAAACTGTGATGTTTCCAGTGGCAAACTGAATTTTTGAAAAATCTTTTTTTTAAACTAATGATATTAATCAACAGATATGTAATCATCACACTGTGATACAAACTCTATTTTAGAATTCTTTACAAATAGTATAATGAACAGAATTCCTGTTATAATTTATTTATATGATATTATAGAATTCCTATTATAGTTTATTTCTGTTATTCCCAGAATCTTTAATAAATCATAAATTTACACGTATATATACATACACACACATACACATATATGTAAAACTGAAGTATATATATTTTCCTTGCTCCACCGGGGAGGCTGATGTAACAATGAGTGATTATACTGCTCATTTGCTGGTAATATTTCTAGGGAATATTAAGGGAAGGCTAGTTTGTTTCAACTGGAATATTTAAAGCATCTATCATGAGAATAATGATACAGAAAGGAATATTATCCCTTTCTTCAGTATTTTCACAGTGTAGGGAGATGAGAAAGAATTGATAAGGCCTATTGAATGAAGTTTGGTAGCTGCAATGATCAAATTATATCCAGAACTACGGGAACATGGAGGAGGGACAGCTGATCAGACTGGGATTCCGTAAGGGATTTCTGTGAGATGTGTTGTCCATATTTAGTCGTCTTCTTCCCGATTTAAGCTCTTTATATCCCTAGAGCCTGGTAATATTTTAAATAAATGAACAATTGTTGAATGGGTAAATATATATGAAACTCTTTGGTGACTCATCCTGCTTTATAAAAATGTCAATTGTTTCTATAATGGGTAGTGGCAATATTTGTGGCTTTGCCGATCTCTTGCTGTGCAATCACTTAAAAGTGACTTTTTAAATGATTAAAAGTCATTTAATCTCTCTGTGCTTCAGTTTCCTTAAATGACAAATGAAATGTTAATGTAGATAACTTGAAAAGGACTTTCATATATGTAAAATGTGGAACGTCTCATTTTAAGAAGTAAATATGTAGTCAAGTTCCACATAAATAAAACATAATTGTGTTTTGAAAATCACACAGAGTGAGGTTTCAATAAATTACATGAAGAATTATGTCTGCAGATACAAGACTACAGTAGCAACATGATTAATCTGCCACTCCCTAAAACAAATTTCCCATTTTCTTACAAGTATGCCTATTTCATCTGTGTTTGTATTGAAAGACAGAACCTCAGCTACACCAAATAAAGACAAAATGTTTTCAGTTATTCAAAATGACTCTTCAGCAAGATGATATTGATGCATTCATTTTATTAAGCTTATTGGAATTTGTATTTGTTGTTTTATAGAGAGGATTTCACCCTGTCACCCAGGCCGGAGTGCAGTAATGTGATCATAGCTCACTGCAGCCTCAAACTCCCAGACTCAAGCAATCCTCCTGCCTCAGCCTCCCAAGTAGCTGGGACTACAGGCATGGACCATCATGACTGGTTCATTTTTTAAAAGTTTTGTAGATAGTCTTGCTATGTTGCCCAGATTGGTCTTGAACTCCTGGGCTCAAGTGACCTTTTCACCTTGGCCTCCCAAAGTGCTGGAATTATAGGCGTGGGCCTCTGTGTCTGGCAGCTTCTCGGAATCTTTAGATGGAAGATGCCATGCAAATACAATTACAGATTTGATATTGAGCAATAAATTAAGAGCTACCTGACAAAGTAACCCAGAAAACATTCATGTGACCCTCCTGTGATGTTTGCCTGGAAAGCCCAAACTTTGCTGGGTCTCAGAACATCCGGGCCTGGAGCCCCTCCACCCACACACTCCCTATCCTGCCTGCTTCAGCCCAGGGGGGTGCCTGCAATGCTCCTGAAATCCTCCTCATGTGGAGGACCCTGGATTTTTTCCCACCTGCAGCTCACCCATGAGAGATTGCAAAGAGGTGCATGCCTCTGTTCATAGCTGTTTTCGCCTTGCCTGTTCACTTGGAATTAATGACAATGAGAAATGAATGCTCTCCTTGGAACTCTCAGTGGCACCTCTTCCCAGCAGAGTGTCCTGAGCAAGCTCCTGAGCCACTCTGGTCTTTAGTCATCTTCTGCAGACTGAGATAGAATCTCCCTGCCAGTTTGTTACGTAGATAACATGAGAACATGTATGTTAAAATGCTACAGAATGCTTTAGACTGGTGAGGTGTTACTGACAACACTAAGGAGATCAGGGGAAGGGAAGCACTGTTGGAGTTTCTCGGATGTGTCTGTTCCTGTGTTGGGGTTGTACATGGGGAATGGACATTGTTATCCTCACCGTGTGCTTGAGAAAAGGCTCAGAGAAGTTACATAACTTCTCCAAGTGTATCATCAGGATGTGGTGGAGATAGTACTTGTATCTTGTCTTTCTTACACCACCCCACTGATTTTTCCAACAGTAGTGATGCTTATCTTCAATCCAATCCATGAGGGTTGTAAATGTTAGATTTTCCTTAAGCTCACCCCCACCATCTTTAAAAAACAGTGTTATTATTTCAACTTATTCATGATTTCTCTTTGAATATAATTGATTTTTTTAGTGTTGACAGTACCTTAGAAATCACAAAATCATCTAACACCGTTAGTTTGTAACAAATTAACCTGAACTTTTTGTTGTTGGTGTTGTTTTCCCCAAGGTGGTAGATCAGAGGTTTTCAGCATGCCTCTGCCACTTGGAAATAGCAAGATGGTACATAAAGATCAACTCTGTGAGCTTTAATCCAAGAAGGAAATCAGGAGTCCACCAGAATCGCAAAGGACAACCCAGATCCCCAGGAGGAGAACCCGGCAAACAGTCCCTGTGATGGCATCTGCCAGATGAAAGTGAGCGAAGCCTCAGTACGAGAGAAATGCCGGGAGCCTCCCTCTGTGACTCACCTTTCCACTGGGCATTGGAGCAACACAGGCCAAGGGAGAGCATTTTGTTTCTACCAAGCTCTGGAGGTAACCTGGGGAGAGGCTTGGAGCGCTGTGAGGGACAGACACTGGGAAAAGCTGCAAACCTTTTCCCAGACCCGGAAACCAAGTGCAGGATACCATTTTGAATCCAGGTACGCACAAAGTTAGTTGTTCCTTGGCGGCTCGCATTTTAGTCTTCAGTCAAGGTTTGCAGTGTCTGCTCTGGGATGGGGTAGGGACCTCCACAGTCAGAATTGTGGAACACACCTCAGCAGTAGGCGCTGGAACTTTGCTCTCCTCTGTTGCAAGCCTGAGGCAGCAGGAGAGCAGCTACATCTGTAGCTTCTCCTGGGTGGTAAGACTTGCAGCCAGGTCCAGCTTGGTGACCTGGAACTGCTCTGCGTGTGCCCCAGCCTGCTGTCCTGATATTATGGTGCAGTGGGACCCTCTCTGCTCCACCCCCAGGCAGAAATCCAGGCATGTGTAGGACCCTGGACCAGCAGCCTGAGCCACCCACCACTCCTGGACAGAGTGTGGGGTCCAGCCTGAGCCACCCTATCATTCCTGGACACAGAGTGTGGGGTCCAGCCTGAGCCACCCCATCATTCCTGGACACAGAGTGTGGGGTCCAGCCTGAGCCACCCCACCATTCCTGGACACAGAGTGTGGGGTCCAGCCTGAGCTACCCCACCATTCCTGGACACAGAGTGTGGGGTCCGGCCTGAGCCACCCCACCATTCCTGGACACAGAGTGTGGGGTCCAGCCTGAACCACCCCACCATTCCTGGACACAGAGTGTGGTGCAGCAGGACTCTTTCCACTTCACACCTAAGCAGATCTCCAGATGTTCAGAGCCACCCCTCATCTGGATCAGCAGCCTGACACCCCATTTATCCTGCACAGAGGCCCTGGTACAGGGAGGCCCTCTCACTCCATGCCCAGGCAGCTCTCCAGGCATTTAGAATACCTCCTCACCTGGATCAGCAGACTGATCCACTGCACCTGTCCTGTGCAGAGATCCTGGTGCAGGGAAACCCTCTCCACTCCATGCCCAGGCAGATCTCCAGGCATCTAGTGGGCCCATTCTCCTGGATTAGAAGCTTAGGCTGTCCCCCAGCCCTATGCTGAGGACTTGGAGGCAAGGTGGTTTCCCAGCTCCATACCTAGGCATGCCTCTAGGCACTTGGTAGCCACCTACTGGATTCTCTCTCAGCACTCGTGCTTGTGCTTGCTAAGTGGACCTGGCTGGTCTGGCCTTGCCCATCATGGCCCCTACTCCAGGTGCAGAGCAAAGAGCTCAGGCCACTGCCCATTCCGTGGATCTGCCTTTTGGCTGTGGAAACAGAGAGCTTCTGCCTCTGTAAACAAGCATCCTGTAAACAAGAATCAAATATATACCCAGCCACGTGGGCTGCAGCAGGCTCTTACCTGCAAGTACCACCTACGGGCTTACAGGTTGAACTGCACAGCCCCATATAAAACCTGCCAAAAGAAGTGCACAGGGCTATAGAAGCAAAGCCAAGACCCCATCTAGCATTATCTATGTCACACCCCTTAGGGAGGGGGAAAAAGAGAAAGAAAAAAAAAAGCAATACTATTACAAGGAAAGAAAGAAAAAGGGAAACTTCTACCTGCATGAAAATAATTACAAAATCGAGAAGTGCCAGTGTTTCCAGATGAGAAGGAGCCAGCACAAGAATTCTGGCACCAGAATTATTGGTGGATAGGGGCCACGATGGGCGGGGCCAGACCAGCCAGGTCCATCTGGCAAAATCTTCAAGTAATGATACCACCAAAAGATTGCACTAGCTCTGCAGCAATACACCCCAACCAAAATGGAAACTCAGAAACGACAGATAAAGAATCAAGGCATAGATTGCAAGGAAGCTCAATGAGATCCAAGACGAAGTTGAAAACCAACACAAACTTCTAAAGCAATCCAGGAAATGAAGGAAGAGATAAACATCTTAAAAAGAGATCAGTCAGAGCTTCCGGAATTGAAAAACTCACTTAAGGAATTTCAAAATACAATTAAAAATTTCATTAATAGTACCAAGCAGAAAAAAGAATTTCAGAGCTTGAAGACTAGTCCTTTGAACTAACCCAATCAGACCAGAATAAAGAAAAAAGAGTTTTTTTAAAAAACAGCCTTTGAGAAATATGGAATTATGTAAAGTGACCAAATCCATGAATTGTTGGCATTCCTGAAAGAGAAGGAGATAAAGTAAACAACCTGAAAAAAGTAGTTGAGGCAATAATTCAAGAAAATTTTCCTAATCTTGCTAGACAGGTAAACATCCAGATATAAGAAGTTCAGAGAACATCTCTGAGATACTTATACAAAATTAATATCTCCAAGGCATATAGTCACCAGACTGTCCAAGGTCAATGGTAAAGAAAAAATTTCAAAGGTAGCTAGAGAAAAAGGTCAGATTACATACAAATGGAGCTCCATCAGACTAACAGTGGAGTTCTCAGCAGAGACTGAGACTACTAGGGCTTGTATGCTGCCTTCTCCAGGCTGTAGAGTTAGTGGGAGGGGACAGAGAAGGGCAAGGATTTTAAAACTAACTATTGGGTACTATGCTCAGTACCTGGTGATGGGATCACTGATACCCCAAACCTCAGCATCATGCCATATACCTAGGTAACAAACCTGTATATGTACCCTCTGAATCTAAAAGTTAAAAAGCGAACAAACAAACAAAATATAACCTGATAAATGGTTTTCTAAAGTTTCCTCCAGAGAGGAAACTTGCACCAGAGCTCTGTTATCTATTCTGTTATTCATTATTTTAAAATAAAAGCCACTTTCTTTTAGTATCAATGCTGCTTCTGTGCATTATTTACTATTATTTTAATTAATCCAATTTGACCTACTGGAACTTCCAGTGAGTACACTGTGGGCACCAATTCACTTACTTTTTCCGTTGATATCTAAGGATACCTAATGACTATCATCTTGGAGATCCAAAGATGAAACCGTCTCTAGTCCTCAGAGAACTTCCAGTGTAAGTCAAGAAAACAGCCTTGTGAAAAAGTAGATACATAAATAAAGTGTCATAGATATTGTGATGGATTAGAAGGAAAGTATTAATTTTCTATTGCTGCTGTAACAAATTACTTTGAACTTAGTGGATAAACACAACACAAATCAGGCATCTTATAGTCTTGGAGTTCAGAGTGGCTCTTAGGAGCTAAAATCAACATGTCAGCAAGGTTTTGTTTCTTCAGGGGACCCTCGGGAAGAATCTGTTTTCATGCCTTCTTCCACTTCCAGAGGCCTCAAGTATTCCTCAGCTTGTGGCCCCCCCTCCATTTTTTTTTTTTTTTTTTTTTGAGATGGAGTCTCACTCTGTTGCCCAGGCTGGAGTGCAGTGGTGTGATCTCGGCTCACGGCAACCTCTGCCTCCCAGGTTCAAGTGATTCTCCTGCCTCAGCCTTGTGAGTAGCTGGGACTACAGGCATGTGCCATCATGCCTGGCTAATTTTTGTATTTTTAGTAGAGACAGGGTTTTACCCTGTTAGGCTGGTCTCGAACTCCTGACCTCAAGTGATCTTCCTGCCTTAGTCTCCCAAAGTGCTGGGATTACAGGCGTGAGCCACCGTGCCTGGCCCCTCCTCTATTTTAAGCCCATTATAAAAATGCTGTTCCATCATGTCTCTGTCTCACAAGGACCCTTGTGATTGCATTGGGCTCACTCAGATAACACAGAATAACAGCCTAAATACCCTTAATTTAATCACATAAGAAAAATCCCCTTTTTCCAGGTAAGGTAACTTGTCCCCAGGTTCCAGGGATTGAGATGTAAACATGGGGGGACCTTATTCTATATACCACAGGTGCAATGAACTATGAGGATAGCATGAAGGTGCTGAAAGGCAGATGGTAGTATAGGAAGGAATATCCAAGAAAAAAGGAGTAGAGGGGAAGGCATAGAGGCATGAAAAAGAATTAAGTTATTTATGGCTGGACCTTGCAATTGGAAGTCAGGCCCATGCTGAGAGACGAGGATGTGGGGGAGGGCATGGTCCAGCCCTGGCAAGCCCGGTGGTGATGCTGGGCACATGTGCTGCCTTCTCCAGGCCGTTTAGAGCTGCTGCTGCTGTGTGAAGCTGGGGAGAGGCGGGATCAGGGTTGATGTCAGAATGGTGACTTTGTCAGCTTGGGAAGAGTTGTTGAGTGTGGGTGGGGATGAGATGATGACAGCAGATTCAAGGAGAAAAGTGACAAGAGCCTGTGTTCTGGCAGCAGCAGAGGTGATGGAGGGATTGTTAGGAACCGGTCACCCCATCTGCTGGGGTGAGGGGAGAGTGTGTGGGAGCAGGAGGAAGCTAGGATGATGCCAGAGACAGGACACAGGGCACAGTGAGAAGTGACTAGCCTTTCATGGGACGAAGGCACTGGAGGAGGAAGAACGTGAGGGTGGTGTGTGGTGGGTGGTGATAATGGTGTGGGCAAAACAAGCCCGGTCTTTCAAGCATTGAGTCTGTGGCTTCTGGGAGACATCTGGGTAGAGCTCTGCAGGAAGTCATTTCATATATTCTCCCTCCCTCCCTCCATTTCCTTCTTTCCTTCATCCATCTTTCTTTCCTTCCTTCTTTCAGTGAAGATTTATTAAGGCTTAACATATACTAAACATATGCTAAAATTCAAACGTACCCTGATAAAAAAGTGAGATGTTGTTTCTGCTTAATATTCAATGTTGGATCTCAGGAGAAAAGTAAAGATCAGAAATATACATTTGGAGGTCCTCAGTGTGTCTGCATGTGTGTCTGTATAGATATATACACACACACATAATGTATGGATACACACACACAGGTATAGATACACACACACACACACACACACATAATGGAAACCTTGGAACTCTGCAAGGTTCTCCAGGGATAGCACACTATGTGATGATAGGAAAAGAGAGGCAAGGATAGATTCCTGAGGACCAGAAACCTACAGAGAAAGAGAAGCTCCTGCGGAAGAGAAGAGAGAAGGAGAGGTCAGCAGACTAGGAGAACCCTGTAGGGAAAGGAATTCAAGTTAGCTGCAAGCTGAGGCCACTGTGCCGCACATGGCAGTCCATTGGTAAGCCTCGTTATTTCACCCACAGTGAGGATTGATGGAAAGTGAGGAAGCGCCGTCATTGAATGCAGCGGCTTCTTTTAAGGAATTCAGCAGTGAGGAGGGTAAGGCAGTGACTAGAAAAAGAGACAGTGACGATTAACTTGTTCTGGTGCAAACAAGAAAGCTGGTGCTGTAAGAAATACAACAGGGCCCAGCCTTGAGGCACCTGATCTGGCACAGAATGTTAACCCTTACAGCACTGGCTAGGCTCTCCAGGAAGATGCTTTCCACTCTGTGCCCAGAGTTCATGGATTTAGTTCCCTCAGCTGTTGGTAGCGTCATATTCATCACTCTGTTGTTCCCATTCTCTCTATACCTTTGTCCACAGATATTGCATCTCAGTTTACTCTCTCCAACATTTACCCTTCACCTTGATACATGTTCCTAAATCTGCTTCTCTCCTCTGCCTCCCTCCTTCCGACATTTTCATCTTTCCACGGTGCTCAGTCTTGTTCACCAAACCTCTACCTTATCTGCTCATGACTTAACCAAGCCTTCCCCTCAGTTTCTCCTGAGTTACTCCCACTGACCCACCTCATGAAAGAGGTCAGAAAAATTAAAAAAAAAAAAGAAGACAACTAATTTCCTCTAGCTACAGAGACTCAGCAGCGTATTTTCATTTATTAATAATTAATTAAATGTTTTCTTGGTAAAGGTTGTTTTTGCAAAGGGCTTCTGATGTTCCCTGTATATCTGTGAGACAAGTTTAATAGCAGCAATTTTTTCTACTTTAAGGCTTTATAAATCAAGACTTAAAAAATTAGTAGGATAGTAGCCAATAGGATCTGGGGTTTCTAATTCTCAGGCCAGGATTCTTTCCTTTTTCCATAACAGGGGCTTGTTCACCAGAGGGGAGCCAGGAAAGGGACACGATGTGTCCTGGTAGGAAGGCTCAAGGGCTCATAGCCAGGCCCCTTGAGAACACGTTGATACCACCCATTTTTCCAAAGAAGATTCAACCTCCAACTGCAGCTTCGGACACGTGATGAGAGCGTAAGGATTTATTTCGGAGAAACAAACAAGGAGATGCCAAGGGTGATTTTGACATTTTAGAATATGTGCTAGGAGAGTTTGACATCTGTGACCTCAATAATTGGAAGGTTTCACCATGCTGTGAAGGGGTGGGGGCCGGCAGGCAGCACCTGTCAGATACCATGTCAGGATTGATAAATGCGTGACTTGGTGCTCTGTCAAAATGCTCATGTTCGCTGGGCGTGATCTCTCTTGCTCATGGAACATGGTTGCACCATCTGCTCACTTTGGAAGCACAATCTTGAGCCCATATCCCATGCCCAAGCCCGGCCTGAGACTTGCCCTAACATGGAGAGGACGCATGTGTGTACAAAGACACCAGGCTCTGATCCCTGTGGGCACACAGCCTTAGGGCTTCGGGACGTGGGCGAATTGCTCGTGTCCGGCTGTGGTCCTGAGTTCTGATAAATCACCTCTGCTGTCCCCACCATCCATTCAGGGATAGCTCTGGCCTTGGTTGACTGCTGATGTTTTTATAATGCGCCTTCCTTACGGCAGATTGGGATCAGAAAGCAGGCTGTTAAATGCCCTTTGTTTCTCTTCAAACAAGGTTCTTTTAAAAATCATCACTCTCATCAAACCAGGGCTGGTGTCTCTGCCTGGCAGAGCCAACTGTGACCGCCGTCGGCATGGGTATTCTATCAATCCAGTCCCGCTCGCTGTCAGCTGCAGGGGTCCCAGGCTCAGTGTCAGGAGGAGGAGGGGATGAGGCTCTTGATTAATGTTTAAGTCCTTCAAGTACTCTGTCTTTGTGTCTAAGAAGCACCAGTGCATTGCGGGGATGATGAGGTGGAATCCTTGGCTGTAATTAGTTGAGGACTCAGTTCTGACCAGTGGCAGGGGGACATCTCCTGGAACGGCCTCAGGGCTCTAGAAACCCACAGACCCGGCTCCTGTGCCAATTACGCCATTGACTTCCCAGTAACTGTGGGAACGTTATCAAAGCTCTGAGCCTCAATTTCTCCCTCAAGAAAAAGGATTGTTTCCGATCTGTGGAATAACGAAAACGTTATGAAATTACCTCTCCTGATGCTTGGCTTCTAATTCAATAAATGCTGTTTTCCTGAGTTCAGGTTCCTTAATATCAGAGGATTTCTAGTACAGTAGCAAGCATAAATTAAGTTAGGAGGGTGAAGTACTCTACTATGTGACATAAGCTTATCACATGCTTATAATTGATGTGGTGACCATTTTCTTCTGTGCCCCAAATCTTAAACGTTAACAATCAGGAGGTCCTTTTAGGGACAATGGTGAAAAGTGCGTTATAAGAGCATGACTGAGAAGATCCGGGTCCTGACCCTAGATTGGAGCTTCTGTGCTGAGGTGGGGATCCTGGGTTCAGTACGTTGACCCATAGCCACCTAAACTTGAACACTTCCAATGCCAGGCAATTTACTATCGCATGATAGAGCCAAAAATATCTGTGCTGACTCACAGTGCTTTGATGGTTCTTTGCAGTTGGCAAACTTTTTCTGCAAAGGGCCAGATAGTAAATATGTTTGGCTTTGAGGGCCATCTAGACCCTGTCACAGCTACCCCATTCTGCTGCTGTGGCACGGATGAAGCCAGGGATGACACCTAAACCGATGGGTGTGGGTGGGCCCCAGTAAAACTCCATTCACCAAGTTCAAAGGTAGGCTGGATTCGGTCACATGGCTGTGTAAACACCAGTGAATTGTTACGTATATTAGGAAGGTACATATTTTATTTGTCCTAGCTGCAATTTTGAGAATAAGTATATAAGAAAAACTGAGGCAATTATCGTCTGTTTTCTGAGGCTCTCTAACAATGTTCCTCCTTCCCTCCAGATACAGTGAGAAATCTAAGCTGTGCTGTCTTCTTTCAGCTCCACGATACACTGTGTGTGCATGTTTTTCAGGTGATGAGATTCTTAGTTTTTTAAACCAAGGATGATAATGATCATTACTATCCATTTTTAGAACCAAATGTAGAAATTTGTTTAACATATTTTAAAAGACATGTTGTCTATAACTTGGGAATGAGAAGTAGTATGTTCTTATACTAGCGAAAGGAGGGAGATCAGTGGGATACCATTTTATTTAAGACTAAGGGAAAAGATCTATGTTTGTTTATTGATATCTTAAGATAATTTTGTAAAACAGCCTTGAGTTTAGTAATTCAGAGCCTTTTCTCCCGAGTGGAAGTCGGAGAATGTTCCCTGCTCCACGCTGTGAGCTGGTGTCCAGTTGGATCTCTGATCCCACTCACAGCTGAGGTCGCCCTCAATGTGGTTTGCTCTGAAAACAAGGAGACTGAGGAGTCAGCCAACCTGAGTAGAAGGTGGGCCCCAGGACTGGGGGTCTAGTTTGACCCCGTGTCTCTGCATCCTATGCCTTTCACTGCCTGCGATCACCATCAGGGTTCAGCAGAGGTGGGAGGGAAACTGACAAGACTCAGGGGGCAAGTCTCCCTTCACCATAAGGAAGGCCTGACACTCAGGTCAGCCCGAGCTAGATGATGTCATTGGTCCTCTCTTGTTCTCCATAGCCTTCCGTAGATGGGACAGGGGTCGGAGATGGGCAAGGAGTGGCTCCCTCTGCTCCCTTGCTCGGGGCTGCTGTCTGGGCTCTGACTGAGTGCCCGTCTGCTGGGCCACTGCTCTGAGTGACACCTCTGCGCTGTATTTTGTTCCCTTTGAGCCTTGGCTGCTCAGGATCAGGCTGCTGCTGCTGCCTCAGTAGAAGGCGTGCTCCCCCAGGAGTCCTGAGCAAAGGGTTCTCTCTCCAGTGTTGATTCCTTGAAAAGGGGTTCTGAGGGACAACGTCCTGGACTCCCGAGTGTAGCCGCTCTCTTTGCTTCACACAGTCACAGTCCTTCTCCTCTGGCAGTGCACACTGTTTTTGGACAGTGCCTGGTTTGTCAGTCTTGGTCTTTATTCAGGAGAGAATCTTCTCCTGAGTAGTGCCTGGCCTGTCCCCAGCTCCTTTGTTCAGCTCAGTATGCTCAGATCCTTCCCCGATCTCCACTCCACAGAACCCCCCAGCAGGGTCTCAACGCCCCCCCACCACACACACGCTGGACTGCTTTTCTCCAGAAGTTTTTCCACTTCCCATGACACAGCCTTTGAGATAAGCAGACAGATGCAAACAGAACTGGGGAAGGGGTGGTGGCCCCCTCACGGGCGCAGTCTGGAAACCATCATTTTACAACTGGAAGGAAGCAGACCTCAAAATGCTCTGAAGATACTTCATGCCAGCATTTATAAGGATTTTTTTCTGCATTGCCATGTTATATCACTGCTAAGATTCCTTGGAAAAAGAAGGAGCAAAATAAATAATTAATGAAATTGCCGTAAGTTGTTTGCACTGTTTCTAAAGAAGATCCAGATGAAGGAAGCACACATTTTGTTGGGCAGGTACGTGCTGGGATGAACACAGACTGACACGGGATATGCAGAACTCATCCCTAGTACTGTGTGACGGGGAACACTGTGGCCTCCACTGAGAATCAGACATGTTCCAATCTGCTTCATAATGAAAATCACACACTGAGCCACCGAGGGGGTAGCTTTTAGCGGTGCAGCGATTTGGAACTTGAAGCCTGGCTCAAGTGTTCTAGTCCTTCCTCTGGCTCTTCCTGGCATCGTGTGCTTGGGCATGTCAGCCACTGTAATCCCCTGTTTCTTTTTCTTTTTTTTTTTTTTGATACGGAGTTTGGCTCATCGCCCAGGCTGGAGTGCAATGGCGCGATCTCGGCTCACTGCAACCTCTGCCTCCTGGGTTCAATCAATTCTTCTGGGATTACAGTCGTCCGCCACCATGCCCGGCTATTTTTTTTTTTTTTTTTTTTTTTGTATTTTTATTAGAGACGGGGTTTCACCATGTTGACCAGGCTGGTCTCAAACTCCTGATATCAGGTGATCCATTCCCCCGTTGGTATCCCAAAGTGCTGGGATTACAGGTGACCCTCCGTTTCTTTATCTGTAAAATACAAATGCTGTTGTCTAAAAATTCCATTTTCTCTATCTACCTCACAATAATAGCCTTAGGATGAAATGTAAAAGTACTTCATAATCTTGAAGGAGTTTCCCAAGTGTAAGACATTCTTATTATTGGTGACAGAGAAAGTTGGTTCTCAGGGATGACAAGCACTTGTCATATATTCAGCCACCATGGAGCATGGGATAGTGATGGAAAAAGCACGTGCCCTGTTCCCAATAAGTCCAAGGTCTAGCAAAAGTGTGGGGCACAGAACATGTTTCTACACAGCTAAATGCAATCACTGTAAAGAGTGCTGTAATAAAGGCTTCCACTCAACACCATGGGAGCTGAGAAAGAGGCAAAGTGGCGCATGAGACGGAACCGGTTATTGCAGCCCGATATAGAAGTCCAATGCTGGTTTCACCACTTAGAAGTGAGGCGGCTTTGGATAATTCCACAAGCCTCTGTGAGGTTCATTTTCCTCAAATGTGAGATAAGAATGGCAAGTAAAATATATTTCAGCATCGTTGTTGTGAAAGAGAGATGACATATACCAAGAACCTAGTAGCTTCTGCAAATACAGTAGGGACGATGACGCCTGCCCATCATGGGCAGAGATGGGGGTTAAGGAGAAAATCTCTACACAGAGGCAAGAAATCTGCACTGGGTTTTGAAGTATGCCTATGAGTTCACCATGTCCAAGAAACAATGTGAGCCCCTCCAAGTAGTACCTAAGAATGTGCATGGCAATTGTAGGACTTACAGCAGTTGTATGGAGTGGTGCCAGGGGACCTGGGGCAGAGGCCAGGCCATGAGCCCCAGAATACCAGGTTAAGGACTTCAACTTGACTCTCAGAAAGTCATACTTCTGGTAGGAGAGATCTGCCAGTTCAGTGATGTTTTCATAAGATTTTGATATTCTACTATTTTAACTCTTCCTCTCCACTCTCCTAGCTTCTTGCTCAGAAGAATGTTGTCAAGGGGTAAAAAATGAGCAGCATTTATTTTCTGCCTTTCACAAGTTCTTAATACTCCTGGGGAAAAATTGCCTTGTGTGGAAATAGCTGCTGATGAACCCAGGTTTGTGTGTGTGTGTGTGTGTGCGTGTGTGCACGTGCACATGTATTTGCGTGGGTGTGAATGTGCCTGTATGAATGTGTGGGGGAGTGTTTGCATGTGTGTGCATGCATACATGCTTTAGTGTGTAGGGAAAATGTAGCAGGTTCCAGCCTTTCCTGCCTGGAGATTGATACCTGCTGTTCCCAGCTTGGAGCCGCCAAGTGGCTATGCCGGAGCAGCTGCTGGTGCCTGCCTCTTTGGAAGTATCTTGTGTCACCCTTGTTGCAAGCCAGGTGGCTGCTGGTCTGCAGGGGTGGCTTTGCAGGATCTCATCCACTTCTGCCTTGCAAGGACACTCCTGCTGTGCCTCTCGGGGTGTGGTCCCATTAGCCCCGTTAGTGCTGTTAAACTCTCCAAAACAATGATGGAAAAATGACGCTTTCATTCTTTGGAGTAGGGGAGGTTAAAAAAATAAACACACTCTCTCCTCCCCGCAAATCAACCCACAGGTTGGGGCTTGGGGAAGTGCCAAGTAGGGATGGGAGCCATAGGCTTTGCATGAGCGTTGGGTGGGCTGGAGAAGTTCCTCACAGAAACACCCACACAAACACTTGTTTGTCACTCCATAATAAAATTCAAAGGTTGAGTGAACACTAGTAAGATCTTCTGCACCTGGGAAGAAAACATTATTCAAGTGAAATCTGAAATGACTTCAATAAGGCTACGTTGCTCTGGGCACCAATGTGTACTATACACGGCTTTGCTTCTTAGAGTCAGTTTCAAAATATGATTCAAGGCTACTTATCAAGCACCCATGAGTGTTTCTTCTGGAAGAAGACATCAAGGGAAGCAGTGAGGATTGAGCCAGGAAAGGGATGCTGAGAACACATTTGCTGATCACCTTACATGTGCCAGACCCTGGCCTAGGCTATTTATTTACTGCCAGATTCTTACCATGCCACGCTCTATAATGTAGGTATTATCTCCATTTTATGGATAAGGAAACGAAAGCTGAGAAGGGAGGGAACCTTCCTAAGGTCATAGTAAGGGGAAGACTCCAAGTGCACTTAATGACTTTGGCTGACTCCCAGTCTTATACTCTCCTCTATGTACAAGATTGTCTCCTTGAAAAATAATATTTATAGGAAAGGCAGTTTTGTGGAGGGCTGATGTTGTGTGCACTACTGTTACTCATCTACACTCCCATGAATGCATCTAGAAATGGAAAAGTAAGATCTCATTCATTTGTTGAGAGGGTGAGATAGGGTCCATAAAGAATTTTTCCAGGTAGCCAAAACTTTACCTTTTTAAGATCTAGATTTAAAATTTAAAAATGTCTCTAATATCATGTTTTGGAAATAGATTATGTTCACCTACCCATCTGCCCATTCATCCATTCATTATAAATACATTTACAAACATTTTATTTGTTTCCATTCATACATTGAAGGAGCAAATGAGGAAGCAAAATTATAAAGCAATGTGATTAGTGCTACAGCACTGAAACATAACATAAAATTTTCTTGAGCAAAATGTTATTTTAGTGGGTTCTAATGTATATCGCCACATAACCATGCTTGCCTTCTTCTGGGGTGCTAGACAATTGGTGGCCATGCCTCTAGTTTCCTAGTAAATCTCTCCAATTGTCCTTTTCCAATTCATTGCTTTAAATTTTCTTGAGTATCTCCTTGCTCATGTATAAAATGAAGTGATTAAATTGATCCTCAAACTGTGCCTGGCTGGCTGGGTAAAAAGCAGCTAGGCAGGTCATACAAAACCCAAACTCAGAGCTTCTCAGTTAGTTAATTTGGGTGAGCTCAGCCCAGGGATTTGTAATTTGTTTATTATTTTCCCAAATGAGTCTGATGAGCTGTCATATTTTGGAACCCTTTCATTTGGTGAAATCATAATTACAGTACCATGACTGTACGTTCCCAGTATTTATTTGTGTGTGTGTTTAGAGAAACCAGTTCAATAAAGAATAATGATTATAACCAGGCAAGGTGGCTCATACCTGTAATCCTAGCACTTTGGGAAACTGAAGTGGGCAGATCATTTGAGCTCACGAGTTCGAGACCAGCCTGGGTGACATGGCAAAACCTTGTCTTTACAAAAATTACAAAAAACTAGCTGAGCATGGTGGTGTGCACCTGTAGTCCCAGCTACGTAGGAGGCTGAGGTGGGAGGGTCACCTGAGGCTGGGAAGTCGAGGCTGCAGTGAGCCCTGATTATACCACTGCGCTCCAGCCTGGGTGACAGAGTGAGACCCTGTCTCAAAATAAATAAATAGTGATTAAATAGGTGTTAAAAATCTAAGTGATTCTTAATACCTCTTTGTAATCTCTGCTGCTTGGAGAAACAGGATCACCTGTCAAAACTGTATGTGAATTACATTTCAATAAAGCAAAGATGATGTAAGGATCACTTTCCTTGGCATTTATTCCACAGCTGAATAGCTTACAGCTGTATTAGTCAACTTTGCTGCAGTAACACGCAACCACAACATATCAGTGGCTTGTGCAATAAGTGCTTACTTCTCACTCATGGGTCTACATGTTTATGGTGACTCTTCTGGGCTCTGCTTGCCTCCGTTTGGCTTGGCTCCAGTCTGCAGCTTGGGCTAAGTCATTCAGCATCCAGGCCAAAGATAAAGCTACTATCTGGCATACATTATTCTCATGGTGGCTCACAGAACTTCAAGAGGCTGGAGAAAAGTTGCAATGACTCAAAACGTGTGTACTTAAATTGGTATAAATCATGTCAGCTCATATTCTGTTGGCCAAAGCAAGTCGCTTTGCTTCATCTGAGCCTGGGATCTAAGATCTGTGCCTGTGCTTCTTCCGTAACAGGAAACAGTGATTTGATGGTTAGTATACAGTTTACCCCAGTAGGGCATGACCCAAGTACTACAAAAGATTGGACTGCTCTGGCATCTTACCAGAATCTCTGAGCTGAGTGGGTATATATTTCAAAAAAGTGCCAGGTGTTTCTTACACTCTTCTTAATCCTCCAGTGGAGATATATTTTCATTGTCTTCTCATTTAAAACTCACCAGTGCAATGTAGTATTTAACTATTTAGAAAAATGTTCATCATGTATCTCTCCTGGTTTCAAAATATTTCATAAATATGGTCCTTAAATTATGAATATAGAAAATTTAATTGTTTTTCTGCGCGATAGGACAAATCACTTTATATTCTTACTTTTCTTAATTTTACATACATTTAATGAAATTTTCTAATTAAAATATATAGAAACGTAAAAAAGTACCACACTAATCAAAGATGTTAACAATGAGGGAAACAGGGGAGGAGGGAGGTAGTGAGGGGGTGTAAAAGAACTATCTGTACTTTCTATTGAATTTTTATGTAAACCTGAAACTTCCTTTTTTTTTTTTTTTTTTCCTTGAGACGGAGTCTCGCACTGTCACCCAGACTGGAGTGTAGTGACACGATCTCGGCTCACTGCAACCTCTGCCTCCCAGGTTCAAACAATTCTCCTGCCTCAGCCTCCTGAGTAGCTGGGATTTCAGGCGTGCACCACCACACCTGGCTGATTTTTGTATTTTTAGTAGGGATGGAGTTTCACCATGTTGGCCAGGCTGGTCTCAAACTCCTGACCTCCGGTGATCCATCCGCCTTGGCTTCCCAAAGTGCTGGGATTATAGGCATGAATCACTGTGCCTGGCCATGAAAATTCTTACAAAAACAACAGTCCATTCGTTTTTTAAAAAAATGAGACTATGTCAAAGGGGCACATAATTCATCTTCAGGGCTCCCAGTAGGTAAATCTGGGAAAATTTGAACATAAATGAATAATTAGAGGAATAAACAAATTGAATAAAATAGAAATACATGATTTCATACAAATTTAAGTAGATAAAGTAGATAAATGAATGAAAAAGTGGGCAAATGAATTAACAGGAAGCCCTTCCTTACAATAGAATGCTGGATAATAAATGCCAAAGAAGTAGGAATGACGTAAACAGAAAATCTCCTTGTAGCAGCCATCACAGTAGCAGCTGATTTGGGTGAATGTTCTTTGAGGGGACTGTGCTGGTGAGTACAGGTTTGATGAGGAACAGGTTATTGACATAATATCACCCTAGAAAATGCTAATAAATTAAAAAGGGGGGAAATGATGGCTTTACAATGGAGAAACCTGGCAGGCACCAACATGACCAGGTGACCAAAGTGAATAAGAGGGGCAAGCATCACATGCCTTTCATGTAATACACAGAGGAGAACACAACATCCTTCCAGTGGGATTTTTACCAGGAAAGCATGACCTGAATCTGCCCACGTGTGAGGAAATGCTGGACGTCGGCTTGGGGTCATCCTTGCCATGTAGGAGAAGACTGAGGAGACATGAGAATTAATGCAATGCACATTCCTGTATGGGATTCTGGGTCAGAGAGAAAAATGAGATATTGTAGCACAGTTGTGAAATTTGAATGGGATCTCTAGATTGGATGGGAATGTGGCTACCATGTTGGTATTCAGACATGGGGAGTTGGAGGATGGTTACAATTTGGGCAAATACATACTGGAGAATTTAGGAATGATGGAGCTTCATGTCTCTGCCCTGCCTTCAAATGGTTTAAGAAAAACAAACCATAGATAATGGATATGTCCTACACACACACACACACACACACACACACACACACACAGTAGATAAAGTGAGTGAAGGAGAGGATGTGGTAAAATTTTAAGTCCTGGGGAATCTCAGTGAAGGAAACATGGATGTGCTTTGAATATGGAGCTCTAGAACCTCCAAGGAGCAGAGACAGAAGTGTCTGGACTAGCGTGGAATCCCCCATGGAGGTCAGCTTGCCTTGAGCCTGAAGAAATGGTTAGTATCAGAAAAGAGGGAAGGTTCTAGCAGAGACAAACAATGTGAGCAAAGTCTTGGCCTTAGAGTCAGGAACAAACATGGCATGAAGAGGAAACAGTAAGAAGACTGACTTGCCGAGGGTAAGCGTGGTGGGCTTCATGGTGGGGGGAGTGGGTAGAAAGGTGTGGTACATCACCGTCATTTGCCAGTGACCACCACTCCATTTTCTTCAAGGATCTGCCTGCCCTCTATTCCATGTGATCCCCAGAATGTGTCTGAGACTGACACTGAGACTGGCTTATCTTCCAGTCCATCTTTCTGGAAAAAGTAGTGTGTGCAGAGGTGGTTTCACGACCCAAGGAGGACACAATCCGTGCACTCCTCTGGTTTTGCTGGGAAGGTGCTCGGGCAAGACCCTGGGCCAGAAAAGATTGAAGGAAATGAATCTGAGCTTTCCAGAAGCTGTTTTCCTCATTGCTGAGAATAATGTTATTCCAAACATTGCAGAACTTACAGAAATTTCAAATGTACATAAAAGTGCCTCTCCTATTTTGTAATACTATCCTTCTTCTTCTCAGTGCAGGCTGACCTCCTTCCCGGGGAGCTCCTAGCCAGTCTGGAGGCTTCATTCTCCTGTTTCCCTAAGTTTCTATAGCCTTTGTTGCTTCTGTGTCTGCTACCTTTTTAAATTCTTAAGTTTATCTGGCCTTGTATTATTTTTTAGCGATTTTATATGCACATGCCTTTGTTTTCTTAATTCTATTGTGGATTCCTAGAGAGTGGTTGGTAAATATCTTGCAATTACATAATTGAAATGCTTGATAAGAAAAAAGGAATGTCCTTTGGCTGAGGACAAAGGTGGCTGGATTTATCAATAGATAATATAAACAAAGCTATTTAAGAAACTCCCCGTGTGTAAAATAAGCAAGTATTGCTTTCATTATTTATCCTGCCATTCTTTTTCTTTTTTTATTTTGAGACAAAGTCTCTCTCTGTCATCAGGCTGGAGTGCTGTGCTGCGATGTCCACTCACTGCAACCTCTGACTCCCTGGTTCAAGCGATTCTCCTGCCTCAGCCTCCCGAGTAGCTGGGATGACATGTATGCACCACCATGCCCAGCTAATTTTTGTATTTTTAGTAGAGGCAGGGTTTCACCATGTTGGCCAGGATGGTCTCGATCTCCAGACTTCGTGATCTGCCTGCCTTGGCCTCCCAAAGTTTTGGGATTACAGGCGTGAGCCACTGTGCCTGGCCCCTGCGATTCTTAATCATGCATTTACTTATTCCCACCCATCTCTAAATTCTCTTACGTTGCTATTCTCTCTGATGTAGACAGCAAGCTCCTGGGAGGCAAAGGATCTTTCAGTTCTATTGATCCTCAGTAGCACATTGTATTGATGCTGAGAGGAGACTGTCAGTGAAGGTGAAATGCTTATGCTGGGAATGACCTGGATAATAGCTGGGTGAAAGAAAAAGCTGTTCTAAGCCAACCCATGCCAAAGCTGCAAGAAGTCAAACTGCAGACACTTCACTATTCACCTTTGTTATTGATACCGTATCGTTTGGCCTGGAAGCATTTCAAATTAGGAAGTGGGCTATTAAGGGAAATAGTTGTTCCTACTAATGCCACGTAGACAAGTTCTATGGCAGGGCTTTGCGCTAGCAATCACAGGTAAAATGACACGAGTGTATTATTTTAGCTAGCACAGATTGTAGACAGATTCTCCCTAATATGTTAGAAAGGCCTCCTTATAATCTCATGATAGAATCATTCACTTCCTAGATGCCTTGGGCCAGACAAGAGCTGGGCTAGAGTCTATTTTATTCCTTACATGTGTTTCTATACATCACCATGGTTTAAACCATAGAGAATATATGCAGATACAATTTTGAACATTCTTCAAGAGGAGAACGGCAGCTCTGGATGAAGACGTTGCACCTTCATCCTTCATAACTTCCTTCATAACATATCCTTCATAAACTAATAAAAGAACAGTTTATTAAAAAACTGTTCTTTTTTAATACAGAGGATTTACAATTTAATTTGAATCATGGGATTAGAAAGGCCAAAATTGCATAATAAAAGGGAGTTCTCATCATAGAAGATGTCATTTCAAGAAAAGAAAAGTACTGTATTCTTAAATGTAAAAAGATATCTAATCATCAATATCATTAGCAATGCCATTAACTGTCCTTTTTTTCCCCCAGCAGAGAGGAAAAGAACACCTTTATAAAACAAAACATTCATAACTAATGAAATCACAACTGAAGGACATACACCATTAATTACTTAGTGATCCCAGATGAATGAAGGAAAGCATTTGCTCTTCAGTTGTGTGTAAAATTAAAGGGAGAATATACCAGGTGCTTGGGGATGTGCAGATAACCTTAAATAAATACATCCTTAATAAATCTCATGATCAACTTCACAGGCACCTTCCCAGGATCTGAGCCGAGCCTCTCTCAGGGCTTTTGGAGTGAAACTAGAACATGAGCTCCTCTACCAGGTGTGGCTTCGTCAGAGATTATTATTGATCATTCATTTTTATCTCTTGGCATAAAATACACATGAAGAATGGGGACTTGAATGTATGAGTGAATGCTCTGTAACAGGATGTGTTTATTCATTTCTTTTTCAATTTACATGCAACAAAATTCACTCTCTGTGCTGTTCCACTTTATAAGTTTTGACAAATGAATGAATGACCACGATCAAAATACAGAAACGTTCCATCATGGCCCCAAATTCCTTTGGGCTGGCTCTTTGTCATTAACTCCTTCTCCCATTCCCAAACTGATTTTCACCACTCTGCATTTGTGCCTTTTGTAGATTCTTACGTAAGTGGAATAATATAGTCTATAGCCTCTTTACTTTTTTCACTTAGCAAAATGCATTTGACAATCAGCCCTTTTTATTGCTGAGTAATAATCTATGAATGTACTATAGCTTTTTATTCATTTACCCATAGAAAGATATTTGGTTTTCTCCCGATTTTTTTTTTCCAATTAGAGATAAGGCTGCTGTCAACATTCACTTCCCGGTTTTTGTGTGAACATAAGATTTCATTTCTCTTGGGTAAATGCCTGGGAGTGGGATTGATGGGCTATATAGCAAGCCTGTGTCTATGTTTTAAAAAATTGCCAAACAATTTTTAAAGTGGCTCTACAATTTTGCATTTACCCCAGCAGGCACAGTGTATAAAAATTTCAGTTTTTTCACCTCTTTTCCAGCACTTGGTAATATTAACTTAAAATCATTTTTTAATACATGAGTAGTGGTGTCTCATTGGTGAGAGAGATGTCGCTTTAGAATTAATAAAGTACTCTGTGTATGTGTGTGGACATATATTTTACTGAAATTCTGTTGCATTTTATAATTGATTATATCTTATTTCAATAAAAATGGTAATGTCATTTTCACCTTTTTAACCATTTCTTTCTCTTTAGGAACTTGCAGGAATCAGTAACTTAAAAGTTATTGAGAGGCCAAGTATGGTTGCCCATGCCTATAATCCCAGCACTTTGAGAAGCTGAGGTAGGAGGGTTGTTTGAGCTCAGGATTTCAAGACCAGGCTAGGCAACATACAGAGACCCTGTCTCTACAAAAATTTTTTTAAAAATTAGCTGGGTGTGCTGGCACATGCCTGTGGTCCCAGCTACTCAGGAGGCTGAGGTGAGATGATTGCTTGAGCCCTGGAGGTGGAGGTTGCAGCAAGCCATGGTTGCACCATTGCACTCCAGCCTGGGCAACAGCTGAGACCATGTCTCAAAAAAAAAAAAAATAAAAATAACATTAAGAGAGGAGAGCAAAGAAGCCAACTTTGCCTCTCTTCATTTACTAATCTTCAGGATCACAAATCTGGCCTGTACTGGTAAATGAGAGACAAAACTTTATATTGCATGAAAGGCTGAGGTTTTGATATTAAAATTGACTGCAATTTTTAACACCTAAAAATGAGAATGTTTGTTAATATCTAAAAGTGATAAGTTGTGGGACTGTGTTTTATTGGTGAGTGTGATGACTAATTTTATGTGTCAACTTGACGAGGCTAAGGGATATGCAGATACCTGGTAAAACACTATTCCGGTGTGTCTGGGAGGGAGTTTCTGGAAGAGATTAGCATTTCAATCAGTGGACTAAGTAAGGAAGATCCGCTCTCACCAATGCGGGAGGGCATCATCCAATCTGTTGAAAGCCCAACTACAACAAAAAGGCAGAGGAAGAACAAATGTATTCTCTCTGACCTGGGACATCCACTCTCTCCTGCCCTTAAATATTGGTGCTATTGGTTCTTGTGCCTTTGAACTTGGACTGAATGACACCCTGGCTTCCCTGGCTCTCCAGCTTGTAGAGGGTAGATTGTGTGACTTCACAGCCTCCATGATGATACAAGCCAATTATCATAACAAATCTATCATCTATCTGTCTGTTTATCTATCTATCTATCTATCTATCTATCTATCTATTTATTATCTATCATCTATCTAATCTATTATCCTATCTTTCTATCATCTATCTATTATCTATCATCTATCTTATCTATTATCCTATCTTTCTCTCATCCATCTATCTCTATCATCAGTCATCTATCATGTATCATCTATCAACTATCATCTATCTACTCTATTTTATCTACCTATCTATCCATCAATCCATCTATCCATCATCTATCTATTTATTTATCATTTCTCCTATTGGTTTTATTTATTTGGGGAAGTCTGAATAATGCAGTGAAAAGATATTACAGAGCAGGTTTGAAGGCAGTGGTAGAAAATAATTAAATTTTAAATTACTTTTCACCTAACATGGTCTTTCTGGTATGTTTAAAAAATAAGTTAATGAATAAATGCATCAATGCTCTGGAGTTTGGATGGTGTTCAACAAAGACATGACGTATACCAAATTGATCCCTAAAATAAACATTGACATTCCTTCATTATAAAACATGACCTAAACTTCTGAGGAGGAACTGTGACTGGATTTTCTTCATCTCCTAATACATGGCTGCTTTATAAACACATTTCCCGGTAGACATCCTCCGCAAGTGAGTGATAAATAAATGAGGCAATGGAAATCTACTGCTGTGAGAGTCGAGATTAGGCACCTGACTGTTTGCTAAATAAGTCGGCCTGGTGGAACTCTGCTCATATCAAGCTCCTTGCCAGAGACATGTTGTATCCATCTCCCCTTCATGAAACTGCCTCGTATTTCTTCTGTATTTCTATTTTCTTTTTTTCGTTTTTTTTTTTTTTGAGATGGAGTCTTGCTCTGTTGCCCAGGCTGGACTGCAGTGGCATGATCTTGGCTCACTGCAATCTCTGCCTCCCAGATTCAAGCAATTCTCCTGCCTCAGCCTCCTGAGTAGCTAGGATTACAGGCACCTGCCATCATGCCCGGCTAATTTTTGTATTTTTAGCAAAGACAGGATTCCACCATGTTTGTCAGGCGGGTCTCAAACTCCTGACCTCGTGATCCACCCACCTTGGCTTCCCAAAGTGCTGGGATTACAGGCGTGAGCCACCGCATCCAGCTTCTTCTGTATTTCTAAGCTTACCTCTTCTAAGAATATTTTTCTGATGAGCTTAGCCCACAGTGAACAGTCCTTTGAGGCCTCATAGCACCTGCAGTGAGACTCCTCTAGAACTCATAGTCTAGCCCACAACTGGGTAGGTGTTGTGTTTCTTTAGCAAATTTAGGTTGGTTGATGAAAACAAATACCTTTGAAATTCTGATACTTACAGCATATTTTTTATAATAACAATAGTAAATGTGTTAACTAATCAGTTAATCTGGCCATAATTTATGAATTATTAAAGAGAAAGAAAATAAAGCTTTATCTAGTACCTGCCGTGTGCCCAGCAGGTACTGGGTGTTTTCTTATTTTTCCCTCATGTTAATGTTTCAAGTATGTATCATCATCCCTTTACACATAGTACAAAAATAAATAATAAAACCAAAGCCATCCCCTCAGTGTGTTTATTACTTTACAAATTCATGCTGTATGCTACGTCTTGCAGATTATGAACTAAAACGGGCCCCTACCACAAAGTCTAGTGTATGGTAAGCATTTAGAATATATTTATCAAGTCAATCAATAAATAAAAATTAATTAACTTTTTTAATACACTGAGTTATATTGTCCGCTTTCTTACTGGAATAGATTGTGAGATATTGTATTGTTTACTTTGTCTGTTACCAATATCATGTAAGAACAAACCAAACCAAACCTATTATACTATAGCTGGAATCAGGGAACCAAGAGACCCATGAGAACCAGAAGAGAAGGCGTGTACGAAAGTGCTATAGAAATAGAAACTATTTTAATTTCATTTCTCATTTTTGCCCATGTGTCAGGTAGGTAGTTGTTTCTAAGGAGCCATCCAAGAGGCCCCATAGGCATACTGTTTAAGGGGGCCTCACAGTGAATTCTTTTGTGAAACAAAGAAATCTCTCTCCTCTCATTGCTTCTCTCTCTCTCCCTCTCTCTCTCTCTCTCTCTCATCCCCCCACTCTTTCTTCATTCAACATATTTTGTGGACCCAAAGGCAATGTCCAGGGCTCAGGATGCTGAGATGAAAAGTCAAGATCTCCACCCTCCAGAAGTTTAGATAGATAGAATAAATAAATCAGCAATCCATATTTCAGATTTTTGCATACTGGCATTTCTCAAGGCAGAGCCCAGAGAGACAAGCTGCCTTCGTGCTGTCGGCACTCTCCCTTTCTGGCTCGCTCATTCTTTGTTTTTGGCTCCAACTAGATGCACGTCTGTGTGTGTGTGTGTGTGTCTGTGTGTGCGTGTGTGTGTCTGTGTGTGTGTGTTTTAAAGTGCAGTGAACTGCACCGTGAAGTTCTTTTTCTCTGCAGATTTGGTAGGTGTCACATCTCAGCCAACACAGCCCACCTGCTCCAATCTCTGTTTCATCTTTAACAACTGGTGTTTTTAACAGTGGTGCTGACTCTGGCTTAGCTGCTGAAGCACGAAGCAACCACAGAGGTCTGAGTTACCTAGACCCTTGAGGGGAGCATGGAGCCAGCTGTCCTAGAGATGGTGGCCAGATTTCCTGCCAGTCAGAAGAAAGAAAGGGCTCGGACCTAGCATGCCTCTCCTGGGGAAACAAGAAAACACAAGAAAATGATGGAACTGTGGGTGTGCTTTTGTAAAAAAGTATAAAGCAGTGAAAACCTTCTCAGTATGCAGGTGTGCATCTAGCATTTCAGTTCTACTCTTGCATGTTTTCACAGGAAATTTCAGTGCTTTTTTTTAAGGGAAGTAATTTATGAGACAATGACGTGTTCCCTGGTGTCTGTGTGACCCCTTTTGAGGGACACTGTGGGTGGCTCTCAGGCCCTAGAAGGACTCTCTGGAGCCTGAGGAGTGGTGCCACTATTCAATAACTTACAAGTTTGGTCAGATAGAAATTTGTGAGAATCTTAACTAGAGGTGATGCTGTGAACTCTGGAGACCCATGTTGCTGTGGCTGGCACCCTCCCTGCCTGGGGTGAGAGCCTTCTCAGCCTGCCTGTCCTTGTTCCTTGCTTCTCTGAGGGCATCACTGAGCCCTCTTCTTGTCTTTTCCTGACTCCAGCACCAGCTTCTTAGGTCAGCTGCCCACTGTGCTGGGGTAGCACTGGAGTTCCTTAGAAGGATTTTGTTTCTTGTTCTCTCAATGGGCTTATGATAAATTTGATTCCACATACCATCAAAACAGTATAGCCATGGGGCTTGCCGTGACCAGTGAAATGTCACAATCATAAGGCAAAATAGAGCACATCACTTATGGGGAAAAAACTTAAAAATCTAGCATGTGCTTTGCCACACTCTTTTCCTTCTTCCACAGTAACCAGCAATGTCCCAGGTAGAAACTGTTCTTTCACCCAGAGTACTAGAGTGAAATTGTGATGATGGAGATCAGGTCCCTGCAGAAGCAGTGTGGACAATTAGCATAAAGGAGGTTTGAGTGCTTGTTGTTTAAGCCTATCCTGACCAATGCAATTACCTAATCAAACCAAGCCCATATCCCACCAGGTGTCTGAAAATGTCAGTTACTTGTTTCT